>NC_000010.11:32748541-33052823 GCF_000001405.40 Homo sapiens
TGATATACTAGGAAAAGAAACTCCAGTAAATGGGTCTCTAATTTTGTGGCGAATAAGTATGAGGGAAAAAAAGTCTTCTATAATCTTATGGTTAGATCTCAATCTTTTGGTGATCCTGTGTCCCTGGACTATGAACTTCTCCAGTGCTTCTCAGTTTTTTCCCTTCTTATGTGGGGCAGGATGGCTAGACGGGGCTGGAGTTGGGTATTTCCCTTCATGTAGGCTTGTTAGGCTCTGATAAAACCCTAGTCGGTTTGGCTCTGGTAAAAAGTACGTGTCCTGAGAGCAGACCTTGTTAAGAAGAACAGACTGCTCTGGCATATTTTGAAGTGGTTCCTTTTTCCTTTCCCTCTCTTAGGAACATAAAGGGATTTTTTTCTCCACTATTCATTGTGAGAACCTGGTACAGCTCCTGGAGGCAAAACTCACAAAAGTGTGGAAACTCCCTATAACTGAGCCTCCTTGGTGGTTTTATCCTTCAGACGTGTCCTCACTGAGGTTCCAGCAATTCACTAATTGCAATTCAGGTTTTCTTATCCTGGTTAAAAAGGTTTCTGCTTCATTAAGTTGTGATTCCCTATCTTTACCTGTTTCTCCAGTTTTGGGGGCAGCAGTTTGCCCTGTGACGTCTTTTCTATGAAGTATCTAAGAAGAGTTATTTTTCAACTTGTTCAGCTTTTTACTTGTTGTTAGGATGGAGTGACAGTTTCTGAGATTTTTACATGTTAGACTGGAAATTGGAAGGTCCGTTTAAAAAATTTTTTATCTTCCTTACCTCAGAAAAGGTATTTATCTCTTCATTGCTCTCTTTTGGACTGGTGACTTATAGCATCCTTCCATTTGTGTCAGTCATTTATCTTATTTTAATAATTTAAACTTTTTTCTAAAATATGTATACCATAAGAGAATCAAGTAATAAATTCATTTGTTTAATAACTAGGTATATCTATGAAATAGCAGATTTTCACGTATACACTGAGGAGAACTATTGTCTTTATTTTTATGCTTTAAGTATGTACTATATTTTAATATGTCAGTGCAACTTACTGTGGACATGTGATTGTTACAAAAATTAGAGAAAATATTTTTGTCCAGTTAAACAATATATAGTTTGTCTTTCTTTTATAGTGAACTACAAAAGTATCTCTTGTTCAGAACTTGAATATGTATTGAATGAAATACCAAAATGAAAATATTTGAGAGCAAGTATTCTTTTTAAAGTTTACTTTTTAAACAGTGTTTACTACAAAATATGTTACAGGTAATTTCATAAGACTTACGTGTAAATTTTAACAAATAAGCATGAAGCAAAACTAGGATAACCACCACTTAGGTCAAGAAATAGAGTTCTACTCTCACATAAAATCTTCAGTGTATCTCTCACAATTTCCTCCATCCTCACAGTGGCAATAGTTATATTGATTTTAAGATAACAGTTTTCTTGTTTCCTCTTATTTTGGTCAAAACATATGTAATTGCCAATATTCAACTATTTTTGACCTATAAGAAAATGACAAATTCATGTGGTTCAACCTAATAGTTTTACCATTTCAGTATGTAATTATAATATAATTTTTGAAGATTTTAAGAATAAATAATTCTCTAAATATCCTTTCTCATCTTGCTTTTTAAAATTTAATGTAATGTAAGACATGTAACCATATTTTGTTTATTTTCATTGCTGTATGAAGGCACTACTGTTTGTTTATCCAGTCTGCTAGTTATGGGTATATAAGTCATGATCTTGTTGGAAAAGAGATAGCACAAATTGGGTTTCATTTGAGTTTAATAAAGTGACATACTCTTTACAAAGGAGGGGTGTCCAGCAAAAACATAAGGAAAACTTTAATAATCTCGAGGCAGAAAAAGTGGGATAATGTTACTACCCCTAACCTTGAAGAGGAAAGGAGAAGGAATGGTTATTGGAGACCTAGGTAAAAGAGAGCTCTATGGAGAGAGTAGTGTAATAAGAGGTAAGAGGTCTGGGAAAGGTACATGCCCACTGCTGTGATGCTGCAGGGAAGAAACCATGGAAATACATTCCTTGATCTCATTGTATTTCCTCCCTCTGATCTCCTGCCATGGTTCCACTGGCTGAATTCACCTGGAAGCCAGAGAGCAAGCAAGCCCATTGATTCACTCTTTGGAGGTTCACTCTTTGAAACATACAGTAACTGGAGAAAGTTGGAGAGTAAATCTGGAAGGTAAAATAAGAGATGTCTTCTCAGTTTACTTTGTTTGGCCTTCAATATTCTCACATTGTTTATCATTCAGGTGATGAAAATGTGTCTCCAACCCAAGAAACATTAAGCCCTATTAGAATCCATAATATTTCAGAGTAATTTCAACTGGGTCTTACTCCCATTTGTAACCTACAACATTCATTGTTCAGCATCAATGTTCTTTATATAAAGTGGCAGAGGATAAAAGGGGGTAGTGGTATAAGAAATAATTAATGGACAGAAATCATTGCCACAGTTGCCATTTCTATAACTAGTTATGAAGGCAATTAATTATAGCTACCTTCCTCCATTGCCCCTCCATGTTCTCACTAGTCTTTGCCTCCACCTTGGCTGCACAATATTTTTTTATCTGGTAAGGTAACCCAAACCTTTATTGTTATGAAAGCTGATACCTTAGTGGTTTTGTTAAATTTCTGCAGTCCTCTATTTATCTAGTATTTTGAGCAAGGGAGTATTTAAAGGTAGCCCAGTGAACCCCCAGGGATCAAAATTAGTCCTTCTTGCCTCCATTAATTAGGAGAAACTTACTTCTTTCCAATTATTGAGATCAAGCCAGTACCGAAACTTTTTTCTCTGTGTCGATTTATTTAATGGCATGGGATCCCAAATGCCAAGATGGCAGTCTCAGCTTCTAGTTTATTGGAAGCATGAATATTTGGTGGGAGCATTCTTCCTTTGAGCACCAGGAAGAATGCTTTTGCATGGAGCTTGCTTAATGAAAGTCATTGGGAAATCAAGTAAAAGTTCTTTAAGTGGGTTATTAAGGCATATGTGATATGAGATTGGTAGGCTATGGCATAGATAGGGCCATATATTGGCTTTCATTTTAAAGCATATATGATATCCTGTAAATCAAGACTGTAGCCTCTCAGGGTGTTTTCTATCAGAAGTCATAGTAACCAAGACTTCACCTAGCCATTTCACTGTTCCATCAGACTTGCTGCTTGTGGGTAATGGGGGCTTGTGCTGATACCAGTGAATTTTATAGGCATGAACTCATTATGACACATCAGTTGCATAAAACATGCCCCTGGTTAGAGATGATGTATAGGATACTATGGCAGTCGAAAAGATATTCTTCAAGTTTATGAACCACAATATTGGTAGAAGTTCTATCGGCAGAGAACGTGATTCAGTGCCTATAATAAATGCCTAACTCACTGAAGGCAGTTCGCTTGCCTCTGTATGATAGAAAATTTACAGTAGTCCATCTGCAACCAGATGTTTTGCTAATTCTTCTGGAAAATGATGCTATACTTGGAGGCTCAACTTTGGCCTACGCTTTTGACAATTTCAGCACTCAGCAGAGGCAATATCCATATTATTTTTGATAGGAAAAACCCTATACCATTAAGTTTATTCAAAAGCCAGTGTCACCGTGGCCTCTTGGTACTTAAGTCCATGGAATAAGCACTAATGTAGCTGAGGCATGAGGTTGACTAGTATTTATAGCCCTCTAATTGAGAGCTAACACTATGGTAAATGCCTTCCTATGCACATTTACATGGGGGATGGATAACTTTATACACTATCATCCTATTCTGGAAAATCATAGACAAAACTCCCCAAGACATGCCTGTCACCATTTTTTCAACCTTTTTCCCCCAAGTCTTCAACTGATTACCTGGCGAATTCCATTAGCTCCTGCCTACAAATCAATGTAAATCTAAATCTCAAACCATCTCTAGTCCCACGTATAGTGGAGTCTTAGTTGTACTCCTCAAATTTCTGTTCACAAGAAGGATTTCTTCTTGCTATTGTCTTTCAGGTCCCCCCTTTTGTGTGACTACAATACAGTGTCAAATAATGGCTTAATATATAAAATAGGACAAGCAGTCTAGTACAAAAATTGGGAAAAGATAGAAATAGGCCTGTGAAAAGTTTGCTTCTCAATGTTATTAGTGGGAGTATATAATGATTTAAAATACTCTTAATTATTTAAAAATATATCAATGATATTACATATCTGTACCCATAAGATTTCTGAAGTATTTCAATGTCTAGATTTTTCCTTAAGAGTTAGCACCTTCTCACTTACCTTGGTCTCAGACCCCTGTCCTTAACTTTCCATATTTGTTATTATGTAATTTTTTTTCCTGAGGTTTTTGAGTTGAATAAAGGAGAGGGATGACAACTTGTATTTAGTCCACTGACTTGTTCACATGTGCTAATTTTGTTACAACTTACAAGAGATTAATTGATGGTTATTCAGCTATGCAATTTAATATGGGAAATTACTAGCTTAATAAAATGAAGAAGGGAATATGTCATTTCTCAATATGTTTTACGTTTTTAGAGTAGATGTATTTTCTTTTCAATGTATTTCAAACATCTATTTTGTAGCTCTGAAGGTGGCTCAGATGATAGGTAAAAGTCTTTTGCCAATGGACTCAAAATCAGAAGATGAGCTTCAAATTAAGAAACATAAAATTGCCCAAGTGGAAACACATAGTGTGTAAAATATTAGCAAATAACCTTAAGTTATAGTCATATTCATATTCAGAAGAATAAGTTTGGAATGTGGTCATAAATAGATATTAAACAAACCAGTTTTGATTTTTATATCTGGACCCTTACAATAATAACAGCAAACATTTTCTTATTAATATTTATTGAGCCTTTATTATCAAATATTTAATAAATAATCCACAAAGAATTTCTATGAGGGAAATACTGAAATACTACTACTATTACTATTTAGGAGATGAGGAGAGTAAGACATGGAGTAACTGCCTAAAGTCACATCATTACAGATGGATTTCAAACCCGGATAATCTAGCTCTTTATTCTGTTGTGATCACTCCAGGAAAACTATAGGAAATCTTAGAAGAATCTGACTATATTTGGCTTTAAAGTATATAATGAGATAGTTTCCTTGAACCTCTCACGCAAACTCTTCTTTCGCTCTTGCTATTTCTTTTGCTACCATTTCTCTGTGGCTACCAGAAATTCTTAAATTACTCTTAGAACATGCAATTGTGTTACCTTAACAATTATGGTATGTTCCTCAATTTCAGATTTTTAAGTGACAAGAAATGTTGAAAATTGATTGAAAAAATGACATTTACATGTTTTCTTAATTGTTTATTTTTTCATAAATTTCGTTTTTTGTGAGTAGATATACATCTGTTCCTGATTTTTTTTAAACAATGAAACAAATGATTTTTTTAACGTGTTGGAGAAAATCTCTTACTAATATCCCAATACCATGTTTCATGATGAAATGAAATGTTCAATTAAAGTTAAAAATAAGATAAAATTCCTATTGCTGCTAAAGTAAGTATTGTTGTAAAATGTATAACCAATGTAATAAAAAAGAAAACCTGTTATTATAAATATTAGAAGAAATGATACAACACGATTATTACTTACAGATTATTAGATTTTGACTTTTAAAGCTTAAAAGAATCAAATAAAAGAAAATTTAATATCAGTATGATGTTCAGCAATGTGGCTAACACAAATTTGGCAAAGGAAAACAAAAACATTTCTATATATCCCAGTAGTGAAAAGAGCACAAAAATAATAAAATAACTGATAAATAAACACTAGGAAATATGTGGCCTCATATGATGGAAACAATGAACTTTAATGACTAAAGAAATGTTGACTACATAGGGAGATATTTCATGCTCATGAGTGAAAGACTCTTAAAAGTAATGGGTAAATAACTTACTTCCAATCAAAATACCAGTGGTTGATTATTGCTTTTGGTGTTGATGAAATTTTATAAATATGATTCTAAAACTTGGCAACAATAACATATTTCAGTATGAAAATAATTGATTAAAGAAAGAGGATAAGGCAGTGGCACTTGATCTAACTGCATATTAAAAAGCTGCATTATAAAATAATAAACATGAGGGAGGTTCCAAGAGGGCTGACTAGGAACAGCTCCAGTCTACAGCTCCCAGCATGAGCAACGCAGAAGATGGGTGATTTGTGCATTTTCAACTAAGTTAACGGGTTCCTCTCACTGGGGCTTGTAGGACAGTGGGTACAGCCCACAGAGTGTGAGCTGAAGCAGGGCGGGGCACTGCCTCACCCAGGAAGTGCAAGGGGTTAGGGAATTCCCTTTCCTAGAAAAGGGAAGCCGTGACAGATGGTACCTGGAAAATTGGGACACTCCCACCCTAATACTGCGCTTTTCCAATGGTCTTAGCAAACAGCACACCAGGAGATTATATCCCGCGCTGGCTTGGAGGGTCCCACACCCACAAAGCCTCACTCACTGCTAGCACGGCAGTCTGAGATTGAACTGCAAGGCAGCAGTGAGACTGGGGGAGGGGCATCCACCATTGCTGAGGCTTGAGTAGGTAAACAAAGCACCTGGGAAGCTAGAAATGGGTGGAGCCCACCACAGCTCAAGGAGGCTTGCCTGCCTCTGTAGACTCCACCTCTGGGGGCAGGGTAGAGCTGAACAAAAGGCAGCAGAAACTTCTGCAGACTTAAACGTCCCTGTCTGACAGCTTTGAAGAGAGTAGTGTTTCTCCCAGCATGGAGTTTGAGATCTGAGAATGGAGAAACTGCATCCTCAAGTGGGTCCCTGATACTCAAGTAGCCTAACTGGGAGATACCTCCCAGTAGGGGCCGACTGACACCTCATACAGCCAGTTGCCCCTCTGAGATGAAGCTTCCAGAGGAAGGATTAGGGAGTAACATTTGCTGTTCTGCAGCCTCTGCTGGTGATACCCAGGCAAATAGGATCTGCAGTGGACCTCAAGCAAACTCCAACAGACCTGCAGCTGAGGGTCTTGACTGTTAGAAGGAAAACTAACAAACAGAAAGGACATCCACACCAAAACCCCATCTGTATGTCACCAACATCAAAGACCAAAGTTAGATAAAACCACAAAGATGGGGAGAAACCAGAGCAGAAGAGCTGAAAATTCTAAAAATCAGACTGCCTCTTCTCCTCCAAAGGAATGCAGATCCTCGCAAGCAGCAGAACAAAGCTGGACGGAGAATGACTTTGACGAGTTGAGAGAAGAAGGCTTCAGACGATCAGTAATAACAAATTTCTCCGAGTCAAAGGAGGATATTCAAACCCATCACAAGAAGCTAAAAACCTTGAAAAAAGATGAGACGAATGGCTAACTAGAATAAACAGTGTAGAGAAGACCTTAAATGACGTGATGGAGCAGAAAACCATGGCACGAGAACTATGTGATACATGCACAAGCTTCAGTAGCCAATTCAATCAAGTGGAAGAAAGGGTATCAGTGATCGAAGATCAAATGAATGAAATGAAGCGAGAAGAGAAATTTAGAGAAAAAAGAATAAAAAGAAATGAACAAAGCCTCCAAGAAATATGGGACTATGGGAAAAGACCAAATCTACATCAGATTGTTGTACCTGAAAGTGACAGGGAGAATGGAACCAAGTTGGAAAACACTCTTCTGGATATTATCCAGGAGAATTTCCCCAACCTAGCAAGGCAGGCCAACATTCAAATTCAGGAAATACAGAGAACACCACAAAGATACTCCTCGAGAAGAGCAACTCCAAGACACATAATTGACAGATTCACCAAAGTTGAAATGAAGGACAAAAAGTTAAGGGCAGCCAGAGAGAAAGGTCGCGTTACCCACAAAGGGAAGGCCATCAGACTAACAGCGGATCTCTCCGCAGAAATTCTATAAGCCAGAAGAGAGTGGGGGCCAATATTCAACATTCTTAAAGAATTTTCAACCCAGAATTTCATATCCAGCCAAACTAAGCTTCATAAGTGAAGGAGAAATAAAATCCTTTACAGACAAGCAAATGCTGAGAGATTTTGTCACCACCAGGCCTGCCTTACAAGAGCTACTGAAGGAAGCACTAAACATGGAAAGGAACAACTGGTACCAGCCACTGGAAAAACATGCCAAATTGTAAAGACCATCGATGCTAGGAGGAAATTGCATCAATTAAAGAGCAAAGTAACCAGCTAACATCATAATTACAGGATCAAATTCACACATAACAGTATTAACCTTAAATGTAAATGGGCTAAATGCCCCAGTTAAAAGACACAGACTGGCAAATTGGATAGAGTCAAGATCCATCAGTGTGCTGTATTCAGGAGTCCCATCTCACGTGCAGAGACACACATAGGCTCAAAATAAAGGGATGGAGGAAGATCTGCCAAGCAAATGGAAAACAAAGAAAAAGCAGGAGTTGCAATCCTAGTCTCTGATAAAACAGACTTTAAACCAACAAAGATCAAAAGAGACAAAGAAGGCTGTTACATAAAGGTAAAGGGATCAATTCAACAAGAAGAGCTAACTATCCTAAATATATATGCACCCAATACAGGAGCACCCAGATTCATAAAGCAAGTCCTTAGAGACCTACAAAGAGACTTAGACTCCCACACAATAATAATGGGAGACTTTAACACCCCACTGTCAACATTAGACAGATCAATGAGACAGAAAGTTGACAAGGATATCCAGGAATTGAATTCAGCTCTGCACCAAGTGGACCTAATAGACATCTGCAGAAATCTCCCCCCGAAATCAACAGAATACACATTCTTCTCAGCAGCACATCACACTTATTCCAAAACTAACCACATAGTTGGAAGCAAAGCACTCCTCAGCAAATGTAAAAAAACAGAAATTATAACAAACTGTCTCTCAGACCACAGTGCAATCAAACCAGAACTCAGGATTAAGAAACTCACTCAAAACCGCCCAGCTACATGGAGGCTAAACAATCTGCTTCTGAATGACTACTGGGTACATAACAAAATGAAGGCAGAAATAAAGATGTTCTTTGAAACCAATGAAAACAAAGATACAACATACCAGAATCTGTGGGACACATTTAAGGCAGTGTGTAGAGGGAAACTTATAGCACTAAATGCCCACAAGAGAAAGGAGGAAAGATCTAAAATTGACACTCTAACATCACAATTAAAAGAACTAGAGAAGCAAGAGCAAACACATTCAAAAGCTAGCAGAAGGCCAAAAATAACTAAGATCAGAGCAGAACTGAAGGAGATAGAGACAGAAAAAACCCTTCAAAAAATCAATGAATCCAGGAGCTGTTTTATTTGAAAAGATCAACAAAATTGATAGACCACTAGCAAGACTAATAAAGAAGAAGAGAAGAATCAAATAGGTGCAATGAAAAATGATAAACGGGATATCACTACCAATCCCACAGAAATACAAAGTACCATCAGAGAATACTATAAACATCTCTACACAAATAAACTAGAAAATCTAGAAGAAATGAATAAATTCCTGGGCACATACACCCGCCCAAGACTAAACCAGGAAGAAGTTGAATCCCTGAATAGACCAGTAACAGGCTCTGAAATGGAGGCAATAATTAATAGCCTACCAACCAAAAAAAGTCCAGGACCAGATGGATTCACAACCGAATTCTACCAGAGGTACAAAAAGGGGCTGGGACCATTCCTTCTGAAACTATTCCAATGAATAGAAAAAGAGGGAATCCTCCCCAACTCATTTTATGAGGCCAGCAGCATACTGATACCAAAACCTGGCAGAGACACAACAAAAAAAGAGAATTTTAGACCAATATCCCTGATGAGCATTGATGCAAAAATCCTCAATGAAATACTGGCAATCCGAATCCAGCAGCACATCAAAAACTTATCCACCATGATCAAGTTGGCTTCATCCCTGCGATGGAAGGCTGGTTCAATATATAAAAATCAATAAAGTAATCCATCATATAAATAGAACCTAAGACAAAAACCACATGATTATCTCAATAGATATGGAAAAGGCCTTTGACAAAATTCAACACCCCTTCTTGCTAAAATCTCTCAATAAACTAGGTATTGATGGGACATATCTCAAAATAATGAGATATTTATGACAAACCCACAGCCAATATCATACTGAATGGGCAAAAACTGGAAGCATTCCCTTTGAAAACTGGCACAAGACAGGGATGCCCTCTTTCACCACTCCTATTCAACATAGTGTTGAAAGTTCTGGCCAGAGAAATCAGGCAGGAGAAGGAAATAAAGGGTATTCAATTAGGAAAAGAGGAAGTCAAATTATCCCTGTTTGCAGATGACATGATTGTATATTTAGAAAACCCTGTCATTTCAGCCCAAAATCTCCTTAAGCTGATAAGCAACTTCAGCAAAATCTCAGGATACAAAATCAGTGTGCAAAAATCACAAACATTCCTATACACCAATAGCAGACAGAGAGCCAAATCATGAGTGAACTCCCATTCACAATTGCTTCAAAGAGAATAAAATACCTAGGAATCCAACTTACAAGGGATGTGAAGGACCTCTTCAAGGAGAACTACAAACCACTGCTCAATGAAATAAAAGAGGACTCAAACAAATGGAAGAACATTCCATGCTCATGGATAGGAAGAATCAATATTGTGAAAATGGCCATACTGCCCAAGGTAATTTATAGATTCAATGCCATCCCCATCAAGCTACCAATGACTTTCTTCACAGAATTGGAGAAAACTACTTTAAAGTTCATATGGAACCAAAAAAGAGCCCGCATTGCCAAGTCAATCCTAAGCCAAAAGAACAAAGCTGGAGGCATCACGCTACCTGACTTCCAACTATACTACAAGGCTACAGTAACCAAAAGAGCATGGTACTGGTACCAAAACAGAGATATGGACCAATGGAATAGAATAGAGCCCTCAGAAATAATGCCACATATCTACAACTATCTGATCTTTGACAAACCTGAGAAAAACAAGAAATGGGGAAAGGATTCCCTATTTAATAAATGGTGCTGGGAAAACTGGCTAGCCATATGTAGAAAGCTGAAACTGGATCCCTTCCTTACACCTTATACAAAAATTAATTCAAGATGGATTAAAGACTTACATGGTAGACCTAATACCATAAAAACCCTAGAAGAAAACCTAGGCAATACCTTTCAGGACATAGGCATGGGCAAGGACTTCATGTCTAAAACACCAAAAGCAATGGCAACAAAAGGCAAAATTGACAAATGGGATCTAATTAAACTGAAGAGCTTCTGCACAGCAAAAGAAACTACCATCAGAGTGAACAGGCAACCTACAGAATGGGAGAAAATTTTTGCAACCTACTCTTCTGACAAAGGGCTAATATCCAGAATCTACAATGAACTCAAACAAATTTGCAAGAAAAAAACAAACAACCCCATCAAAAAGTGGGCGAAGGATATGAACAGACACTTCTCAAAAGAAGACATTTATGCAGCCAAAAAACACATGAAAAAATGCTCATCATCACTGGCCATCAGAGAAATGCAAATCAAAACCACAATGAGATACCATCTCACACCAGTTAGAATGGCTATCACTAAAAAGTCAGCAAACAACAGGTGCTAGAGAGGATGTGGAGAAATAGGAACACTTTTACACTGTTGGTGGGACTGTAAACTAGTTCAACCATTGTGGAAGTCAGTGTGGCGATTCCTCAGGGATCTAGAACTAGAAATACCATTTGACCCAGCCATCCCATTACTGGGTATATACCCAAAGGATTATAAATGATACTGCTATAAAGACACATGCACATGTATGTTTATTGTGGCACTATTCACAATAGCAAAGACTTGGAACCAACCCAAATGTCCAACAATGATAGACTGGATTAAGAAAATGTGGCACATATACACCATGGAATACTATGCAGCCATAAAAAATGATGAGTTCATGTCCTTTGTAGGGACATGGATGAAGCTGGAAACCATCATTCTCAGCAAACTATCGCAAGGATAAAAAACCAAACACCGCATATTCTCACTCATAGGTGGGAATTGAACAATGAGAACACTTGGACACAGGAAGGGGAACATCACACACTGGGGCCTGTTGTGGGGTGGGAGGATGAGGGAGGGATAGCATTAGGAGATGTACCTAATGCTAAATGATGAATTAATGGGTGCAGCACACCAACATGGCACATGTATACATATGTAACAAACCTGCACGTTGTGCACATGTACCCTAAACCTTAAAGTATAATAATAATAAAATTAAAAAAAAAAGATATTACAAAAAAAAAGAACACCCAAAGCAAGATGGCTCCGGAAGGTTCAAAATAAAAATTATCACCCCACCCTGCACACACAAGACAAATTGAAATGGAAAGTAAATAGAAGATAGAAGTATGCCTTCACCTTAATTCTGACTTCCTCAACATATATTTTCAGCTGAACTATGAGAGAAGACCCCAAATTGTGTGCTAGTCATGGTGATATTCAGTATATTTAACAACTGGTATGGCAATATATTAATAATGTAACGTATGAATTCAGAAATGGAAGTAATTGTATTTTATTCTCTAAAAGTAACTATTATGGCACTCCCAATCATTGTGAGTTTCAGGCTATAATAAATTCACTAGACAAAACAGACTTTAAACTAATACTACATTTATTTGGCTTCTTAACATAATACAGAAGAGGGAATACAGAAAGCACAGTGTCTCTCTCACTGGGGCACCCAGCAGTTACCACATACCTTGTTTCTTTTGTTCTTTTCACCTATATTGACCATGTGCAGCTACTAATAAAGGAATAAAAGGGTATATGGTACTTGATACAGAACAAAGAGAGCACTGATACCGTGGCATCATATGGCAATAGGACACAAAATATCACCACTGGATACTCCTAATCAAATACTTAAAAATAGCAGGTTTCTGAGTGACCATGTCTTTGATACCTTAACATACTTTTGCCAAAGTAATGAGTGTAATGAGATTAGCTGGTTACTCTTATTATGTTAGACAAAGTGGGGAAAGAAAAGTATGAGCTTGGAATTCAGATTTCCAGCCCAAGAGCCACATAATGACCTAAAACTTTCTATGACTACCCTGAAAGAAACCCTGGTCTGCTATAGCTACAAATTGCTGAAAACTAGCTCAGATTGCTGAAAACCATATCCAGAGTCTCATCCTGTGAGTGGCTGAATTATAATGCAAGTTGAATTCCCAATTTTATAGGATATCTTCTGTTAAAATGAGAGCATCGATTAGGATAGAACAAAATCCTAAAAACTGGAATGAGGAAATATGGGAAGATCCTAATGAAGCTAGGGATGTTTACCTCTAAACTCTGCTGGGTCCTCCTTGCCTTTGGAAGCAGAATTTGTAGAGACTGATGTCAGCAACATGGTGGAATAGGAGGTTCCTTACTTTTCTCTCTCCCACAGATGCAGAGAATAAACATTTCCACATGGATCAATTCTCTCTGAGAGCCAGAAAGTGGTTGAGCGACTCCTACACATTGGGAAACTGAAAAAATATCCACATATTGGGTAGGGAAAGCAAAGACTCATGCACAAACTGCATCCTAAGCACAGTGTCATACAATTGGGAAATAATCCACAACTGATAACTTCTTCCTGAGGAATAAAGGGTTTGGACCACATATAGTGTTCCGCAACATTTACAGTTTCTGTCAGAAGGTTTGGCTCTTAAATCACCTACTTCAGGGAGTGGAGGGAACTTGGAAGTCATGAGTTTGCCTGGAGAAGAGAGAACAAACAGATGGTTTTGAATGAGTGTGCGAGCACTTCTCATGGCTAGCTATAGGTCCCCAGAATCTAGTTTATTCCTGGAAGTGGTTTGTTGGCACACTCTTCCAGAAGCTGCCTGATATATATATAATAAATATATATATACTACCCAGAGTCACATAGATTCAACACAGTGCTTATCAATATTCCAATTACATTTTTAGAGAAACAGAAAACAAAAATTCTATAACTTCTATGGAATCACAAAAGACATCAAGTAGCCAAAACAGTCTTTAAAAAGAAAAACAAAGTTGCAGGCATCACACTTTCTGGTTTCAAATTGTATTACAAAGTGATTTTAAAATATAAAAATATTTTAAAAATATTTTTAAAAAACAACTATGGTACTGGTATAAAAACAGATGTACAAACTGATGGAAGAGAATAGATGACCCAGAAATAAACCCAAGCATTTATGTCAATTAATTTTTCACAAGAGCATCAAGAAGACACAATGGGAGAATGACCATCTCTTTAACAAATAGTGTTGGGAAATTTGAATACTCAAACGCAAAATAATGAAACTGGAACTTATTTTATAACATTCACAAAAATAAACTTAAAATGGATTGAAGACCTAAACATAATACCTTTAACTATAAAACTCTTGAAGAAAACATAAGGGAAAAACTTCTTGATATTGATCTTGGCAATAATTTTTAGATAGCTCACCAAGAGCACAGGACACAAAAGCAAAAGTATACAAGTGGAAGTATAATAAAACTAAAAATTTTCTGGACAAAGGAAATAATGCAGAAAATGAAAAGAGAGCCAACAGATTCAGAGAAAACATTCGTGAATCATATATTGTTAGGTAAGCAGTTGATATTCAAAATATGTAAGGAACTCACAAACTTAACAGCAAAATGACAATAATAAAAGTCTGACAAAAATGGGCAAAGAACCTAAATAGACATTTTTTGAAATGAAACATACAAATGGTCAACAGGCATATGAAAAGATGCTCAACATCACTAATCATCAGGGAAATCCAAATAAAAACCATGAGTTATCATCACACACCTATTAGGATGGCTATCATCAAAAACATAACATATGTTGGTGAGGTTATGGAGAAACAGAATCCTTACATACTGTTCAGGTGGTGAAAAACAATAGGGAGTTTCTTTAAAAAATTAAAAATAGAATTACCATATAACCCAGCAATTCCCCTTCTGGGTACATACGCAAAGGAAATGAAATAAATACCTAGTAAAGATATCTGCATCCCCGTGTCCATGTAACAGTACTCACAATAACCAAGATATGAAAACAACGTGTCTGTCAGTGGATGTATCGATAAAGAAATTGTGGTGTTCTCATACAATGGAATAGTATTCTTCCTTTTAAAAAGGAGATACTACCATTCTCAACAACATGAATGAACCTGGAAGACATGCTAAGTGAAATAAGCCAGGCACATAAAGAAAAATTCTACATGATCTCACATATATGTTGAATCTAAAAAGTCATATTCATAGAAGTGGAAGGTAAAATGGTGGTTACCTGAGGCTGAGGGAAGGGGGACAAATGGGGAGATGTTACAAAAGGGCACAAAATTTCAGTTAGATAGGAGTATTAATTTCTGGACAGCTACTGTATAGCATGGTCATTATAGTTAATATTCTGTATACTTGAAAATTGCTAAGAGAGTAGACTTTATTCTCACTATAAAAAGGGATATGTGAGGTGATAGATATATTAATTAACTTGATTTAATCATTCTGCAATGTATACATATATCAAAACACCACTCATACCCCATAAATATATACAATAAAAAGACAGAAGCAGCCTTTTCATTCCTGTCAGAAGAAATTAATCTTGCTTTGTCCGAAGAAACTATAATTGCCTCCCTTGAGATAGTTACCTTGCAAAACACTTCTGATTCTCCCCAAGACTCACCCCCACCACCCTCTTTTGCTTGTAGACCTATAATTAGACACAAGTCCCACCAGCCCCCTAAAGATGAAGTACAAAGTATGGCTCATGAGAAGGTGCACTGCATTCCAAAAAAACTACATAATTTTTCTAATTTATTTAGACAGAAATCAGGGGAATATGTTTGGGAATCAATATTGCATGTATAGGATGAAGATGAAAAGAACAAAGTTAGATCACACCAAATTTATTGATATGGTATAATTTATTTATCACTAAGCAGAGATTATGGTTTAATGTTGCAGCATGGAGGTTAGAAAGGACTGTAACGGTCAGTTTGGTTGGCTGAAAATGGACCAAAAGATGGCCTATACTAAGTGAAGTTGAAATGCAGAATTGCCGTGGTTTACTGAAAAGGAAGGGATTCGAAGGCCTAGGAAAATTGGAGTGTTAATGTGGATTTATCATTTAAGATCTGCTCACCCATCTTAGGAGGGTCCAGAGGACACACCTTTCACCACAACTGTGAGAAATGTGAAGACAGCCCCAGCATTCTCAAACAGCCCTGTGGTTGCTCTTCTCTACAGCTCAGAAATCACACTGGATGTTGCTGCTACTGAAATGGGAACCTTAAATGCAATAGGAATAATTGGGTCTCAGAGGCCAAGTGGTGGCATTTAAACATCAGAAACAACAGTGTCATGGTTACCATAATGGAAATCAAAGTAGAAATCAGAATAGTCTGACTTGAGATATCTATGGCATTGGCTAGTTGATAATTGTGTTTGTTGAAGTGACACAAATGGTCAGTCTACTAAATTCTTACTTAATCTGTATAAGCAGAAGAGTTCTAGATCAAGTGGACAAAGTCTAATTTAAATAATAAAAGCACAGTCATGGCCTCTCAATCAATTCCCAGACTTGATCAAGTTTACAGACCCAGGACCCCTTGAAGGAAGGGTACCTTGAGGAAGGACCTAGTATACTGCCCAAAATTTATACCTTTAATTTTTCTCCCAGCCTTCCTCAAAGGGACCTATGGCCTTTTTGCTGGGTTACTACGCAACATATAAAAGGAAATAATAAGATTTTTTAGGGATTAATGGACAGTGCCTCTGAACTGACACTAATTCCAAAAGGCCAAAAATGTCATGATGGTCCACTGGAAAGGAAACTATGGAGGGCAAGTGATCAATGGGACTTTAGCACAGATCTGTCTCACAGTGGATCCAGTGGAAGCTGAACTCATCCTCTTGTCATTTCCCCAGTTTGTGAATGTATAATTTAATAAATATACTCATCAACTGGCAGAATTTTCACATTGGTTTCCTGACCTGTGGAGTAAGGACCATTATGGTAGAAGAGGCCAATTAGAAGCTACTAGAACTGATTCTACCTAGGAAAATTTTAAACCAAAAGCAATATTACATTCTCAGAGAGATTTGGAAGATTAGTGACTTCATCAAGGACTTGAAAAATGTAGAGGTTGTGATTTCAACCACATCCTTCAACTCACCTATTTGTCCTGTTCAGAAAACAGGTGGATCTCAGAAAATAACAGTGGATTATCATAAATTTAAATAGATGGTGATTCTAATTGTAGATACTGTACTAAATAATGATTTCATTGCTTGAGCAAATTAACGTATCCCCTGGTAACTGGCATGCAAATATTGATCTGGAAGATTGCTTTATTTTCTGCTTTCCTATAGTGAAGAAGCAGTTTTCTTTTAGCTGGAAAGTCTAGCAATGCATCTTCACTGTCCTACCTTAAGGGTATATCAGTTCTCCCACTCTCTATCATAATTTAGTTTGCAAGGAACTTGAAAGCCTTTCTACAAGATATCATACTTGTTTATTATATTGATGATATGCTGACTGGACCTCTTGAGTAAAAAGTACTCTAGATATATTAGTAAGATATTTGCATGTCAGAAGGTGGGACATGAATCCAAAAAATTTAGGGGCCTTCTACATCATGAAATGTTTAGAAGTCTAGTGGAATGGGACGTGTCAAGATATTCCTTCTGAAATAAGGAAAAATTGTTGCATCTGGCCTCTCCTACTACCCAAAAAAACAGGTATAATGCCTATTTGACTTCTCTGTATATTAAGGCAACGTATTCCTCATTTGGGCATGCTACTGTGGCTCACTCACTTACTGAGTGACCTGGAAATCTGTTAGTTTTGAGTGGAACCAAGAACAAGAGAAGGTTCTGCAACAGGTACAGGGTGCTCTTCCACTTGGGAAACATGATCTTACAGATCCAATGGTGCTGGAAGTGACAGTAGCAGATAGGGATGCTCTTCAGAGCCTTCGGCAAGTTCCTATAGGTGAATCACAGTGCAGGCCCCTTGGAGCAAAGCCATCTCATTCTCTGCAAATAATTATCCTTTTTGTAAAACAGTTCTTGGCCTGCTATTGGGTGTTAGTAGAAACTGAACACTTAACCATGGACCACCAAGTTGCCAAGCAATCTGAGCTGCCCATCATGAACTGGATGTTGTCTGACCCTCCAAATAGTTTGGCATGCAGGTAGTACTCCATCATCAAATAGAAGTGGTATACATGAGACAGTGCTCAGGCAGGCCCTGAAAGCACAAGTAAAATATATGATGTGGCCAAATACCTATGGTCTCCACTTCTGCTACATTACCTTCTCTCTCCCAGCCTACTCTCTTCAGTACCCCTTTCAGCAATATGAGGTTAAAACCAGGTACTGTGATTACTCGCTTGATTTCTGGTTCTTGTGATGGTGCTTTTTCCATATTGTTAGTTGTTAAAATTTGATGTTTCTGTAAGGGGGATGAATAGTGTAGACTTCCATTCAGCCATCTTGCTCCAATTCTGCCAGGCTCTTTTCAACAACCAGATCTTGCAGGAACTAATACTAATAGAGTAACAACTCACTCATTACTGTGGAGAGGGCACCAAGCCATTCATGAGA
The DNA here is from genome assembly GCF_000001405.40 of Homo sapiens. Lineage (NCBI taxonomy): Eukaryota > Metazoa > Chordata > Mammalia > Primates > Hominidae > Homo > Homo sapiens. Next base: position 32,767,131 of record NC_000010.11, read on the forward strand.
AATTTTATCCCATAGCCAACACACCTCCCACTGGGCACGTGTCCAATATTGGTGATCAAGTGTCAACATGAGATTTGGAGGGGACACATATGCACACCATATTACTTTTCCATTAAATTTTTGTTTGGCCACTGTTCTGGGGATTGTAAGAGATATGTTATATTCATACTACGTTTTGCCTTTTACCTAATTTTTATACACTGGTCATGTTAAATGTGATTCTTTGTCCAAATGAGATATATTTCAGGGAGCCAAGTGGTATAAAATGTGTTTTTCTAAACTATTGATTGTATTTTCTGCTTTGGCTTCTTTTAGAAGCAATTAAAAAACCAAAATAGAACAAGTATCTATTCCTTTAAAAATTTATTTGTGAAGTGGAGGCAGAGCAAGATGGCTGAAAAGAATGCTCCAGGAGTCATCCTCCTCTCCTCCCTGCAGGAACATCAAATTGAACAACTATCCATACAAGAGAGCACTTTCATGGAACCAAAAAATCAGCTGTCTGAAGAAGGATGGGTACGAGCAAGTCCAGACTGCAAAGACGCATAAAGACCTAAACTTTTCAATGCCCAGACATTAACAAATGTCCACAGGCATCAAGAATATATAGGAAAATATAACCTCACCAAACTGATTAAATAAGGCATCAGTAACCAGTTCTGGCAAAATGGAGATATGTGACCTCTTAGAGAATTTAAAATAGCTGTTATGAGGAAGCTGAATGATCTTCAGATAACATAGAGAAGGAATCCAGAAATATATCAGAGAAATTTAACAAAGAGATTGAAGTAATAACTTTAAAAACACCCAGAAATTCTGGAGTTGAGAAATTCAATGGACATATACAAAAATGCATCAGAGTATCTCAACAGCAGAAGTGATCAAGTAGAAGAAAGGATTACTGACTCAAAGACAGGCTTTTGAAAATACAGAGAAGAAAAAAATGGAAAAGAATGCAGTATGCTTACAAGATTGTATGGCTATTTAAATAACATTATTTAAATATTACAAGTATGTATTTAGTACTTGTATTTAACATTACAAGTATGGCTATTTAAATAACATTAATTCCTTTCTTTCATCAGTATTCTGTATTTTTCCTTGTAGTGGTCTTTCTCCTCCTTGGTTAAATATATTCCTAAGTATTTTATTTGTAGCTATTGTAAGTGGGATTGCCTTCTTGATTTAATTCTCAGCTTGTTAAGGTATACAGAAATGCCACTAATTTTTGTACATTGATTTTGTATCCTGAAACTTTACTGAATTTGTTTATGAAATCTAAGAGATTTGGAGAAGTCTTTAGGTTTTTCTAGATATTAGATCATATTATCAGTGAACAAAGATGATTTGACTTCCTATTGTCCTATTTTGATGCCTTTTATTTTTTTCTCTTGCCTCACAGCTCTGGGTAGGACTTCCAGTATTACGTTGAATAGGAGTGGTGAAAGTGGGCATCCTTGTTCTACTTCTTAGAAGATTGCTTTTAACTTTTGTGTGTTTAGTACGATGTTGGCTGTGGGTTTGTCATATATGGCCTTTATTATTTTGAGGTATGTTTCTTCTATACCTAGTTGACTGAAGATTTTTATCCTGAAGAAATGCTGAACTTTATCAAATGCCATTTTTAAATATGTCGAGATTATCAAAAGTGTTTTGTTTTTAATTCTCTTTTTGTGTTGAATAACATTTATTTATTTGCATATATTGAACCATCCTTGAATCCCTGGAATAAACCCCACTTAATCATGGTATATTATATTTTTGATGTGCTATTGGATTTGGTTTGCTAGCATTTTGTTGAAGATTTTTTCAACTATAATCAGCAGAGGATTTTGGTCTGTAGTTTTTTTGTGTGTCCTTGTTCAGCTTTGGTAACAGGGTGGCTTCGTATAATGAATTGTAGAGGATTCTCTCTTTTTATAATTTTTGGAACAGTTTCAACAGGATTGGTACCAGTTCCTCTTTGCACATTTGGTAGAATTTGGCTGTCAATCCATCCAGTTCTGAGCTTTTTTTTTATTGGGAGATTTTTATTACTAGTTCAATCTTACTACTCCTTATTGGTCTGTTCAGGATTTCTGTTTCTTCCTGGTTCAGTCGTGGAAGGTTGTATGTTTACAGAAATTTATCCATTTCCTCTAGGTTTTTCTCTTTGTGAGCATATAGTTATTCATGTACTCTGATAATCTTTTTAAATTTCTGTGGTATCAGTTCTTATGTCTCCTTTTTCATATCTGATTATGTTTACTTGGATTTTTTTTTGGTTAGTCTAGATAGTGATTTATCAATTTTTAAAAATCTTTTCAGGGAACTGAGTTTTCATTTGGTTGATCCATTGTATTATTATTATTATTTCTTTTTGAAATTATACTTTAAGTTCTGGGATACATGTGCAGAACGTGCAGTTTTGTTACGTAGGTATACATGTGCCATGGTGGTTTGCTGCACCCATCAACCCGTCATCTACATTAGGTATTTCTGCTAATGCTATCCATCCCCAAGCCCCCCACCCCTCAACAGGCCCCAGTGTGTGATGTTCCCCTCCCAGTGTCCATGTTTTCTCATTGTTCAACTCCCACTTATGAGTGAGAACATGCAGTGTTTGGTTTTCTGCTCCTGTGTTAGTTTGCTGAGAATGGTGGTTTCCAGCTTTATCCATGTCCCTGCAAAAGACATGAACTCATCCTTTTTATGTCTGCATAGTATTCCATGGTGTATATGTGCCACATTTTCTTTATCCAGTCTATCATTGATGGGCATTTGGGTTTGTTCCTAGTCTTTGCTATTGTGAATAGTGCCGCAATAAACATACATGTGCATGTGTCTTTATAGTAGAATGATTTATAATCCTTTAGGTATATACCCAGTAATGGGATTGCTGGATCAAATGGTATTTCTGGTTCTAGATCCTTGAGGAGTCACCACACTGTCTTCCACAATGGTTGAACTAATTTACATTGTATTATTTTTAAGTCTCATTTTCATTTAGTTCTGCTCTTATCTTTGTTATTTCTTTTCTTCTGCTAGTTTTGGGTTTGGTTTGTTCTTGTGTTTCTAGATCCTTCAGGAGCAACGTTGGGTTGTTAACTTGTGATATTTATATTTATTTGATGTAGGCATTTAATGTTAACTTCTCTCTTAGCACTGCTTTTGCTGTATTCAAGAGGTTTTGGTATATTGTATCTCCATTTTCACTTGTTTCAGAAAATTTTTAAATTTCCATCTTAATTTCGTTATTGACCCAAATATCATTCAGGAGCATGTTGTTTAATTTCCATGTATTTGTATAGTTTCAAGAATTCCTCTTGGAATTGATTTCTAGTTTTATTCTTTGTGGTCTGAGAAGACACTTGATAAGATTTTGATTTTATAAAATTTATCAGGATTTGTTTTGTGGCCTATTATATGGTCTGTCTTGGAGAATGTTCCATGTGCTGATGAGAAGAATGTTTATTCTGAAGATCTTGAATAGAATTTACTATAGATACCCATTAAGTTTATTTGTTCTAGCATGTCATTTAAGTCCGTTGTTTCTCTGTTGACTTTTTGTCTCAAAGATCTTTTGAGTGTTATCAGTGGTCTATTGAAGTCCTACTATTATTGTTTTGCTATCTTATGATGCTAGGAGCTCCAGTGTTTGGTACATATAAATTTAGGATTGTAATATCTGCTTGTTGAATTGATCTTTTTATCATTATGTACTGACCATCATTGTCTTTTTTTCTTTTTACTGTTGTTGCTTTGAAGTATTTTGTCTGATACAAGAATAGCTACTCTTGCTCACTTTTGGTTTCCATTTGTGTACAATACCTTTTTAATTCCCTTTTCCTTGAGTTTATATGAATCCTTCTATGTTAGGTAAGTCTATTGAAGACAGCAGAGATTTGGGTTGTGATTTTTTATCCATTCTGAATATTTTAAGTGGATCATTTAGGCCATTTACATTCAATGTTAATATTAAGATGTGAGGTACTGTTTTCTTCATCATGTTAATTGTTACCTGATTTTTTAAATTGTGTTTTTATTTTATAGGCCTGTGAGTTTTCAGCTTTCAAGAAATTATATTTCAGTGCATATTGTGCTTTTGTTTCAAGGTTTAGAATTCCTTTAATATTTCTTATAGGGCTGATTTGGTAGTGACAAATTTCCTCAGCATTTGTCTGAAAATGACTTTATTTCTTCTTCATTTATAAAACTTAGTTTTGCAGGATACAAAACTCTTGGCTGACAGTTATTCTGTTTAAGGAGATTGAAACTTAGTTTTGCAGGATACAGTATTCTTGGTTGACAGTTATTCTGTTTAAGGATGTTGAAGATAGTTTCCCAATCCCTTCTGGCTAATATGGTTTCTGCTGAGAAATCTGCTGTTAGTCTGATAGTTTTTTTCTTTTTAGGTTACCTCATGCTTTTGTCTTACTGCTTTTAGATTTCTTCTAACTGCCCAGTGAAGTTGCCACATTCCAGGCTGCTGATGGGGCATGTCTGCAAGGTGATATGACCTGTCCTCAAGTTTTCCAGTAGTGGGTACCAGCACCAGCTTTAATGGGGGTGGCAGGAGAGTCACATAGACTCTGTGAAAGTACTTGGTTATTGATAGCCTCAGTGTGTTGGCTTTTTTGAACACCAGTTAAGAGTAGTAATGAACTGGTCCCACAGGCAGACTAAGGACCTCCTGGTTAGCAGAGTGGTGCAGGCAGTAGTGATAGCTGAGATCATGCAGCTATTTTCTTCTTCTTGGGTGCAGTGCTATTCTGCCAGGAGATACTGTAGTGGATTGTCTTGGCTGGCCTCCAGCCAGATGGCAGTGCTTCCAACTGTGGGAGTAGTAGTGGAATTTTTGCTTGCCTTATGTTGTCCAGGGTGGGGTACTCTGATTTCATAGGCAATGGGCAGGGCCATGTAGCTTTCAAGAGATTCTATCCTTTGTGTTAAGCCAGGATGTGTGGCAGGGCAAAGCCAGGTGGGAACTGGGTCTGGTGGGTTTGTACTCTGAGTCTCCCTGTGCAGGGCAAGCAGCAACCCCTGTGGGTGTTGGGGAATGGGAGTGGTCTCAGACCACTGGGTTGATGTTCCACAGGGGAGCATTGCTGCCTCTGCTATGCAGAAGAGTTTGTGCAGGGAGTGGGGAGTAGCAGGCAGTGGTAAGCCCCACATAGTTCCCACTCATTTGGTGAGGCAGATCCACTCCCACAGTGTTCCACTGACAGCAGAAAGCTGAGTCCCAGTCAGCCTGTAATCAGAACTCACAGCTACTGGGAGTCATAAACTTTCCCCAGGGAAATAGCAACCATGGCTTTTAGGCCACACTCCTCCCTGTTCACTGCAAAGCTAGGCACCCAGCTCTTGAATCCACAGCTACAACACTCAGGACTCCTGTACTCAAAGTCTGCTTTTCACTCTCCCCAACCATGGCCCTAGCCAAGAGAGTTTGTGTTATATTGTGAAACCGTGTTGGGAGCTTCTTTCAACCTGTGACCAACACCTGAACTTTTTGACTGTCGTCTGCAGGGTCCCCTGTTAAGATCAGTAAGGAATGGCTGCCCTTGGTCCACACTGGAATCTGGGAGTGCATGCAAGGATCATGCTGCTCCTACTTTTATATTCCATTATCCTCCCCAAGTCAGTTCCTGCACTGGGTGAGATTAGGGCCTTCCCTGGTGATATGGACTTTCAGGATCCCTGGTGGGGGTGTGTATGCCAGAGGCAACCTTCCGACCTCTCACATTCTGGGGACTGGGAGCCCTTCACCTGACTCGCAGTGTAGGCTGCAGCCTTTTGCTTCTTTCAAAGGGTCCATAGATTCCTTTGGTTTTCCTGTTCAGGTTCGGCATCACTTCTTGAAAAAAAGTTCACAGTGTCAATCTCATTATCCCATCTTCTCCTGATCTCCAGGGTTTCTGCTGAGAAATCAACTGAAAGTTGTATTAAGACTTCATTAATTTTGATATGTTTCTTTTCTCTTGCTACTTTTAATATTCTGTCCTTAACTTGTTAATTTGATTATGATGTGCCTTGGTGATTACATTTTGGCTTGAATTTGACTGGTGACCTGAGCTTCCTATACCTGGATGCTGTTTTCTGTCACCATGTTTGGGATAATTTCAGTTACTATTTCCTTAAATATGCTTGCTAGGCCTTTTTCTCTCTTCTATCATTTAGCAACTCCTATTATGCTGAGGTTAGCTTATTTGATGTTGTCTCGTAATTCTGATAGGCCTTCTTCATTGTTTTTTATTCACTTTTCTTTTTGCTCCTCTAATTGTATAATTTCATATGTTCTGTCTTTGAGTTCACTGATTTTTTTTCCTGTTTAAGTCTGCTGTTAAGCTTTTTTTGAATTTTTTATTCAATTTACATATTCTTTATTTTGAGAGTTTCTCTTTGGTCTTAAAAAATTGTTTCTATTTCTTGGTTAAATTTCTAATTTTGTTCCTGAATTGTTTTCCAAATTTCATTTAGTTTTCTATCTGTATTTTTTTGTAATTCCTTTAACTTTTAAAAGTAGATTATTCTGAATTATCAGCCATTTTATAGATCTTCAATTTTTCTGAGTCCATTACTGAAGGTTTTTTTGCTCTTTTTTGGTGGTGTCATATTTTCCTGAGTTTTTACAAGTCTTGATTTTTATGTTGATGCCTGCACATTGAGCTTTTGCAGGTGTTTTTGATAGTGTTAGGTCTTTATTGCTTAATACTAGAACTTAATTACTGGTCTGCTCTTGCTTCTGAGTCTGGGGAAGACTTATAGTGAGAACTGGAAATTAAATGGTGCACTGGAAATAAATCACTGCCCTGTTGTTTTCAAGTCTGTGGAAGACTTATAGTGAGCCCTGTAACTTAAACACTGCTCTAGAACTATGTTGCTGCCCTGCCATTGTTCTTCAATCAATTACAAAAACTATTAATATAAATAGTTTTTATTTTTAAGTGAGCACCAGAACTTAATTGCCAAACATGTTGATGTTTCCAGATCAAGAGGAGGCTTCACATGAATATGTGGATTTTGTGGGAAATCCAGCCAGGAATTTGGTCCTTCCTGTGGATTGTGTCTTCTTCAGCACTATGGGCCATCCACTTTACTCAATGTGGTATCTTCACTGATTGGAGCACAGAACACCTACAAAAATTCACATGCCAGTCGATGCAATTAGAACCTTCCCCTTTTTTTTTTTTTAACCACAGTTCATCCCAGGTGGTTCAGTCCTCCCTGCACTTTAAATGTTCCATGGGACAGGACTGGAGTGAGCTTCCTGTGAAGATTCTATAACCAGCTGGGAGACTGAACATTCACCTCCAATTTCCTCCTCCCACACTGGGAACCATGTGTCTAGGGAAATTCTGTGAGTGGTGTTAGCCCTGCTTGCAGGAGGGGGTGACACCCTTAAAAGTGATTATTCCTCTTACCAGCATCAGATTTTCTTGATTCTGTGTGTCCAGGAAGTTTCTCCACTACTCCCTTGAGTTTTGGTGAATTCAGGATGGTATTCTTGTCTTTGAATAATTTCTAGTTGTATTTTTTTTCTAGGGGAAGTGATGCTGGGAGATCTTCTAGTCTGCCATCTTGCTTACACCACTCTGTGATTTTCCTGGTTATTTATCTTTTAGGTTTATTTGTGATTGTTGCAGTTTCTGTGCTGGCTTCTCATGCTGGTTGGATTATTATTAATTTTTGAATGGGAACTTCTAAATAATAAAGTGGTTAGTGGAATGTATATGTGTGGTAGATTGATGGAGGATGAGATTTTGTGGGAAATGGATAGATTCTGTCCAGGTTTGGTATCATATTATTAAATCTTTTGTTGTTGTTGTTAAAGAAGCTATTGCAACTCACATATGTGTCTTTTGTCTGTTGCAGTTTTGCGCTATCTTCCTCCCTCTGTTTTTAGCCATTTTTACTGTCAGCATTCCTAACTTCTATTAGGAATCTCTGTCTCAAGCAATAGAAATGGTCCATCAGTGTGGTTTCTTCTTCAACTCTCCTTTCTTAGGACCCTAAATATGATTACTGCTATAAAGGCATATTAGGCATGCCTTTCAGTGATGACACTTTGGAGGAAAACCTGTGTACTGTTATAGGTTCAAGACAGCATGACTATTATCTCTTAGTATTCTCCAAAGCCTTGTGCCAGATTTCATGACAGTACTTTTAGTATCAGAGGGCTATGGAAATTTTCTTACTTTTTTTCTTTTGTTTCTGGGAGTTTTATAGGAAAAGTGAGGGCAAAGGGGAGCTTTATTCTGCCATCTTCTTAAGGATATAAAAATAGAAAATAACCAGAGACTTTGCAAGATTACTGTATGACTTTCTGACGTTGAGTACTTTGAAGATTACTAAGAGCACAAGTTTAAATACCTATAGTAACTATCTGTTTTTAGAAAAAAACCGTAATGCTCTAGATCTCCAAAGTGATTTGGTGAGGAATAAACCTATATACTATATAATCCAAAATTGCTTTTCCATGGTCCTAGATCATAGAGAGATACATTGGTGGGTAAATTATCATATTTTCGAAGGAAATATACCAGTGATTGGCCCTTAAATTGCACCCATATATTAGAATTAATCCCTTTCTAAAGACAGATAATTTTTTTGTAGTACTAGCTGAAGATTTGTCCTTCACACATGAATATATGTCTTAAACTATCTGCAAATATTTTGAAATTTTGAAAATTATCATGCTGCTATAAAGACACATGCACACGTATATTTATTGCGGCATTATTCACAATAGCAAAGACTTGGAACCAACCCAAATGTCCAACAATGATAGACTGGATTAAGAAAATGTGGCACATATACACCATGGAATACTATGCAGCCATAAAAAATGATGAGTTCATGTCCTTTGTAGGGACATGGATGAAATTGGAAATCATCATTCTCAGTAAACTATCGCAAGAACAAAAAACCAAACACCGCATATTCTCACTCATAGGTGGGAATTGAACAATGAGATCACATGGACACAGGAAGGGGAATATCACACTCTGGGGACTGTGGTGGGGTGGGGGAATGGGGGAGGGATAGCACTGGGAGATATACCTAATGCTAGATGACGAGTTAGTGGGTGCAGCGCACCAGCATGGCACATGTATACATATGTAACTAACCTGCACAATGTGCACATGTACCCTAAAACTTGAAGTATAATAAAAAAAAAATCTAGATTTCTAGCTTCTTTGGGGAATTTAGAACACCTGAGAATATCTGTCATGCATTTGTAGTGGTAAGAATAATGGTTTTTTTTTTAATAGAACAGGTACTTCTCTATTTTACCTTGCTCTTTATGCTATCCCTATCATCACCAGGCTCATTACACTCATATAACATACTCAGTCTCAGTAGACATTTGGGTTTATTAGTTGGAGAACAGATTTTGGAAACTAGAAGAATCAATTCATTCCAGGTTTTTATACTTAATAACTATGTGGCCTTCCACAATATGCATAATATCAATAAGTTCTATTTCCCTCATCTGTTAAATGGAGATAAAATACTTATTTTCTTCAATTATTATAATGATTAAATGAGATAATACTTCAAAAGTACTTAGTATAATCGATGGCATATAGTAGCTATTTTGTATGAATTTGAAATTATTTAACATATTTGTATTCAATTGAATAATTAGTATGTTAAATTGCAAAGTAAATAAGGTTAGATGATTAGATGATTGGGAGGTAAAATATCTGTAATTAGTACTATGTACTATACTTCTGCCTCAAACAAAATGTTAGGGTTTTTTTGTTGTTTTTTACTATGTGTACTTTTTTTTTACTTTTTCAGCTTCTATCTTAGAAGCAGCTGGTACACATGCAGATTAGTTACAAAGTCTGTTGTGTGATGCTGAGGTCTGTGGTATGACTGAATGCATCACCCAGATAGCATAATACCCAAGAGGTCATTTTACCCCTTCTTCCTCCCCCTTTTAGTATTCCACAGTCTCTATGTCTGTGTTTACCCAGTGTTTATCTCCCACATATAAGGGAAGAGATGCAGTATTTGGTTTTCTGTTTCTGCATTAGCTCCCTCAGGATAATGGCCTCCAGCTGCATCCATGTTGCTGCAAAAGACATGATTTTGTTCTTTTTTATTGCTGTTTATTATTCCGTGGTATATATGTACCACATTTTCTATATCCAGTTCACCATTGATGAGCACCTACGTTGATTCTGTGTCTTTGCTATTATGAATGGCACTGTGGTGAACGTATGGATGCATGTGTCCATTTGGTAGAACAATTTATTTTCCTTTGGGTATATAGCCAGGAATGGGATTGCCGAGTCAAATGGTATTTCAACTCTTGGTTCTTTGAGAAATCTCCAAACTGCTCTCCAAGTGTTTAGACTAATTTACATTCCCACCAACAGTGTGTACATGTCCCCTTTTCTCCACAGACTTGCCATCTGTTTTTATCTTTTATTTTTTAATAATAGCTATTCTGGGCCGGGTGTGGTGGCTCATGCCTGTCATCCCAGCACTTTGGGAGGCCAAGGTGGGTGGATCACTTGAGATCAAGAGTTCGAAACCAACCAGGCCAACATGGTGAAACCCCATCTCTACTAAAAATACAAAAAAAAAAAATTAGCCAGGTATGGTGGCATGCGCCTGTAATCCCAGCTACTCTGGAGGCTGAAACAGGAGAATCGCTTGAACCTGGGAGGCGGAGGTTGCAGTAAGCCAAGATCGTGCCACTGCACTCCAGCCTGGGTGACAGAGTGAGACTCCGTCTCAAAATAATAATAATAGCCATTCTGACTGGTGTGAGATGGTATCTCATTGTGGTTTTAAATTGCATTTCTCTGATGATTAGTGATGTGGAGCATTTTTTCATATGTTTCTTGGCCACTTGTATGTCTTCTTTTGAGACGATTCTGTTTATGTCCTTTGCCCCACTTTATAATGGAGTTATTTGTTTTTTGCTTGTTGGTTTAAGTTCCTTATAGATTCTAGACCTTTGTTAGATGCATAGTTCATGGATATTTTTCTCTTATTCTATAGGTTGTCTGTCTAATCCGTTGATAGTTCCTTTTGCTGTGCAAAATATTTTTAGTTTAACTAGATCCCATTTGTCAATTTCTGTTTTTATTGCAATTGCTTTTGAAGAGATAGCCATACATTCTTTGCCAAGGCTGATATTGAGAAGGGTATTTACTAGGCTTTCTTCTAGGATTGTTATAGTGTGAAGTCTTACATTTAAATCTTTAATCCTTCTTGACTAAATTTTTGTATATGATAAAAAGCAGGGGTCCAATTTCATTCTTCTGCATATGGCTTGCCAGCTATCCCAGCATCATTTATTGAGTAAGGAGTCCCTATTGCTTATTTTTTCTGGGATTCTCAAAGATCATATGATTGTAGGTATGTGGCTTTATTTCTGGGTTCTCTACTCTGTTCAGTTGGTCTATGTGTCTGTTTTTGTACCAGTACAATGCTGTTTTGGTTACTGTAGCCCTGTAATATAGTTTCAAGTCAGGTAGTATGATGCCTTCAACTTTGTTCTTTTTGCTTAGGATTGCTTTGGCTATTAGGCTTCTTTTTGGATTAATATGAATTTTAGAATAGCTTCTCCTAATTCTGTTAAAAATGACATTGGTAGTTTGATAGGACTCCACTGAACCTGTAAATTGCTTTGGGCAGTATGGCCATTTAATGACATAGATTCTCTCAATCCGTTAGCATGGACTGTTTTTTCATTTATTTGTGCCATTTCTGATTTCTTTTGCAGTGTTTTTGCAGTTCTCGTTGTAGAGATCTTTCACCTTCTTGGTTACATGCATTGCTAGGTGTTTCACAAAATGTTAGTTTTTTAAATCAACTACTTTGACAATCTGTTATTCTTACAGTTAAAAATGAAGCAGCCTCAGAACTTCCAGATACAGCAGAAAATCTTCCAGCAATGTACCCGTCAATTAGCGACCTAATAATTCAATTTGATTTAAACAAAGTGGTCGGTAAGTATAGATTTATGTTTGGATACAGTAGAACACAATCTAAGAATTAAAATATTTCAACTGTATAGTTCTGTTAAAAAACAGGAAATTCAAAGAAGGAGTAGTCTTTCTCAACTTAAGTTCATTCTACTCAATCAATCTACATGTCAATTAAGTGTATCTTTAAATTTCGTGTTTTTACTCCATCAGACAACATTAATTTTGTAATGTTTCATATATTTCCCTTTACCTACTCATGAAACAAAATACATATAGGCTTTCCACTACTGTGAATTTTCATAAGATAAACTAGATGATATGTGAACAGTTCCTTGAGGACATAGTTGTAATTTCTTATACCATCTTTTGTATAACAAGATGGAAAGACAAATGGAACTAGTACCATATAGGCAATATGGCTGCCTTGTGATGTGCTTATTATTAAATTTGCAATGTCAAATGGTGACAAAGATCATCAGAATGTGGAAGAAGCTAGAATATGTGTGAAAGGTAGTGGTAGTGTGGTTAAGTGACTATTTTCTAATAAGATAAAACCAAAGTGTTCTGTGGTAGCTTTTGAATCACTCCTTAAAGGCATCAGGCAAACACGAACAAAATGGCAAACTGAAAACATCCAAACTCTCATTCCCTGACAGAAACGTTGAAAAAAGTTAGAATAATCTATCAGAACCAACTTTGTGAGAGCTTCAGAAAATAGTCACAGATTTATAGAAACCAAGAGAATACCTAATTAGGAAAAGTCTCTCTTCAAATGGTAAGAAAGTTTTGTGAAACTGTCAAAGGAGTGCTCCAGCAAAAGCCAGTATGAAAAGAATATGAAAAACTCCTGGCAATCACAGCATTACTAGTAGGCCCGCCCTGTTAAAACTTCTAGGCTGGGCGCAGTGGCTCACGCCTGTAATCCAAGCACTTCGGGAGGCTAGGCAGGTAGATCACGAGGTCAGGAAATCAAGACCATCCTGGCCAACATGGTGAAACCCCGTCTCTACAAAAATACAAAAAATTAGACAGGCATGGTGGTACACGCCTATAGTCCCAGCTACTCAGGAGGCTGAGGCAGGGGAATCACTGAAACCGAAGATGAGGAGGTTTCAGTGAGCCGAGATCACGCCACTGCACTCCAGCCTGGCTACAGAGCAAGACACCGTCAAACAAACAAAAAAACCCAGAATTCTCCAGGTTAAAATGAAGGAATGCTAGACAGTAACTTCAACCATATGAGGAAATAAAGATCTCTGGCAAAGATAAGTCCATGGGCAAATATAAAAGCCATTATTATTATAATTTTGGTTTGTAACTCTGCTCTTTGTATCTATAATACTCAAAAGACAAATATATAAAAATAATTACAAATTTATGTTATGGACACACAATATATAAAGACATGATTTGTGATGTTAATGACAGGGATAAGTTAGAGGGTGCTGCATAAGAGTATACTTTTTGGATGGATTGAAGTTGAGTTGGTGTCAATTCAAATTAAACTGTTATAACTTTAAGATGTTATATATTATTTGCTTGGTAATCACAAAGAAAATATCTATGGTGCATGCATGAAGAAAAGAGAAAGGAATCAAAACATGTGCCTACAAAAAGTCAACTAAACACAAAAAAGATGGAATTAGAGGAAATGAAGAGCAAAAAGGTATAACATACAAAAAACAGGTATCAAAATGGCAGAAATGTCTTTCCTTATCAGTAATTATTTTAAATGCAAATTGATAAAACTCTTCACACAAAAGGCAGAAATTTGCAGAATGAATTTTTTTTAAAAAATGATCAACTACATGCTGCTTACAAAAGATGCACTTTAGATGAACAAAAATGACAAAACTTTAGCTAGATTGACTAGAGAAAAATAATAAAGTTGCTAAAAATCAAAACAGAAAGTGGGAACATTACAACCAATTTTAAAAGAATAAAAAGCATTGCAAGAGAACACTGTGAACAACTGTACACCAAAAAAACTGGATAACCTAGAGGAAATGAACAAATTGTTAGAAATATACAATCTACCAGAACTGACTTATGAAGAAATATCTAAATAGACCCCTAATTAAGATGAATACTGAATCCTAATTAAAATTTTCCAACAAAGAAAAATCCAGGACCAGACGACTTTATGGGTGAATATTACCAAATATTTAAAGAAGAATTAAAACTAATCCTTCTCAAATTCTTTCAAAAAACTGAAGAGGAGGGAATACTTCCTAACTCATTCTATGAGGACAGCATTATCTTGATACTAAAGTCAGAAATGCTATAAGAAAGCAAATGACAGACCAATATCCCTTATGAATAATGATGCAAAATCCTCAACAAAATATTAGTAAATAAAATTTAGTAGCATACAAAAAATTATACATCATGAATTTATGAGTTTTATTTCTCAAATGCAAGGATAATTCAATAGACAAAAGTCAATCAGTGTGATATACCATGTTAGCATAATTAACAACAACAAAAAACCCCACTGGATCCTCTCAGTTGATGCAGACAAAGCATTTGACCAAATTCAATACCCTTTCACGTAAAAACAGTAAACAAGCTAGGAATAGAGCACTTCCACATCATGATAAAAAGCCAAATACAAAAAATCCACAACTAACATCATATTCAATGGTAAAAGATTAAAAATGTTTTCCTTAAGATCAGGAGCAATACAAGGACACCTGTTTAGATAACTTCTAGTCAAAATAGTATTCAAAATCTATCTGGACCAGTTAGAATAGAAGACAGGTAGATGATAGATAGTTAACATCCAAACTGGAAAGGAAGAAATAAAATTATCTGCCAAGAGGTGACATTATCTTATATGAAGAAAACCCTAATGATTCCACAAAACAACTGTTAGATATAATAAACAAATTTAGCAAAGTTGCAGGATACAAAATGAACACACAAAAATTGGTTACATTATCTATGCACTGGTAGTGAGCTATCTGAAAAGAATTAAGAAAACAGTTCCATTTACAATGGCATCAAAAGAACAAAATATTTAGGAATAAATTTAACCAAGAAGGCAAAAGGCAAAAGACTTGTATACTGAAAACTACCATATAATGCTGAAAACAATTAAGAAGACATAAATAAATGGAAAGACATCTCATGTTCATGGATTAGAAGATAACTTGTTTTTTTTTTGTTTTTTTTGGTTTTTTTTTGAGATTGAGTCTTCCTCTGTCACCCAGGCTGTGCAGTGGCGCAATCTCAGCTCACTGCAACCTCCGCCTCCCAGGTTCAAACAATTCTCCTGACTCAGTCTCCCTAGTAGCTGGAATTACGGGCACATGCCACCATGCTCCGCTAATTTTTGTATGTTTAGAAGAAACGGGGTTTCACTATGTTGTCCAGACTGGTCTCAAACTCCTGACCTCAAGTGATTCGTCTGCCTTGGCCTCCCAAAGTGCTGGGATTACAGGCATGAGCCACCGTGCCCGGCCAGAAGACAATATTATTAAGATGACAGTAATACCCAAAGTGATCTACACCTTCAATGCAATCTGCAGTTCTTATCAAATTCCCATAATACTTATGAGGTTATTGTTGCAAAATAGAAAACCCTATCTTAAAAATCATAGGAATACAAGGGACCACACATATCCAAAACAATTTTGAAAAAGGAGAATAAATTTGGAAGTCTCACACTTCCTGATTTCAAAACTTACTATAAAGCTACAGTAATCAAAAGAGTGATATACTGGCATAAAGCAGACATACAGACCAATGGGGATAGAATTGAGAGACTGGAATTAAATCCTTGCTATGTGGTCAAATAACTTTCAGCAAAGTTGCCAATACCATTTACTGGTAAGAAGGCAGTCTTTCCACAAACGGTGCTTTCACAAAAAGACAGTCTTTTCCACAAACCAGATAGTCACGTCAAAAGAATGAAGTTGAATCCTTACCTTACATTATATACAAAAATTAAAATGGACCAAATACCTACATATAAGACCTAAAACCATTAAAACTCTGAGAGAAAAACAGGGAAAAGCCTTCATGACATTGAAGTTAGCAATTATTTTTTGGGTATGACTCCCAAAGCACAGACAACAAAAGAAAAAAATAGGTAAGTTGGACTTCATCAAAATTAAAAACTTTTGTCATCAAAAGACAGTGTCAGAGAGTGAAAGCACAACCCAGAGAGTGGGAGAAAATATTTGCAAATTACATATCTGATAAGGGCTTAATGTCTAGAATATACAAGGAAGTTTTATAAATTAACAAAAAACTCAACTCCATTTAAAAATGGGCAAGTGATTTGAATAGACATTTTTCCAGAGGAGATATACAAGTTGCTAATTTGCCCTAAAAAAGATACTTAGCATCATTGGCCATTAGAGAAATGCAAACCAAAATCACAATAAGATATCACTTCATAGCCATTAAGATGACTCTCATTATAAAAACAGAAAATAAGGAATGTTGGCAAGGATGTAGACAAATAGGAACTTTTGTAAATTGTTCATGGGAATGTAAAACTGTCACTGCTGTGGAAAACAGTTTGGTTGTTTATCAAAAAGTTAAACATGGAGTTCTCATATGATCTATTTACTTCAAGGTGTAGGTGTAGACCCAAAAGAATTGAAAACAGGTACTTGTGCACCAGCATTTATAACAGCATTATTTACATTAGCCAAAAGTTGTAAACAACCTAATCTCCATCAGCAAATGAATGCAGAAACAAAATATGGTATATACATACAATGAAATATTATTTCACTTTAAAAATGAATCATGTTCTGAAACATGCTACAAAGTGAATGAATCTTGAAATATTATGGTAAGTGAAATAAGGCAAATACAAAAGATAAATATTGTATCTTATTGTACCACTTATATGAGGTACCTACAATAAGTAGACAGAAAGTAGATCAAAGGTTCCCAAGGCCTGGCAATAGAGGCTAATAGGGAGTTATTGCTTAATGGGTAGAGTTTGAGTTTAGAAAGGTGAAGACTTTCTGAAGATAGATGGTGGTGATGGTTGCACAACAAAGTGATTGTGGTTAATACAATTAATCATACATTTAAAATGGTTAAAATAATAAATTTTATATTATGTATATTTACCACAATAAAAATGAAGGTATTCTGATAAAAATACAAAAATTACAAAAGAAATTTTATTTTATTTTATTTTATTTTTTAAGTTCCAGGGTACATGTGCAGGATGTGCAGATTTGTTACATAGGTAAATGTGTGTTATGGTGGTTTGCTGAACCTATCAACCCATCACCCAGGTATTAAGCCTGGCATGCATTAGCTCTTTTTCCTAATGCTGTACCGCACACCCCACGGCCCTCTGACAGACCCCAGTGTGTGTTGTTCCCCTCCCTGTGTCCATGTGTTCTCATTGGTCAGCTCCCACTCCCAAGTGGGAATATGCGGTGTTTGGTTTTCTGTTCCTGCGTTAGTTTGGTAAGGATAATGGCTTCCAGCTTCATCCATGTCCCTACAAAGGACATGATCTCATTTCTTTTTATAAGCCAAAGTTCTTTTTTTTGAGACGAAGTCTCGCTCTGTCGCCAGGCTGGAGTGCAGTGGCGCAATCTCGGCTCACTGCAACCTTCGCCTCCCGGATTCAAGCGATTCTCCTGCCTCAGCCTCCAGAGTAGCTGGGACTACAGACACGTGCTGGGCGCCGTGACTCGTGCCTGTAATCCCAGCACTTTGGGAGGCTGAGGAGAGTAGATCTCCCGAGGTCAGGAGTTCGAGACCAGCCTGGCCCACATGGTGAAGCCCCATCTCTACCAAAAGTACAAAATTTAGCTGGGCTTGGTGGCACACGCGTGTGGTCCCAGTTACTCAGGAGGCTGAGGCAAGAGGCTTGCTTGAACCTGGGAGGCAGAGGTTGCAGTGAGCAGAGATTGCGCCACTGCACTCCAGCCTGGGAGAGAGAGCAAGACTCTGTCTTAAAAAGCAAAACAAAACAAAAAAAAGAAATTTTCAAAATGTATGAAGAACTGTGCAGAATTTATGGATCTACAAAAATTGAACATCTCTACACTATTTTCATCTCTATCAAATATTGCAGAAAAAAACTAGTTTATGAAGGACATAAATCCTTCTGTGCTAGACATATTAAACAGATACTTATAGAACACTTCACTCAATAAATGGAGTACACATGCAAAAATTGACTACATATTAGGCCACACATTAAGTTTCAATGAATACCAAAAAATGATTTCCACAAATCACATTTTCTATGATGCAATAAAACAGAACTAAATGATAAAAAAGATAAAAATTCTTCTGCACAATTTAAAATCCTATTTATAAGCTGAAGAAAACATAATGGACACTAGGATATATTTGAGACTAAATTAAATTTAAAACACTACACATAAGCACTTACAAGAGGTCCTTAAATAGGTTTTTATAAGGAAATTTAAAGGTTGCATATGATAGAAAATAAGGAAAACTAAAAAGTTAGGATTATAAGTTCATAGCAAGAAGGTAGAAAAAGAAGATGATAAAATCTGAAAACTAAAAGTAGAAAAAAGATTAAAATAAGAGAATTATTTTTTTAAAGTAGAGGACATAGAAATAATATCAGTGGAATAAAAAGTTGATAGTTTACAAAGACTTATGCATGGAAATATAATATATTTAGCAAATAAAGTAGAAGGCATTAATTGGGAGGATTTAGGAAAGGTGGCATTTGTAGTGGCATAGTTCTAAATTTTCTTCATCTCTCTTTATGAGTCATAGTTTGGTCTCTTACCATAATCCCATATTTCCCCAAGTTTTTGTTCATTCTTTTTTATTCTTGTTTCTTTATTTTTGTCTGAGTTGTTTCAGGGAGCTAGTCTTCGAGCTCTGAGATTCCTTCCTCAGCTTGATATATAGTGCTGTTAATACCTGTGATTAACAAGACATTAAACTTTCAACTCAGCCTTATTTCTGGGCTCAATGCAAGCCTAGCTAAGTGCTGAAGGGAGACTCTTAGGATAGAATTAACTGCAAATACTGTGAAAGGTGTTTGATGTGTGGGGGGAGTTCTTTTAATTTAAAAAGAAATGCTGACATTGGAAGAAATATCTATAAAAACAGTAACTGAACATGAGCTTTAAGTAACAGATTTCAGTGGTAACACACAGAATAAAGTAAATTTTTTGTAAAAATGATTTGCGAATACCTAAACAAATGTCTGACTGTAGCTTTCAGCAATCAAAAAGAGCAATACCTGGGGAAGGGAGAAAAGATAATCTCTAGCATCACCCCTTTTAATATCCAAATGAACAACTTTCAATAGAAAAAAATTACAGGGCATAATAAAAAGAAGTAAGTATGGACAAATCAAAGGAGCAAAATAAATTGAGAGAAACCATTCCTGAGGAAGCTCATACAATGTACTTACTAGAGAGACTTTAAAACCACTATATAAGGCCAGGGTATGGTGGCTTATGCCTGTGATCCTAGCACTTTGGGAGGCCAAGGCGGGTGGATCAATTGAGGCCAGGAGTTCGAGACCAGCCTGGCCAACATGGCGAAACTTCATCTCTACTAAAAATACAAAAATTAGCCGGGCATGGTAATGCACACCTGTAATCCCAGCTATTAGGGAGGCTGAAGCAGGAGAATTGTTTCAACCCAGGGGGCAGAGATTACAGTGAGCCAAGATCATGCTACTGCATTCCAGCCTGGGCAACAGAGTGAGACTCCATCAAAACAAACAAACAAAAAAAGAAACCACCTACTATATTAAATATCCTCAAAGAGCTAAAGGAAAACATGGACAAAGAACAAAAGGAAATCAGAAAAACTTTGTAAAAAAAGTGAAATAAAGATGATAAAAAATAAACAATATCCTTAGTTGAAAAGTATAATAGTTGAAATAAATAATTTATAGAGAGATTCAACAGCAGATCTGAGCAGACGAAAGAAGAATCAGTGAATCTGAACATAGGACAATTGTGATTATTAAGTCTGAGAAGCAGGAATAAAAACGAAGGAAAGGGAAGGGACCTGTGGGACACCATCGAGTGGATCAGCAACACATTATGTGGGTATCAGAAGGAGAAAAGAGAAAAGAGCAGAAGGAATTTGTGAAGAAATGATGGGTAAAAAATATCCCAAATTTGATGAAAGACATGCATCTACACATTTAAAACTAACCAAACTCCAAGTAGAATAAACTCAGAGATCCACACCGAGACACATTGTAATTCTGTCAAAAAATTCTGTCAAAATGCAAAGACAGCCCTATGGAATGACATCAGCAAGATGGCAGAATAAGATTTCCTAGTGCTTTTGCCCTTATAGAAACATCAGTTTGAACAGCTATCTACACATGAAAATACCTTCACAACAGCTAAAGAAACCAGATGAGAGATTACAGCACTTGAATGTAACGCAGATGTAAGAAAGATGCATTGAATAGGGGAGGAAGGACAGTTTTACATAATCTGCATCACTCCCTCCTTAACTTCGGGCAGCACAGTGTGGAGAGAGATATCCTTAATGTGAGGAAAGAAAGGTTAAATGAGCACTGGACTTCCTTGGACCCCAACATTCAGCCCACTGGGGTAAAATCCAATGCCAGCCAGGCCCCTACAGCCACAAACTCTAGGCCAGTATCTGCAGACCCAGCCTCCAAGCCCACCCCAATGCCAGGCCAGCTCCTGTGGCTCTAGGCTTCTTCAGGCCAGCTCTGCAAATGCAGTCTCCAGTTTTGTCCCACCGTCAGACCAGCTCTAGCAGTCCCAGCTCCAGGCTGGCCCCAGAGGCCCCAGGCTTCAGGCTCGCCCCTATTCCAGGACATCTCCACAGACTCAAGCTTCAGGCCTGCCCCTGAAGGCCTCTCCAGGCTGACCCTACAGATGGAGCCTTCAGGCCCATTCTGGCACCAGTCCAGCTCCCACAGATTCAGCCTCTAGTCTTGCTCCACTTCCAGGCAAGCTCCAGTGATCCCAGCCTTCAGGCCCACCTCAGCACTAGGCTGGAATTTGCAGCCCTAGAGTCCAGGCCACCACCTGCAAACCAACACTGCCTCAACACTGAGCTTGCCCCATAGACTCAGTCTTCTGGGCTGCCCCAGCACCAAGCTGGACCCAGAGCTTCACACCCCAGACCGATCCCAGAGCCAGGTCAGCCCCAGTAGCTCCAGGCCCTAAGCTGGCCCCTGAAAACTCAGGCTTCACATGTACCTGAGGCTCCAAGCCTGCCCCATTGTCAGGTCAGCCCTAGCAGCTCCAGGCTTCAGACTGCCACCAGCACTATACCAGCCTCTGTGACCCTATCCTCCAGACCAGTAGCAATCAACTAAGCTTTATTCCTGAGTTCAGACCCCAGGCCATCAAATCCAGCCTCAGATTCCAGGCCTATTTATGTGTATCCAACCTCTAGGCCTGCCTCAGTACCAGGCCAGTCTGCAGATACTGGTACAGGCCTGCCCAGTGTCAGGTAATTTTCTGTGGCCCCAGACTTGCCTCTGCAAACTCAGGTTCAAGGTCCAAGTTTGCTTCAGATTTACCCACTGTCAGGCTGGCTCTCACAACTCCAGGCTTTAGGCCAGCACCCATGGACCCAGCCTCTAGCTCCACCCTAGTGCCAGGTCAGCACCAACAAACCCCAGCACCAATCCATCTCCATGGAGCAAAGTTCCAGGCTCATCCAAGCACCTAGCTGTCCCTACAGACTCAGGCTAAAGGTCCACCCCTATACCAAGTCATTCTCCATGGACCCAGACATCAGACCAGTTCCCACAAATAACAAGATTCAGGTCTGCCCCTGTGGGCCCAGTCAATTGGTTCACTCCAGTGGACCCTAGCTACAGACCTGATTTTGTGGATATGGCTTACAGAATCATAGTGGATCCCAGTGCAAAGCCAGCCAATGTGGACCCAGGCTCTAGGCCCAACCTGGTAGACTCAGGCACCAGACCCACCTGCCTTCTCATCCAGCCACTAGGCCAGCCTGCCTGAGAACTCCAGCAGCAAGACTACTCATGAACTAAGCCAGATGACCAACCCATAGTCTCTGGTTGAGCTGAACGGTAAAGGGCTTTTTTTTTTTTTTTTTGCCAAGGCCAGTTTGTAAAGACTGGAATAAGTGCCTACTTCTTCAAATGTGAAAATACCAATGCATGGGCACAAGAATTATGAACAATCAGGAAACATAACATCACCAAAGGAACAAAAAGAGCACTAGTAATTGACCCTACATAAATGGAGATTTATAAACTGTCTGACAGAAAGTTCAAAATAATCTTAAGGAAATTCAGTTTACTACAAGAGAAAACAGACAACTAAGAAAAATCAGGAAAATAAGCAAAATGAACTCAATAAAGAGATAGAAATCATACAAAAGAACCAGACAGAAATTCTAGAGCTAAAGAACTCAATGATTGAACTGGAAAATTCCATATTGCATTTCAATAGCAAAATAGATCAGGCAAAAGAAAGAATCAGTAAACTTGAACACAGATCATTTGAAATTACCCAGAGAAAAAAAGAAAATAAAAAAGTAAAAAAAAAAAAAACCCTACAAGAATTATGGGACACTGCTATAGTTTGAATATGTCCACCCAAAAGCATGCATTGGAAACTTAATTCCCAATGCAGCAGTGTTCAGAGGTGGAGCCTTAATGTGTGGTGATTAGGCCATGAAGGCAGAGTGAATAGATTAATGCTATTATCACAGAGGAGTAGGTTTGTTATCTTAGGAGTGGGTTTATTATAAAAGGGGAAATTTGATTCCATCTGTCTTTCTTTTGCCCCCTTTGTGCTTCCAAAATACACTGGTGGGACAAGAATAGAATAGGCATTGCCATCCCAAAGTGACAAAATAGGTAAGATAAAAGGAGATAACTGGCTCCAAGTAAGTCCAAAATACAACAAGGAAAGCAACGTTAAATCTTAAAACTAGAGAATACATTTTTTTGACTTCATGTTCCACCCTCTGAGCACACTTGGGTGGGGGTTGGGCCCTCAAAGTCTCAGGCAGCCCCATCTCTATGCCTTTGCTGGCCTCAGCCCAGACAGCAACCCTCATGGGTTGGAGTCTTGTGCCTGCAGCTTTCCCAGACTGGCATTACACCTTAGTGGTCTACAGTTTTGAAATCTCATGGCCAGCCCCACTCCCAAGGCTCCACTATGCCTAGTGGTAACTCTGACTCCACGGCCCGCTCAGCATTGTTCTATTGGGGGCTGTCTGTGGTGGCTCAGCCCCTGTGACATGTTTCTGTCCGGGACCCCAGACTGTCCATGACATTCTCTGAAATCTAGGTGGAGGAAGACATGCCCCCACACTCTTGCATTCTGCATGCCTGCGGAACTAACACCACATAAACACCACCAAGGCCGACTGCTTGTGTCCTCTGGAGTGCTAGCCCAGACTGCACCTGGGGCCATTGGCACCACAGCTGGAGCAGCCAAGGAGCACCTTGCCATTCCTGGGTCCTGGCTGCTGTACTCAGCCTTGCAGAACATGGGCTTTATTGTGTTCCGCCCTTCCAGGGTCCAGAGTCACTACTCTGGGTTACCTCCTCTCTCAATGCCCAAGTTGCCACTGTGGTCTGTTGGCTCTAGAACTCAAATTGCAGCTGTGCCCTTCTCCCTAGGGCCTGAGCCTTTGGAATGCATTTTTTCTCCACAGCTGTGTCAGTGCTTCATTCTGATTCACAGGGTCAGAGTTGCAGCCATATTCCTGTCCCTGAGCCAAGCTACTGAAGAGTGCCTCAGAGTCAGAGTCCTCAGTTTTGTGGAAGATTTGCATCCACCTGTGCCTCAGAGAGTAAACCTGATCCCACATACTGGATACTTCAGTAGTTTTGCAAGACACTAAGCACAGGACCCCAATTTTACAGCCACTTCAATCCTGTGCCCTGGAACATAGTGCTGCTGATGCTGCCTGCAAGTCATATCAGACCCAACACCAAGAGGGATTTCTCAGCTAAGTTTCATTACTATGGGAAAAATGAGAGCAGGAGGTACTCCTGAAGCCTTTGTCACTGAGAACCCTAACAGCTACACAGCTACTATCACTGCCACAAATTTCTGCTGCCTAGGCCACTGAGGCACCCACAGTCATCATTGACATGGATCGCAGGTAAGGAAGCTGCACAGAGATCACACCACTGTGCTTACCTGGAACCGCAGCCACCACAACCTACCCAAAACACTACCCTCTGGTCCATCTGCAAGTGAGTCTTTTTCAAAAAAAAAAGCCACTCTATAAGTTTGGAAAGGAGACTGCTCTAACAGTGTGCAGACCTCAACACAGGTACATAAGAATCATAAAAAAGCAAGGAAAGACACCACCACTAAAGGAACACAGTAACTGACACCAAAGAAACAGAAATTTCCTGAAAAGGAATTCAAAATAATGATTTTAAGGTAACTCACTAAGATATAAGAAAATACAAATAGACAGTTCACTGAGATCAAGAAAATAATTCATCATCTGAATGATAAAGTCAATAAAGCCAAAGATATTATTTTAAAAAGGAGATAAACAGAAATCTTGGAGTTGAACTCAGTGAATGAAATAAAAACTGCAATTGAGAGCTTTGACAGCAGACTAGATCAAGCAGAAGAAAAAAAATCTGTGACCTTTCAGATAGGTCTTTTGAAATGACTCTATCAGAGAAGAAAAAAAGAATGAAAAAGAATGAAGAACACTAAAGGACTTATGAGACATCATTAGGTTAGCAAACATTGACATTACAGGTATTAAAGAAGGAAACAGTGGAGAAAGGGATGGAAAGCTTATTCAGTGAATTAAATGATGAAAATTATTTCAAGTCTGAAGGGAGACATGGATGTCTAGATCCATGAAGCTCAAAGTTCTCAAACAGATTCAGTCCAAAAAAGTCATTTTCAAGGCACATTATAATCAAACTGTCAAAGTCAAAAGAATTTTTAAAACAGCAGGAGAAAAGCATCAAGTGACATCGAGGACATTTCCATCAGATTTCTTTGTAGAAATCTTGCGGGCCAGCAGAGAATTGAATGATATGTTCAAAGTGCTAAAAGAAAAAAAAAATTAGTCAAGAATACTATACCCATCAAAGATGTTCTGAGAAATAAAGGAAAAATAATCTTTTTACAAACAAAACGTGAGGGAATTTATTACCACTATATTTGTCTTACAAGAAATGCTCAAGGGATTTCTTCAAGTGGAAATAAAAGGACAATAAATACTATCATGAATACATATGGAAGTATAAACTCATCATGGGTAGAGATAAACAAAAAAATCCAGAATACTGTAATGGTGGTATGTAGATCATATATATCTCTAGAATAAAGGTTAAAAGTCAAAATTGTCAGAAATAACTAAAGCTACAATAAGTTACATAATTCAAAAAGATGTAAATTGTGACATCAAAATCATAAATGGGGGAAGATACAAATCTACAGTTTAGATATGCGACAAAAATAAAGTTGTTATCAGCTTAAATTACTTGCTTAAAACCTAGATGTTGGCTGGGCATGGTGGCTCATGCCTGTAATCCTAGCACTTTGGGAGGCTGAGGTGGGCAGATCACCTGAGGTCAGGAGTTCAAGACCACCCTGGCCAACATGGTGAAACCCCATCTCTACTAAAAATACAAAAATTCGCTGTGTGTGGTGGCATACGCTTGTAACTCAGCTGCTCGGGAGGCTGAGGCAGGAGAATCACTTGAACCCAGGAGGCAGAGGTGGCAGTGAGCCGAGATCACGCCATTGCACTCCAGCCTGGGTGATGGAGCAAGACTCTGTCTCACCTAGATGTTTTATGTAAGCCACAGGGTAATTATAGCAGATTTACAAACAATAAAGAGAAAAGAATCAAAGCTTAGAACTACAAAAAATATTAAATCACAAAGGTAGGCAGCAAAAGAGAAGGAAAAGGGCAAAAGATCTACAAAATAACCAGGAAACAAATAACAAAATGATAATAGTAAGTTCTTACCTATAAATAACCTTGAATGTAAATGGAATAAATTCTTCAATCCAGGACATAGATTGGCTGAGTAGATTTTTAAAAATACACCTTCTTCTTATTAGGGTGTATTAATCTTGAATACTTTCACTTAGGTGAAATTTGGTGTTAGTCATGCAATTCAGGGAAGACTTTAGAATACAAAGGATTTACTGACATGATTCTTTACTACTTTTATGTCTGGTAGTAGATTACATATGTCCATTGGAAGATTACATAATCAAGGCTGAACAACTAAAAGGTTATTCCCTTCAAGAATAAAATTTTGAGCCATCTTAACTAGGGAAGACCCTTAGGTAGCCAAGCAGTTGGCTGTGGGAAAGGGAGGACATGGAATTATTGGTGGAAAGAAGTGAAAAATATAAATTGAAGCCTTGTAATGGATTATAAATCCATTACTGTAGTACCTGTACATATTTTAATGTATATATTAGTCATGTTTTTTTCTCCCTTTCTGTCTCTTAGTCTTATGTGTTTTGATATTAGCTTTACAATTTACTTATAAATCAAAAAACATCTGAATGAGATCAGAAAGACAGAATAACCTTTATTAGTACCACTTTTGCTGTATCCCATACATTTGGTATGTTGCATTCCCATTTTCATTTGTTTCAAGAAATTTTACATTTCCTTAATTTCTTTATTCATACATTTGTTATTCAAGAAAATGTTGTTTAATTTCCATGTGTTAATACAATTTCCAAGGTTTGTCATATTATTGATTGTAGTGCATTTATTACATTGTGCTTCAAAAAATGCTTGGTAGAATTTCTTTATTTTTGAATTTATCGAGACTGTTTTGTGGTATAACTATGATCTATTCTGGAGAATATTCCATGTGCTGACAAAAACTGAGTATTCTACAGCAGTTGTGTGAAATAGTTTCTAAATGTCAGTTAGGCCTGTTTGGTCTAGTATGTAGTTTAACTTCAAAGTTTCCTGTTTTTCTACTTTTATATTAGGTTCAGGGTATATGTGGAGGTTTGTTACATGGGTAAATTGCATATTGCTAAGGCTTGGTGTATGAAAGATCTCATCACCAAGGTGGTGAGCATAGTACTCCATAGGTAGCCTTCCCACCCATGTCCCTCTCCCACTCTCCTCCACATCAGGCAGTCCCCAGTATCTATTGTTCCCATCCTTGTGTCCACATTGCAGTATTTGGTTTTCTGTCCCTGCATTGTCTTAGGATAGTGGCCTCTAGTTGCATCTATGTTGCTGCAAAGGACATGATTTTATTCTTTTTTATAGTTGCATCATTTCCGTGGTGTATTGTACCATATTTTCTTTATCCAGTCCACAGTTGATGACAATCATGGTTGATTCCATGTCTTTGCTATTGTGAATAGTGCAGTAATGAACTTTTGAGTGCATGTGTCTTTTTGGTAGAATGATTTATTTTCCTTTGTGTATATAACCAACAGTGGCATTGTTAGGACAAATGGTAGTTCTATTTTGAGTTCTCTGGGAAATTTCCACACTGCTTTCCACAGTGGCTGAACTAAGTTACATTCCCACCAGCATTATTATAGAAGTGTTTCCTTTTATTTTTCAACATTGCCAGCATCTGTTGTTTTTTTGACTTCTTAAAAGTAGCTGTTCTGACTAGTGTGATATGTTATCTCATGGCTTTGATTTGTATCTCTCTAATATTAGTGATAATGAGCAATTTTTCATATATATTTTCATATATTTGTTGGTGCATGTATGTCTTCTTTTGATACATGTCCTTTGCCCATATTTTAATGGGGTTATTTGCTTTTGCTTGCTGATTTATGTTCCTTATAGATTATGGATATTAGACTTTTGTCAAATGCATAGTGAGGGTGAACAGATCAGACTTTCCCCAGTTCCATAGGAAAGTCAGCCCTGTTCTCTCTAGGTATGGCAGCCTACTCAGGCTAGAGACGTCCCTTCCTTAGGAGCTGTTCAGGGTCTGGAAAGCATCCTAGTGCTTGGCAACCCCATGTAGGGTTCCCAGATTTCTCCCCATTTAGTCTTGGCATCTGGATCAATCAATATTGAATAGATTCAATATTTCAGTTGAATCTATTTGGTTTTCTCTGACTTTCCTATACCTGAATATTTATATCTTTCTCAGGGTTTGGAAAGTTTTCTGTTATTCTTAAAAATAAACTTTGCATTCCTTTTTCTTGCTCAGTTTCCTCTTGAACAGTAATAATTCTTAGATTTGGTCTTTTGAGGTTTTTAAATATTTTGTAGGCAATCTTCGTTCCATGTCATTCTTTGTTCTTCCCCCCTTCACTCTGTATTTTCAATTAGGTTTTCTTCAGGCTCACTGGTTTTTCCTCTGCTTGATCTATTCTGCTGTTGAGAGCCTCTAAAAATTTTTCAGTTAAGCAAATGTATTTCTCAGCGCCAAGATTTGTTTGATTTTTAAAATTATTTCAATCTCTGTTAAATTTCTGTGATAGATTTCTGAATTGCTTTTATTTGTAATCTTGTAGACTACTGAGTTTCCTTAAAACTTCTATTTTGAATTTTTGGTCGGAAAACTCTCATCATCTCATTAGCATCAGTCATTGTTTTTTTGCTTTTCCAATTGAAGAAGTCATGGTTCCTTGTTTGCTGTTATTTATTGGGGATGTATTCCTGTATCTTTGCATTTAAGGATTAATTATTTATTTGTCTTCTTTGTCTGGCTTGTTTTGGGTTTTATTAGATACATTTGCTTAGAGATTCTTTGCAATTTCCATATTAAATTTTTTTCACTGCCTTATTTTTGGCACTAGGTGGAGCCTTAAACCCAGGTTTCCCTTGGCCTTAGTAAACAAAGCAATGCCCTTCTCAAAGTGGGGGTTCCCAAAGGTGTGGGAAGGGTAGCTGGAAGTTTGTGCCCAGAGGACCTGTGGAATATACCTCCTACACAATAGTGCTTCTTATATGTTATTAAATTTTCTCTTGCTGCGTTTGGATCCTATATTTGTTTTGGGCCTTTGAGAGCCACTCTTAGTAGCCACTGATTTGACATCCCCTTTGGCCAAGTTACAGAGCAGTTTTGAGGGCTAAGGATGATAGGCTTACTTCTCCCTCTGTCTCCTCTGTCCTCAGGGATATTTCTCACTTCAGGCTCTCTTATTCTTCCCAGGGATTGAGGCAGGGACAAGTCGCTGTCTGCTTTGAGTTTTTGTTGCTTCTCTGTGGTCCTAAAAATTGTCTCATTCTCATAATGGGTTCTTGGATATTGCTGGTCATAATATTGATGCTGTATATTTCTTTATGGCTTTCTGTGGGGGAAAGGGAGTAAAGCCAGATTGCTTCTATGCCAACATTTTAAAATCAGAAGCTTTCAATACTCAATTATTGTTTAGTAATCTCCCACCAACTGTCTTAAGTCTGTGGGTTCTCATTTGCTCACAGATAATTCTGCTACAAACCTCACATCTGCCTGCATTTCTGGCTGCAACTATGTGCAAAGGATAATGGCATATCTTCTATCTCCCAAATATAGTATGGATATCTTTTTTTGGTAAATTCTATCTTAGAAAAATACAGAGAAATGGATTTAGCAATGTAGTTTCCTAAACTTTCTGTGCAGAGAATAGATCTTAGAAACATGGAGCAATGATACTTATTTGCCATGCCCAAAATGCTTCTTTCAGTTTCTCAAATGTTTTATATTTCACTCCATCAGAGGACCTTTGCACTTGCTTTTCACACTTTATGAGATATCTATTTCCCAGAATTCAGTATTTGGAATTCCTGAAGAAGAATAAATAAAATGTACAATATATTATAAGGCATAATTGAAGAATTAATTTTACAATAATGGATGACCCAAATTTATAAGTCGAAAAGACATCCCAGGACAAATTGGGAATTAATAACATATAAAAATAACCTGGTGAAATTTACTGGCCTTTTAAAATTATTTTAAATATACAGAATTCTAGGGGCATCAGACTTTACCCTCTCCTCCAAAAATTCCACACAAAATTTAAAAGACAATCTACTTAAGACGGGGGAAGAAACAAGGTGACCTCAGAATTGTTCTAAGAAGTCATTATATGAAAAGATACTTGCACACGCATGTTTATAAGCAGCATAATTCACAATTGCAAAAATGTGGAACCAACCTAAATGCCCATCAATCAACGAGTGGATAAACTGTGGTATGTGTATGTATATATGTGTGTGTGTGTATATATATACGTATATATATACACACATATACACACACACATATATATGTGTATATATATGCGTATATATATGTGTGTATATATATGCGTATATATATACATATGTGTATATATACATATATAATATATATCATGGAATACTACTCAGCCACAAAAAGGAATGAATTGATGGCATTATCAGTGACATGGGTGACATTGGAGTCTATTATTCTAAGTGAAGTAACTCAGGAATGGAAAACCAAGCATTGTATGTTCTCACTCATAAGTGGGAGCTAAGCTACGAGGATGCAAAGGCATAAGAATGACACAATGGACTTTGGGGACTCAAAAGCAAAGGGTAGGGAGGGAGTAAGGGATAAAAGGCTACAAATTGGGTGCAGTGTATACTGCTCGTCTGATGGGCGCACCAAAATCTCACAAATCACCACTAAAGAACTTATATAACCAACACCACCTGTTCCCCAATGATTATGGAAATAAAAACATAGTTTAAAAAATAAATAAAAAATAAAACAAAAGGGAAAAAATTTGCTAGTGGGTCATTAGGGGTGATGGTGAGTGGTGCCACTTCCACCCCTTGATTACTGGACCCATGAATCCTGGCTATGGGGGAACGAGTACCACAAACTGGGTGTTGATTCAGAGCATATACAGCCTTCTGGAGAACTTTGCCCCAGCCCTGTAAAGTATTGCCACCTAATTGGCATTGTAATTGTGACTTCAAAAGGCCATTCCACCTTTCTATCAATCCAGCTGCTTCAGGATGATAGGGAACATGGTAAGACCAGTGAATTCCATGAGCATGAGTCTACTGCTGCACTTCTTTATCTATAAAGTGAATACCTTGGTCAGAGGCAATACTACGTGGAATACCATGATGGTGGATAAAGCATTCCATGAGTCCATGGATAGTAGTTTTGGCAGAATCATTGTATGCATCATAGGCAAACGCATAACTGGAGTACGTGTCTATTCTGGTGAGGACAAACCTCTGCCCTTTCCATGATAACAGAGGTCCAATATAATCAACCTGCCACCAAGTAGCTGGCTGATCACCCCGAGGAATGGTGCCATATAGAGGGCTCAGTGTTGGTCTTTGCTGCTGGCAAATTGGACACACAGCAGTGGCCGTAGCCAGATCAGCCTTGGTGAGTGGAAGTCCACATTGCTGAGCCCATGCGTAACCTCCATCCCTGCCACCATGGCCACTTTGTTCATGGGCCCATTGGGCAATGACAGGCGTGGCTGAGGAAAGAGGCTGAGTGGTGTCCACAGAACGGGTCATCCTCTCCACTTGATTATTAAAGTCCTCCTCTGCTGAGGTCACCCGTTGGTGAGCACTCACTTGGGATACAAATATCTTCACAGTTTTTGACCATTCAGAGAGGTCCATCCACATACCTCTTCCCCAAATGTCTTTGTCACCAATTTTTCACTCATGCTTCTTCCAAGACCCTGACCATCCAGGCAAACTATTGGCTACAGCCCATGAATCAGCATATAATTGCACATCTGGCCATTTCTCCTTCCATGCAGAGTGCACAACCAGGTGCACTGCTCAAAGTTCTGCCCACTGGGAAAATTTCTCTTCACTGCTGTCCTTCAGGGATGTCCTAGAAAGGGGCTGTAGTGCTGTAGCTGTCCACTGTTGGGTGGTGCCTGTGTATCATGCAGAATCATCTGTGAACCAGACCCTACTATTCTCTTCCTCTGTCCACTGATCATAGGGAACTCCCCATGGGGCCACTGGTGCAGGCTAGGGGAGAGAAGGCAGGGTGGCAGGAGTGGGGACCATGGGCATTTGAGCCACTTCCTCATGTAACTTACTTGTGCCTTTAGGAGCTGCTCGAGCCCGATCATGTATATACCACTTCCATTTGATGATGGAATGCTGCTGCGTATCACCTACTTTATGGCTAGATGGGTCAGAAAGCACCCAGTTCATGATAAGCAGTTCAGGTTGCATTGTGACTTGATGACCCATAGTCAAATGTTTAGTTTCTACCAAAGCCCAGTAACAGGCCAAGAGCTGACTCTCAAAAGGAGAATGATTATCTGCAGAAGACGGCAGGGCCTTGCTCCAAAATCCGAGAGGGCTCCACTGTGATTCACCTATGGGGGCCTGCCAATGTCTCCAAACAGCATCCCTATCTGCCACTGACACTTCACGCACCATTGGGTATGCTGGGTCATATGACCCAAATGGCAGAGCAGCTTGCATAGCACCCTGGACTTATTGCAGAGCCTTCTCCTGTTCTGGACCCCACTAAAAATTGGCAGCCTTTTGGGTCCCTGGATAAATGGGCCAAAATAACACACCAAAATGAGGAATGTGTTGCCTCCAAAATCCAAATAGGCCCACTAGGTGTTGTGACTCCTTCTTGGTTGTAGGAGGGGCCAAATGCAGCAACTTATCCTTCACCTTTCTAAGGTGATATTCTAAGGAATATCTTGACAGGCCCCACACCACTGGATCCCTAGAAATTTTACTGAGGTAAAAGGTCCCTGAATTTTAGTTGGATTTATTTCCCATCCTCTGGCATGCAAATGTCTCACCAATAAGTCCAGTGTGTTTGCTACTTCTCACTCTCTGGATCCAATCAGCATAATGTCATCAATATAATGGACCAGTGTGATATCTTGTGGAAGGGAAAAGCAAACAAGATCTCTCCAAACAAGATTATGACACAAAGCTGGAGAGTTGATATATCCCTGAGGTAGTACAGTAAAGGTATGTTGCTGGCCTTGCCCACTGAAGGCAAATTGCTTCTGGTGGGCCTTATGGACAGGAATGGAGCAAAAGGCATTTGCCAAGTCAGTGGCCACATACCAGGTATCAGGAGATGTGTTAATTTGCTCAAGCAATGAAACTACATCTGATACAGCAGCTGCAGTTGGAGTAAACCCTTTGTTAAGCTTACGATAATCCACTATCATTCTCCAAGATCCACCTGTCTTCTACACAGGCCAAATGGGAGAGTTGAACAGGGATGTGGTGGGAATCACCACCCCTGCATCTTTCAAGACCTTGATGGTGGCAGTAATCTCTGCAATTTTTGTAAGGATGCGATATTATTTTGATGTATGATATTTCTAGGTAGAGGCAGTTCTAATGGCTTCCATTTGGCCTTTCCCACCATAACAGCCCTCACTTTACCAGTCAGGGAGCCAATGTGGAGGTTCTGCCAGCTACTAAGTATGTCTGTCCCAATTATGCATTCTGGCACTGGGGAAATGACCACAGGGTGAGTCCAAGGACCCACTGGAGCCACTCTATGTTGGATCTGAGCTAAAACTCCATTAATTACCTGACCTCCATAAGCCCCTACCTTAACTGGAGGATCACAATAACATTTTTGAGTCCCCCGGAATCAATGTCAGCTCAGAGCCAGTGACCAGTAGTCCCTGAAAGGTCTGATTATTTCCCTTTCCCCTATGCACAGTTACCCTAGTAAAAGGCTGGAGGTCTCTTTGGGGAAAGATGGAAGAAAGATTAACAGCATAAACTGTTGGTAGTGTAGTGGGATCCTTCCTCAAGGGGATCCAGCCTTTCCTTCAAGTAAAGTGGTTCAAGTTTACAAACTGTAAACTGGTTCAAGTCTGGAAATTGGTTGAGGGTCCATGATTCTGTCTTTATAATTCAAATCAGTCTTTTGTCCACTTGACATGGAATTTTCTGCTTATATAAATTAAGTAAAAATGCAGTGGGCTTCCTAGCAATTTCACTTCTAGAAACACCGTGATTAATTAGCCAATGCCAGAGCTCTACATGAGTCAGACTATTCTGATTGCTACTTTGCCTCTGCTGTCCATTGCAGTAACTATGCCCACCTTGCCTTTGATGGTTGAGTGCCACCGCTTGGCCTCTGCCATCTTGGGATCCAATTATTCCCACTGCATTTAAATTTTATAGCTGAAGTGACTGTGGTTCCCACTGTAAGATCGGCATACAGAGAAGAGCAATCACAGAGCTCTTCAAGGATGCAGGTGCTGCCCACACAAATCTATTTCTCGAAGTATTGGTCAAGATTATGTCTTCTGGACCCTCCCAGCTGGGATGAGTAGGTCTAAAGTGACTAATCCACTCTAGCATCCTGATCTCCTAAGACTTTGGATCTTTTTCTCTACATTAAACCAAGAGAGATCAGGCATTTCCAGCTCGCTCACAGTGGGCCATCTTTTAATCCATATTTCAGCTAACAAAGCCAATAAACTATTAGAATCTTTTTTAACTCCCCAGTCTGCAACATTAAATGCAGAATCCCTGCTTAGTGGGCCTAAATCAATAAATTAAGCCTGTTCCAACTTTGTGTTCCTTCCACCATTATCCTACACCCTTAATATTCATTCTCATGCATGTGCTCCAGATTTCTGCTTAAATAAATTAGAAAACTCAAGCAGTTCTTTTGGAGTGTAGTGCACCTCCATGTGGGTTACACTTTGAACCTCAACTCCAGGGGTCTGCCAGGACTTCAGCCTAATTATAGGTCTAGAAGCAAACAGGGGTGTTGGGAGTGGGTCCTGAGGAAAATCAGCATTGTCTTGCCTGGCACCTGCCCCAAGGGAGGCCATCACTGTTACCTCAGGCAGTGCAGGGTTAATTTCCTCAGCAAATGTGGAAGGGCTGATGGCAGCGTGGGTCATAGATTGGGAAGGGGATGTTGCCACCACTTGGAGTGGGGAGGCTGTTTCCTCCGCCCAAAAAGTCTCATCAGAATTTAGGAGCTCAGTGCCTCCAGCCTCATCAGGGTCCTCCCACATGTCCCCATTTTAAGTTGCATGGTCCCATTCTTTTCCAATCAATGTCCTCACTTTAATAGTGGATACCTGGTGAGGTTGTGCATGCATCTTTTGTTGCAGGTCAGCCACTCACAGGATAAGAGCTTGTGTCTGATTTTCCACAATTTCAGCTTTTTTTCTACAGAAGATAAGACTCTCACTTAGGGCAACCTTAGAAGATTTGAGGCTTAGTATGTGCTTCTAGAGCCGGGAGATAGAATCCCTGACTTCATTTTCTTTTATCACATTGTCTAGTGAACTTAGGAGCAACCAACCAACTTCTTTACATTCCGTAGTTCTTCACATATGGTCAAAGGTATTATGTATAGAGTTACTAAACTCCTTGCATCTCTTGAGCAGTGAATCAGGAGTATCAAATGCATTTATTTTGCATAACTCTCTAAACAGTTCACACCAAGAACTATCAGTGTTCTCCATACTATTAGAAGTAGAATCCTTAGCATTTTTGGGTCTAATCATATTAAGCAGGCAACTCCAGAAACCCCAAAGGCAACTAAATACTCCATCCTTAAAATTCTGTTCCTCTAGAACCACTCCCAGTACCAAAATCTGTATTAGGGTTCTCTTGAGGGCTGGACTAAGAGGATAGATATATAGACAAAAGGGAGTTTATTAAGGAGTATTGACTCACACAATCAAAAGGTGAGGTTCCTCAGTAGGCCATCTGCAAGCTGAGGAGCAAGGAATCCAGTCCTATTTCCAAAACCTCAAAAGTAGGGAAGCTGACAGTGCAGCAGAAGGCCTGAGAGCCCCTGGAAAACTACTGGTGTAGGTCCAAGAGTCCAAAAGCTGAAGAACTTCGAGTCTGGTGTTGAAGGGCAGGAAGCATCCAGCACAGGTGAAAGATGTAGGCTAGGAGACTAAGCCAGTTTAGTCTTTCACATTCTTCTGCCTGCTTTTATTCTGGCCATTCTGGCAGCTGATTAGGTGGTGCCCACCCAGATTGAGAGTGGATCTGCCTCTCCTAGTCCACTGACTCAAATGTTAATTTCCTTTGGCAACACCCTCACAGACACACCCAGGAACAATACTTTGCATCCTTCAATCCAATCACATTGATACCTTGTTTTATTTCATCATAATTTGAGAAGATAACTGATATGATTTTGACTTTTTAATATTTGTTTAGACTTGTTTGTGGCCTGATATGTGATCTTCCATGTGCCAATGAGAAGCATGTGTATTCTGCACTTGATCTTAGCCAAAAGGCGAAGTGATGAGAATGTGTATTCAGTAGTTGTTGGAGGAAATGTTCTGTAAATGTCTGTTAGGTCCATTTGATATATAGCACAGTTTAAGTTTAATGTTTCTTTGTTGATTTTCTGTCTAGATGATATCCAGTGCTGATAGTGGGATGCTGAAGTTTCCAACTATTATTGTCTTGGGGACTCTTTCTCTCCTTAGCTCTAATAATAATTCCTGTTTAGAACTGGGTTCTCTAGGGTTAGCTTTTTATATATTTATAATTGTTATATCCTCTCTCTGGATTGATTTCTATATCATTATATACTAATCTTTTTGTCTCTTTTTTAAAATTTAAAGTCTATTTGTCTGTTGTAAGTATAGCTATTTCTTAACTCTTACTTTCCATTTGTGTGCATAATCTTTTTCGATTCATTCACTGTCAGTCTATGTGTGTCTTTACAGGTAAAATGAATTTCTTGTAGGCATCATATAGTTGCTTCTTGGTTTTTTGTTATCAATTCTGTCTGTCTATATCTTTTAATTCAGGAATTTAAACCACTTACATTCAAGATTGTTATTGATAGATAAGAACTTGTTCTTGTCATTTTGTTGTCTTCTAATTGTTTTGTATATTTTTTATGTTATTTCTTAGCTTTGTAATTGGTGGCTTTTTATATTCGTCTTTTCATTTGTGTGTCCCTCTTCCAGTATGTTTTTGATATGGTTTGGATGTTTGTCGCCTCCACCATTGAAACTACCATTTAATTGAACACTTTAAATGGGTAAATTATATAGTATGATATACACTCCTAATCACTACTTTCTAATATAAATTTCCCACTAATAACTTTCAGATATTTTAACATTTATTCATGAATTTAACTATTTCTCAAAAAAGAAAAAGACATCCATCTATTATGTCTAGGTAACAACTGGTTTTAGTTTCCAGTGTTTACAGGTTTCTAGTAGGCACATGTGCTGCTGGAACTAGATTTCACTGACAAAACTTTAGTCCCAGTAGTTGACTTTAGTTCATCAATCCTAATCACCCCTTTCTAACATAAATTCCTCCTTAATAAATTTCAGGTATTTTTCCTGTTATTAAACATGGTTAGACTACTAAATCCAACAAAAGAGTCAAATTGTGTAAAAACTCCAATGGAAAAGTACCCAATTTTACTCCTTGTATTTCTGCAAATTTAATCATATCCTAAGCTACGAGGTCCACATGGTAAAGGGACCTAAGAGGGCATGTTTTCCTCAATCTACAAGATATCTTATTATTTTCCATCGCTGGTGCTTACTTGGTTTAAAGTTAACCTAAAAATCACATTAAAATATTTCTGGATGAGTCAAAGTATTTCTGCACTATAATAATTTCCTGTGATTATGAAGATCATTGTTTTCAAGTTGCTAGGTGGAAAAAAAGTTATGTTTCGTCTTACCAGGTATATCCATGTGGTATGAATGTGATTCAATATAAACTTTAAAGTCATGTTATTATCATAAATTCTGTAGGATATTTTAATTTTGCGTTACAGATAAGCACTGTTCAAAGTATTGTGGGGCATCAGGTTGTGCAACAACTTTGTTATCACCTCGATATGTGGTCTTGGTCGAATCACTAAACATTTCTATGCCTCAATACACTAAGGCTTATATGATTGCTAACAGACCTTCCACTCCTAATGTTTAGTGATTTGGCAATTCAGACATTTTGCTATAACTTTTATTCATTAATAACAAAGGCTGATTAATTTAATACACACACACACACACACACACCCCTCACATTCCTATGTAAGGATTACCTCGCAAAGTATTTTTAAATCCATCTATTTCTATAGAGACTGATATAGAAAGCTTGAGAGGTGCTTTGGGAAGACGCTTATTAAATGATGAATTCAAGACACAGTCAAAGAGTTTCCCTGGTAAGAAAATATTTTTAAGTCTAATATTTCTCATTTATTTTTCTCCTTCAAAGTTTAAGTGTGTATCCTTAATAGCAATGGTGCCCATTTGTTATTATGACATGGGCACAGGTTCTCATGAATACCCTCCCATATTTGGTTTTACTCTAGAACATATTTACTAGAAATGTAAAGCTAGCTAGATATTATTACTTTTAGGACTCATCCATTTAGAAAGTAATCCATAAAATAATATAGTATAGTGAGCTTAGAATATACTTGGGACAAGTATGTTCAAAATTATTTTAGTCCCTTTCTATTTACAGTTTAGATAGAAAGTTACTTTAAATTTGCAAAAGCGGAAAGGCTATCTGATGAGTGCAATAAGTAAAGGAAAAAGACAGTTGTTTTATTCTTACAAATTCCCTCTATACTTTAAAATGTCAGGCATGGTAATAATCTCTCAACTATGGCAGAATCCTTCAGTTGTGTAAAATAGTTCAGATATTATACTACTGCCTTTGGTACAAGAGTAGCAGTGTTAGGCAAAACACCCTTTGATCTCTGGTGTGATACAAAGGAAGGCAGACAGGTTAATAGAGAATTAAGTAAAAGACATACTCAAAGAGGGACCCTCTAAAACCACTGTCATCCAGAGGTGGTTGTTACATGCCCAAAGCTGTTTTATTGTAGGAACGGCATTAGAGGCTTCACATTGCAGGATGTATTGAGCCATTCTTGCATTGCTATAAAGGAATACCTGAGACTGGGTAATTTATAAAGAAAAGAGGCTGTACAAGCATAGTGCCAGCATCTACTTGGCTTCTGGGGAGGCCTCAGGGCGCTTTTACTCACGGCAGAAAGTAAAGCAGAACAGGCACATTACATGACAAGAGCAGGAGCAAGAGAAAGAAGGGGGAAGGTGCTACATACTTTTGAACAACTGGATCTCACAAGAACTCATATACTATTGTGAGAACAGCACCATTCCATGGAGAAGGATCTGCCCTTGTGACACAAACACGTCCCACCTCCAACAATGGGGATTACATTTCAACATGAGATTTGGACAGGAAAAACATACAAACCATATCACAGGGGAAAGAGTTTTCGGTAAAATAATCAAGCCAAATCACTGAAGAAATAAATAAGCAAACAATAATAACATACCCAGAAAGAAGAGGAAAAGAATCAAAATTAAGATTGCTACATTATATGTCTAAAATGTCCAGTTTTCAGCATAAAAGTATGAGTTATTCTAATAAGGAAGAAAGTATGACCCATACACAGAAGAAGAGCAGGCAAAAAAACAGCTTATGAGAATCCTAGCTGTTAGACTTAGCAGACAATGACTACAAAGCAGTTAGTATAAATATATTGAAAGAACTAAAGGAAACCATTCTTTAACAAGAAAAGGAAGATATTATGACAATGTTTCATCAAATAGAAGATATCTACAAAGAGATAAAAAATATTTTGCAAAGGGCCACATGGAAATTACAGTGTTAAAAAGTACAAAAATTGGAAGTAAAAATTTACTAGAGGGGTTCAAGTACATTTGAACTGTCCAAAGAAAGAATTAAAAAACTTAAAGTATTAGGAACACTAAAAAGAAAACAGAGAGAGAAAGGAGCAGAAAAAATATGGATGAAAACTTTTTGAAGAATATTTAATGATAAATGAGTCTACACATCCAAGCTCAATTAATTCTAAGTAGAATAAACACAAGGGAATCTATAATCACACTCATAGTAACAATGTTGAAAGATAAAGAGAAAAGCTTAAAAGCAGCAAGAGAAAAACAATGCATGATGTAAAAGAGAACCCCACTAAGATTAAAAGCTGACTACTTATCATTAGGAACTATTAGGGCCAGAAGGCATTGGGACAGCACATTCAAAAAGCTAAATGAAGGACTGTTAACCAAAAATCTTATATCCAGCAAAACTATTTATTGAACATGAAGGTGAAATGAAGATATTTCTAAATAGACTTTTTTAAATTAGAAAATTTATTCCTATCAGAACTGCTTTCCAAGAAATATAGAGTTCTTCAGGTTGAAAACCATTGACCTCTGACACTAACTTGAACCCATAAAACGAACATAGGTTAAAGGAATTCTGTAACTCTGAAAGACCATATAAATATACTTCACTTCTTTCTACTCTTAATTTTAACTCTTAATTGATATAAAATGCAATTGTATAAAAAATATTTACAGAATTTTATTGCTGGGACTTTAAAATATAGACATGTAGTATATTCCAGAATGTTAGCACACAGGCGATGGTTGAGAGAAATGATGTATTGAAGTTAAAAAAAAATGACAAGAGAGGGGGCTCCAAGATGACTGTCTTAAAGATATCTGGCACTCTTCTCAACACATACAAAAAAACAAATTTGGGAATTGATAATCATATTTCAAATAGATCGTCTAATCAGGAACACTAGAATTCAGCAGAGAATTAACAGGAAACACCTGAGGCATAGAAGGAAAGGGAAAGGAGGCAGCTGACCTAAGTAGGATCGATAAAGTCCAGAGAGGCTCCCCAGTGTGGGAAAAGGGTGAGAGGTCCCTAGAAGTCAACATTCCCACCATAGATTCCTCCAATCCTAGCCATGGGAGAGCCACCCTTACAGGCCCTGACCAGTGGCATTGCTCTAGAGAGGGAGCTCATGTGAGTCACACACACACACCGTGAGAACCAAGCAGATGCAGCATAGTGCCTTTTTTCCTCTGCCTCCTGGGTTCAAGTGATTCTTCTGTCTTAGCCTCCCAAGTAGCTGGGACTACAGGCATGCACCACCATGCCCAGCTAATTTTTGTATTTTCAGTAGTGATGGGGTTTTTCCATGTTGGCCAGGCTGGTGTGGCCCAACATCCCTACATCGTAGAGCCCCACTGACATCCCCCTGCATCTATGCAGTGGGCTGCAGACACTGCCACTGAGAGCAACTCAATCCTACCCAGCGGCAGGACCACCACACAGTTGGATGCACCCTGAGAACAGGCTCTCCCTGACAACTGCCATTGCTGTTAATGCCACCCAGGCACACCACTTGGGGTCCTGGGGATTTCCCCACCCTGCCTGCCAAAGCATGTGCCCATGCATACCATTGGGGGATCTGAGAACCAGCCCTCTCAGCCTAGAGCCGTGTTTCAGTGCCCAAAAATGCCTCCCAGGGGCCAGGGGATTACCTTGCCCCATCAGTTGCCCTGATTACCAGGGGACCTCACAATAGGCCCAGAAACCTGTCAGCAGCACCAAAGCATGACACCCAAAGGCCGGGGGCTCATCCTGCCCCATTTACCACCACAGGCATCTGTGCACTCTTCCTGGGTCCTGGAGGATGAACTCAGCTAGCCAGTTGTAGCCACTACTAACACCAGTGCATGCTACTTGGGAGCCTGTGGGTTGTTTCACCACTGTGACTTTTATTGCCCACATCATGTACACTGTCTGGAGGCTCAAGGACCCACCTACCTGCTGGCACCATGGCCAGCACTCAAGCAAGCCACCTAGAGGCCCAAGGATTAGCCTGCCTGGACTCACTAATCCTGATGCTCACATATATCACCTAGGGGCCCAAGGATAGGCATGCTCAGCCATTGCTATCACTAATGAGGCCAAGGACTGATTCACCTGGGGTCCCTGTCCCCAGCAAAGCCTCACGGCAGCATCCACTAGCAACTACAGCCTAAGTCATTGAAGAAATGATGGACATCACTGACACTGTTATAGCTGAAAAAAAAAATTATACAGAGGCCGTATACCACTGCATACACCCAGAATCAAAGCTAAAATGCCCAACCCAGGGTAGGCATGGTGACTCATGCCTATACCCCAGCACTTTGGGAGGTGAAGGTGGCAGGATCACTTGAGATCAGACATTTGAGGCCAGCCTTGGTTCAAGACCAGTGAGACACTGTCTCTACCAAAAAACTTTTTTTAATTTGAAAAGTGCCCTATCCAACCAACATCATAGATAGCATCTTCAGGAAAAAGTTTTGCTCTGTGAAAGCCAATCCACAAATTGAGAGAAGTGAGTGTTACATGAGATGACAGACACATAAGTACACAAGAAACATGAAAAAGCGAGGAAATGTGACACCTCAAAAAGAACACAATAATTCTTCAGCAACAGATTCCAGTGAAAAAGAAATTAATGAAACGCCTGAAACAGAATTGAAAATAATGATATTAAAGAAGCTCAATGAGGTAGAAGAGAACACAGATAAACAATACAAAGAAATCAGAAAAATAATTTTGAGAGGAATGAAAAATTTATTAAAGAGGTAGATATCATTAAGAAAAGAACCAAACAGAAATCCCATAATTCAATTCAATTAATAAAACAAAAAATACATTCAGTGGGAGAAAATTTTTGCAATCTACCCATCTGACAAAGGGCTAATATCCAGAATCTACAAAGAACTCAAACAAATTTGCAAGAAAAAAACAAACAGCCCCATCAAAAAGTGGGCAAAGGATATGAACAGACACTTTTTAAAAGAAGACATTTATGCAGCCAACAGACACAAGAAAAAATGCTCATCATCACTGGTCATCAGAGAAATGCAAATCAAAACCACAATGAGATACCATCTCACACCAGTTAGAATGGCAATCATTAAAAAGTCAGAAAACAACAGATGCTGGAGAGGATGTGGAGAAATAGGAACACTTTTACACTGTTAGTGGGACTGTAAACTAGTTCAACCATTGTGGAAGTCAGTGTGGCAATTCCTCAGGGATCTAGAACTAGAAATACCATTTGACCCAGCCATCCCATTACTTGGTATATACCCAAAGGATTATAAATCATGCTACTATAAAGACACATGCACGCATATGTTTATTGCGGCACTATTCACAATAGCAAAAACTGGGAACGAACTCAAATGTCTATCAGTGATAGACTGGATTAAGAAAATGTGGCACATATACACCATGGATGTGGAAACACACAAATGAGGAAGAAAAAGAACTCAAATGTTACTATGGCAGAAAATCACCAAACCACAATGATAAACAACACAAGAGAAAGAAAGAAACAAAGGATAAAGAAAACAACCAGAAAATAAGAAAACAATAGGAATAAGTTCTCACATATCAATATTATTCTTGAATGTAAACAGAAAATGGCTGAATGGATTTTAAAAACATGAGCAAACTGTATACTGCCTATAAGAAACTCACTTCACCTGTAAAGAAACATATAGACTGGTAGTGAAGGAATGGAAAAAATATTCCATGCAAACAGAAAACAAAAGTGAGCAGGAGTAGCTGTACTTATTTCAGATAAAACAGACTTTAAGTCAAAAACAATAAAAAGAGATAAGGATAATTATTATATAATGATAAAAGGATCAATTCAGAAAGAGGATATACCAATTTTAAACTTATATTCACCCAACATTGAAGCATCCAGATATATAAAGCAAATATTAAATCTAAAGGGACAGAGACAGTCCAATAAAATAATAGCTAGAAACTTCAACACCTCATTCTCAGCATTAGACAGATTGTCTAGACAGAAAATCAACGAAGAAACATTGAGTTTAAACATCAGTTTAAACCAAATGGCCCTAACAGATAATTACAAAGTATTTTCTTCAGTAACTGCAGAACACACATTCTTCTCGTCAGCACATGGAACATTCTCCAGGTTAGACCATATGTTAGGCCACAAAAGATGTCTTAACAAATTTTTAAAAATCAAAATCATATCAAGTATTTTTTCAGACCATGACAGATTAAAACTAGAAATCAAAAACTAGAGGAACTTTGGGAACTGTGCAAACACATGGAAATTAAGCAAAGTGCTCATGAATGATCACTGAATCAATGAAGAGATTAAAAAGGAAATCAAAAAATGCTTGAAACAAATGAAAATGAAAATGCAACATATCAAAACCTATGGGATATAACAAAAGCAATGCTAAAAATGGAAGTTTATAGCAATAAACACCTCCATCAAAGAGTAGAAAGATTTCAAATAAATTAACAATGCACCTCAAGAGACTAGAAAAGCAAAAACAAACCAATCACAACAAAAATTAATAGAAGAAAAGCAAAAAGGATCAGAGCAGAACTAAGTGAAATA
This sequence comes from Homo sapiens, assembly GCF_000001405.40. NCBI lineage: Eukaryota > Metazoa > Chordata > Mammalia > Primates > Hominidae > Homo > Homo sapiens. Next base: position 32,811,186 of record NC_000010.11, read on the forward strand.
GATACTTAAGCAAAGGATCAACCAAATCAAAACTTGGTGTTTTAAAAAGATGAAATTAATAAACCACTAGGTAGACTAACTTAAAAAAAGATAGAAGATACAAATTAACAAAATCAGAAATGAAAAAGGAGATAGAACTGATACCACAGAATTACAAAAGATCATCAGAAAATATTATGAACAACTATACGCTGATAAACTGGAAAATCTAGAGGAAATTGATAGATTTCTGGACACATATAGCCTACCAAGATTGAATTAAGAAGAAATAGAAAATCTGGTTAATGGGTACTACAAACGTGCTGTTAGATAAAAAGAATAAGTTATAAAGTTCCGTAGCAGAGGAGATTGATTATAGTTAATAACAATGTATTTTGTATTTCAGAATAGCTAGAGAGAGGTCTAGAAATGTTCCCAACACATGACTAGATGGCCTCACTGCCAATTTTTTCCAAACCTTTAAAGAACTAACACCAATTCCCCTCAAACTATTCCAAAAAATTGAAGAGGACGGAATTCTCTGTAACTCAGTCTACAAGGCCAGCATTTACTCTGATACCAAAACCAGACAAGGACATAAAAAAATAAAAGTACAAGTCAATATCTCTGATGAACATCAACATAAAAATCCCCAACAAAATGCTAGCAAACCAAATTCAACAACATATCAGGAAGATAATGCACTGTGATCAAGTTGGATCTATCCCACGGATGTAAGGGTGGTTTAACATATACAAATCAATAAACAAGGTAGATCAACAGAAAGAAGGACAAAACCATATAATCACCTCAGTAGATGCAGAAAAAACATTTGATAAAATTCAACATTCCTTCATGATAAAATTCTCAACAACTTAGGCATAAAAGGAATGTACCTCAAACTAATAAAGTCCATATATGACAGACCCACAGCTAACATCATACTGAATGATGATAAATCGCTGAGGTGATATTCTAAATAATCTGACTTGATTTTTATGCACACTATACATATAACCAAATATCACATGTACCCCATAAATAGGCACAAATATTATGTATTAACAAAAAAGAAAATGACAAGATATGATAATCTGAAACCACAGGAACAAATTAATAGAACCAGAAATTATAAATAAGAAGGTTAATATAATACAAATTGGAAATATATATTTTCTTTCTTGCCTCAGCTTTTTAAAAAAGCATAAAATTATATAAAGAAATAATTATAACAACAACTATAACCATGTCTTTATTATTTACAAATGTGCTATGTATAACAATAGCACAAAAATGGGGAACGGAATACAGCTATATGGGAGTTACTTTTCTATATTTCACTGGAATTTAGTATAAATTTAAAGTACTTTTTAAACTTGACTGTGATGATGGTGACAGACATTACTGAATGTATTAAAATCCATAGAATTTAAGATTTTAGATAGCTTATTTAAAATACTCAGTGAACTTCAAGCAGAAAAACATTTTTAAAAGATTTAAAGCAAAGGGAGGATATTGTGAAGGAGAAAGATTGTAACTCTTAGTAAATTATAAGTGTCTCCAGCACATACCTTTTAATTTCTAGTATTTAACCCAATATTTCCTCAGATGGTCTCATTTTTTTCCCTGATTGTGTAAGGATCATTTGCTTGCTCATTTCAAATGAACCCGTCCTTCTTTGATATATCAGTTGAAGAAAGAACAAAGGAAGCTAAAATACATCTGCCGATGTTTCCAGTTTTGAGTCGCTATATCTCTTATATTGTTACTTGATTACTGAAAACTTGTTCTGCTCAATCTTATGGATCACTTTTTACTTTGGTAGTGAGGCAGTGCTCAGTATAGAATGCAGTTGTGGCATATTTGAGCAGCTGGTGTCATAATGCAACCATTTACATTATTCATGTATTCACCAATTTTCCCAAAACAGCAACAACAACAACAACAACAACAACAAACCGCTCTACAATACAATGGAAGGATTATGACAAGTGTCCAACCATAGTTATATACTCTGCTAGAGCCAATTCTACCCACAGAATCTTAAGCCCAATGTTGACCTTATGTCACCAATCCTCATTATCCCCTTTTCAATATGAATTTCTTTTTAATAATTTTTATACGTTTTTATCTCATTGAACTTAGTAGTTTCTAATTCCAGGAAAATATCAAACCACATAAAAACTTAAATGGAAACGGATCCAATAACAATTCTGATAGTGCTGCAAATCTGACCATTACCTCCTTGATTCATGTTCAAGGGACCTCAGAGGGCAGTTTTTCTCAGTTTTACAAATATCTTGTAATGTTTTTCATAACCAATATCTAAAGAATTTACAATTACATAACGTAAAAAGGGGAAAGAAATATTCCTCAATGAATCAAATAATTTCTGCCTCATGAGAAGTTTCTGTGACTAATGAGGCCATGGTTTGCAGCTTGACCTATGGAAAAAAATGTTCCACCTCACATAGTACATACCTACAGGTTGGGTATATTTTTAGTGTAAACTTGAAAGATACATTATCATCATAATGTCCCTAGGATGATTTCAATTTGCATAAGAAATAGCATTGTATAGAACAATTACTGGTTAAGAAATTGTGCAGCATCAGGTTGTGCATCAGTTTTACCTTTCCCTGGCTATATGATATTTCAATTCATTAAACATATCTAAGCCTGAATATAGTCTGGCTTATATAATTGTTAACATCCTTTCCTTTTTAAGGTTTTTGTTATTTTCCAATCCAGACATTTCATTTTAATTCTTCTATAAATACAATTTTTATTTTCATTTATTTTTTTCTTTTTTGCGACAGAGTCTCGCTGTGTCACCGGGCTGGAGTGCAGTGGCATGATCTCAGCTCACTGCAACCTCCGACTCCTGGGTTTGAGTGATTCTTCTGCCTCAGCCTCCCAAGTAGCTGGGACTACAGGCATGCGCCACCACACCCAGCTAATTTTTGTATTTTTAGTAGAGACGGGGTTTCACCATGTTGGCCAGGATGGTCTCGATCTCTTGACCTCATGATCCACCTGCACTTTGGCCTCCCAAAGTGCTGGGATTACAGGCGTGAGCCACCGTGCCCAGCCACAAATATTTTAAGTTAGTAACACACACACATATATGTACATGCACTCACACTGTCACATTTGTGTATAAATGATTACCTTACAGTGTTTTGATACCTGTTTATTTCTATAGGGCCTGATATAGAACAATTGACAGATGCATTTGGAAGAGATATACTAAAGGATGAATTCAAGACACGATCAAAGAGTCTCCCTGGTAAGAACAAAAACTTTACACATTTAGTATTTCTGGTTAGTTTATATTCTCTGGAGTGTAACTAAGTGTGCATCTTTAAGGAGAACAGTGCCTATGAATTATTACATAGGCAAAAGTCTTTATGAATTCCCCTCTATAATATTTCAACTCTAGTTTCAACTAGCAATGTAAAATTAGCTTTTCAAAAGCAGAAGGGCTAGATGATGGATGTGATAAGAAGATGAATATAACAGATAGTAATTTTATTGGTTACCAGTTGACTCTATATGGTAAAAATATCAGTCAAGTTTGTAACATCTCAGCTGCAATAAAGTTATTTAGTTATATTTTTCAGAGATTACACAACTGAATTTAGTCCTGGGGTTACAGTGTTAGACACACTTCTCTATGACCGTTGGTGTGATACCAAAAGAAGACATTTTAACAAATAAATAATGGAAAGAGACATTCAAAGAGTGCCCTGCTAAAACCACTGTCATCCGAGGGAAACTGTTTGCATGCCCAAGGAGATGCCCTCAAAAAGCAACATAAGAGACTTTACACTGTAGAGGAAAGAGACTTTAGGAAAATACTTCTATCAAATCACACACATACACAAACACCCCACCACCAACAACAACAACAAGCAGCAAACAAACAAAAACAACAAGCCCCACAAAAAGGAAGAGTCAATCAACATACAGATTTGCTATAATACATTATCTAAATTGTCCATATTTTAGCAAAAAAATTTAGGACATGCACAGAAACAGTACTCTGTAACCCAAACACAAGGAAAAAGGCAAGGAAAACTGCTTGTGAGAGTCCTACACGTTAGATTTAGCAGACAATGATTACAAAGTAGTCTAATAATAATAATAATATCATCAAATAATTAAAACATTTCTCAAAGAAGAAAAAGAAGGTACAATAACAATCTTTTATCAAATAGATGTCAACATTGTGATGTAAATTAAATTTTTAAAGAACCAAATTAATATTTGGAATTGAAAGGTAAAATAACTACAAGGGAAAATTCATTACAGGGTCAAGAAAAGATTTGAAATGTCAGAAGGAGTAAGCAAACTTAATATAATGGGAATACCAGAAGGAGAGTCTTCCAAGTAGAGAGAGAATAAGAAAAAATATTTGAAGAAAATTGGCTGAATACTTTGAAAAATATTTACTAGGTAATATTAATCTATACATCTGAGTTCTATTAAATCTAAGTAGAATAAATACAAATCAATCCATGACCAGACTAATCACTGTAAAAATGTTGAAAAAGAAAGAGAAAATGTACAATGCATCAAGAGGAAAACAATTCATCCCGTAGAAGAGAACCCCAGTGAGATTAACATCTGACTCAGCATTAGAAACTTTTGAAGTCCAGAAGGCTGTGGTGTTGTATATTAAAAGTGCTGAAAGAGCGGTGGAGCCAAGATGGCCAAATAGGAACAGCTCCAGTCCACAGCTCCCAGTGTGAGCAACGCAGAAGATGGGTGATTTCTGCATTTCCAACTGAGGTACCGGGTTCATCTCACTTGGGAGTGTTGGCAGGACAGTGGGTGCAGTGCACCAAGTGTGAGCTGAAGCAGGGTGAGGCATCACCTCACCCGGGAAGTGCAAGGGATCAGGGAATTCCCTTTCCTAGTAAAAGAAAGGGGTGACACATGGCACCTGGAAAACCGGGTCACTCCCACCCTAATACTGCACTTTTCCAATGGTCTTAGCAAATGGCACACCAGGAGATTATATCCTGCGCATGGCTCGGAGGGTCCTGCGCCCATGGAGCCTCGCTCATTGCTAGCACAGCAGTCTGAGATCAAACTGCAAGGTGGCAGCGAGGCTGGTGGAGGGGTGCCTGCGATTGCTGAGGCTTGAGTAGGTAAACAAAGCAGCCAGGAAGCTCAAACTGGGTGGAGCCCACCGCAGCTCAAGGAGGCCTGCCTGCCTCTGTAGACTCCACCTCTGGGGGCAGGGCATTGCCAAACAAAAGGCAGCAGAAACCTCTGCAGACTTAAATGTCCCTGTCTGACAGCTTTGAAGAGAGTAGTGGTTCTCCTAGCACGCAGCTGGAGATCTGAGAATGGACAGACTGCCTCCTCAAGTGGGTTCCTGACCCTCGAGTAGCCTAACTGGGAGGCAACCCCTAGTAGGGGCAGACTGACACCTCACATGGCCAGGTACTCCTCTGAGACAAAACTTCCAGAGGAACGATCAGGCAGCAACATTTGCTGTTCACCAATATCCGCTGTTCTGCAGCCTCCGCTGCTGATACCCAGGCAAACAGGGTCTGGAGTAGACCTCCAGCAAACTCCAACAGACCTGCAGCTGAGGGTCCTGACTATTAGAAGGAAAACTAACAAACACAAAGGACATCCACACCAAAACCCCATCTATGCATCACCATCATCAAAGACCAAAGGTAGATAAAACCACAAAGATGGGGAAAAAAAAGAGCAGAAAAAACAGAAACTCTAAAAATCAGAGTGCCTCTCCTCCTCCAAAGGAAAGCAGCTCCTCACAAGCAACGGAACAAAGCTGGATGGAGAATGACTTTGATGAGTTGAGAGAAGAAGGCTTCAGATGATCAGACTACTCTGAGCTAAAGCAGGAAGTTCGAACCCATGGCGAAGAAGTTAAAAACCTTGAAAAAAAAATTAGACAAATGGCTAACTAGAATAACCAATGCAGAGAAGTCCTTAAAGGACCTGATGGAGCTGAAAACCATGGCACGAGAAGTACGCGACGTATGCACAAGCCTGAGTAGCCGATTTGATCAACTGGAAGAGGGGGTATCAGTGATGGAAGATCAAATGAATGAAATGAAGCAAGAAGAGAAGTTTAGAGAAAAAAGAATAAAAAGAAACAAACAAAGCCTTCAAGAAATATGGGACTACATGAAAAGACCAAATCTACGTCTGATTGGTGTACCCGAAAGTGACAGGGAGAATGGAACCAAGTTGGAAAACACTCTGTAGGATATTATCCAGGAGAACTTCCCCAATCTAGCAAGGCAGGCCAACATTCAAATTCAGGAAATACAGAGAAAGCCACAAAGATACTCCTCGAGAAGAGCAACTCCAAGACACATAATTGTCAGATTCACCAAAGTTGAAATGAAGGAAAAAATGTTAAGGGCAGCCAGAGAGAAAGGTCAGGTTACCCACAAAGGGAAGCCCATCAGACTAACAGCTGATCTCTCAGCAGAAACTCTACAAGCCAGAAGAGAGTGGGGGCCAATATTCAACATTCTTAAAGAAAAGAATTTTCAACTCAGAATTTCATATCCAGCCAAACTAAGCTTCATAAGTGAAGGAGAAATAAAATCCTTTACAGACAAGCAAATGTTGAGAGATTTTGTCACCACCAGGCCTGCCCTAAAAGAGCTACTGAAGGAAGCACTAAACATGGAAAGGAACAACCGGTACCAGCCACGGCAAAAACATGCCAAATGGTAAAGACTGTCAAGGCTAGGAAGAAACTGCATCAACTAACGAGCAAAATAACCAGCTAACATCATAATGACATGATCAAATCCACACATAACAATATTAACCTTAAATGTAAATAGGCTAAATGCTCTAATTAAAAGACACAGACTGGCAAATTGGATAAAGAGTCAAGACCCATCAGTGTGCTGTATTCAGGAAACCCATCTCATGTGCAGAGACACACATAGGCTCAAAATAAAGGGATGGAGGAAGATCTACCAAGCAAATGGAAAACAAAAAAAGGCAAGGGTTGCAATCCTAGTTTCTGATAAAACAGACTTTAAACCAATGAAGATCAAAAGAGATAAAGAAGGCCATTACATAATGGTAAAGAGATCAATTCAACAAGAAGAGCTAACTATCCTAAATATATATGCACCCAATACAGGAGCACCCAGATTTATAAAGCAAGTCCTTAGAGACCTAGAAAGAGACTTAGACTCCCACACAATAATAATGGGAGACTTTAACACCCCACTGTCAACATTAGACAGATCAACGAGACAGAAAGTTAACAAGGATATCCAGGAATTGAACTCAGCTCTGCACCAAGTGGACCTAATAGACATCTACAGAACTCTCCACCCCAAATCAACAGAATATACATTCTTTTCAGCACCACACCACACCTATTCCAAAATTGACCACATAGTTGGAAGTAAAGCACTCCTCAGCAAATGTAAAAGCACAGAAATTATAACAAACTGTCTCTCAGACCACAGTGTAATCAAACTAAAACTCAGGATTAAGTAACTCAGGATTAACAACCTGCTCCTGAATGACTACTGGGTACATAACGAAATGAAGGCAGAAATAAAGATGTTCTTTGAAACCAATGAGAACAAAGACACAACATACCAGAATCTCTGGGACACATTCAAAGCAGTGTGTAGAGGGAAATTTATAGCACTAATACCCACAAGAGAAAAAAGGAAAGATCTAAAATTGACACCCTAACGTCACAATTAAAAGAACTAGAAAAGCAAGAGCAAACACATTGAAAAGCTAGCAGAAGGCCAGAAATAACTAAGATCAGAGCAGAACTGAAGGAAATAGAGACATAAATAACCCTTCAAAAAAATCAATGAATCCAGGAGCTGGTTTTTTGAAAAGATCAACAAAATTGATAGACCACTAGCAAGACCAATAAAGAAGAAAGGAGAGAAGAATCAAATAGACGCAATAAAAAATGATAAAGGGGATATCACCATTGATCCCACAGAAATAGAAACTACCATCAGAGAATACTATAAACACCTCTACACAAATAAACTAGAAAATCTAGAAGAAATGGATACATTCCTTGACACAAACACCCTCCCAAGACCAAACCAGGAAGAAGTTAAATCTCTGAATAGACCAATAACAGGCTCTGAAATTGAGGCAATAATTAATAGCTTACCAACCAAAAAAAGTCCAGGACCAGATGGATTCATAGCTGAATTCTCCCAGAGGTAAAAGGTGGAGCTGTTATGATTCCTTCTGAAACTATTCCAACCAATAGAAAAAGAGGGAATCCTCCCTAACTCATTTTATGAGGTCAGCATCATCCTGATACCAAAGCCTGACAGAGACACAACAAAAAAAAGAGAATTTTAGACCAATATCCCTCATGAACATCGATGCAAAAATCCTCAATAAAATACTGACAAACTGAATCCAGCAGCACATCAAAAAGCTTATCCACCATGATCAAATGGGCTTCATCCCTGGGATGCAAAGCTGGTTCAAAATATGCAAATCAATAAACGTGATCCAGCATATAAACAGAACCAATGACAAAAACCACATGATTATCTCAATAGATGCAGAAAAGGCCTTTGACAAAATTCAACAACCTTCATGCTAAAAACTCTCAATAAATTAGTTATTGATGGGACATATCTCAAAATAATAAGAGCTATCTATGACAAACCCACAGCCAATATCATACTGAATGGGCAAAAACTGGAAGCATTCCCTTTGAAAACTGGCACAAGACAGGGATGTCCTCTCTCACCACTCCTATTCAACATAGTGTTGGAAGTTCTGACCAGGGCAATCAGGCAGGAGAAGGAAATAAAGGGTATTCAATTAGGAAAAGAGGAAGTCACATTGTCCGTGTTTGGAGATGACATGATTGTATATCTAGAAAACCCCACTGTCTCAGTCCAAAATCTCCTTAAGCTGAGAGGCAACTTCAGCAAAGTCTCCAGATACAAAATCAATGTGCAAAAATCACAAGCATTCTTATACACCAATAACAGACAGAAAGCCAAATCATGAGTGAACTCCCATTCACAATTGCTTCAAAGAGAATAAAATACCTAGGAATCCAACTTACAAGGGACAGGAAGGACCTCTTCAAGGAGCACTACAAACTACTGCTCAGTGAAATAAAAGAGGATACAAACAAATGGAAGAACATTCCATGCTCATGGGTAGGAAGAATCAATAGAATTGTGAAAATGGCCATACTGCCCAAGGTAATTTACAGATTCAATGCCATCCCCATTAAGCTACCAATGACTTTCTTCACAGAATTGGAAAAAACTACTTTAAAGTTCATATGGAACCAAAAAAGAGCCCACATTGCCAAGTCAATCCTAAGCCAAAAGAACAAAGCTGGAGGCATCACGCTACCTGACTTCCAACTATACTACAAGGCTACAGTAACCAAAAGAGCATGGTACTGGTACCAAAACAGAGATATAGACCAATGGAACAGGACATAGCCCTCAGAAATAATGCTGCATATCTACAACTATCTGATCTTTGACAAACTTGACAAAAACAAGAAATGGGGAAAGGATTCCCTATTTAATAAATGGTGCTGAGAAAACTGGCTAGCCATATGTAGAAAGCTGAAACTAGATAGCTTCCTTACACCTTATACAAAAATTAATTCAAGATGGATTAAAGACTTAAATGTTAGACCTAAAACCATAAAAACCCTAGAAGAAAACCTAGGCAATACCATTCAGGACATAGGCATGGGTAAGGACTTCATGTCTAAAACACCAAAAGCAATGGCAACAAAAGCCTAAATTGACAAATGGGATCTAATTAAACTGAAGAGCTTCTGCACAGCAAAGGAAACTACCATCAGAGTGAACAGGCAACCTACAGAATGGGAGAAAATTTTTACAATCTACCCATCTGACAAAGGGCTAATATCCAGAATCTACAATGAACTCAAACAAATTTACAAGAAAAAACAACCCCATCAAAAAGTGGGCGAAGGATATGAACAGACACTTCTCAAAAGAAGACATTTATGCAGCCAACGGACACATGAAAAAATGCTCACCATCACTGGCCACCAGAGAAATGCAAATCAAAACCACAATGAGATACCATCTCACACCAGTTAGAATGGCGATCATTAAAAAGTCAGGAAACAACAGGTGCTGGAGAGGATGTGGAGAAATAGGAACACTTTTACACTGTTGGTGGGACTGTAAACTAGTTCAACCATTGTGGAAGTCAGTGTGGCGATTCTTCAGGGATCTAGAACTAGAAGTACCATTTGACCCAGCCATCCCATTACTGGGTATATACCCAAAGGATTATAAAACATGCTGCTATAAATACACATGCACGCGTATGTTTATTGCGGCACTATTCACAATAGCAAAGACTTGGAACCAACCCAAATGTCCAACAATGATAGACTGGATTAAGAAAAGTGACACATATACACCATGGAATACTATGCAACCATAAAAAAGGATGAGCTCATGTCCTTTGTAGGGACATGGATGAAGCTGGAAATCATCATTCTCAGCAAACTATCGCAAGGCCAAAAAACCAAACACCACATGTTCTCTCTCATAGGTGGGAATTGAACAATGAGAACACTTGGACACAGGAAGGGGAACATCACACACTGGGGCCTGTTGTGGGGTGGGGGTAGGGGGAGGGATAGCATTAGGAGATATACCTAATGTTAAATGATGAGTTAATGGGTGCAGCACACCAACATGGCACATGTATACATATGTAACAAACCTGCACGTTGTGCACATGTACCCTAAAACTTAAAGTATAACAAAAAAAGAAAAACAAACAAAACAATAAATAAAAGTGCTGAAAAAAAAAAATCTACCAACCAATAATTTTATTGCTAGCAAAACTGCTTTTCAGAAAAGGTGAAATATGAAATTACTAAATAAAAATTGAGAGATTTCATTTCTAGCAGAACTGTTTTCCAAGAAATTCTAAAGAAATTTCTTCAGGCTAAAGCTGACCTCTGACAGTAATTTGAAGCCCCCTAAAAAAGGTATGAGTTAAATGTTATAATTGCAAAAGAGAGTATGTACAAATATATATTCCACCTTCTTTCTTTTCTTAATTTATCTAAAAGACAACTGTATAAAAAATTTATATAATTGTATCATTGGGCATATAACATATCAACATGTAATATATTCATGATAGCATCACAAAGGTGATTGGAGGGAGAAGTGATGTAACACTGTAAGAAAATAACACTGGATGATAAATACAGAGCAAGAATAAAAATAACCAAAAAATGTAAATAAGTGTGTTCATGTAACAAATCCTATAAACATGTACTTGATCTTCTTTCTTTTCTCAGTTTATTTAAAAGGCATAAAGTTATACAAAGAAATAATTATAACAATAATTATTACATTGTCCTTAATATTTACAGGTATAATATGTATAACAGTAGCACAAAAACTGGGGAAAGAGAATAAAGGTATATATAAAGGAGTAATGTTTCTGTATCTCAGTAGAATGTAATTAGTGTAAATGTGAAAAAGATTATAAAGTTGACTGAGGTAATACACATTTCTGTAATAAGCATTGAATTGGACACTTTAAATGGAAAAATAGTATGGTTTAAAAATATACACATTTTTAAAAGCTCAGGAACTCTAAGCAGGATAAGATTTTGTAAAATTTAAAGCAACAGGATAATAATGTAAGGGAGGAAAATTGTGACTTTTACTAGTTGATAAATTTCTCCAGCACATAACTTTGTATTCGTAGTGTTTAACTCTAAAATGCTCTACTCATTGACTCCCTGCTTATCTAAAAATCCTCTGATTTCTTAGTTCAAATGAATCAGCCTTTCTTACTTATATCTGTAAGAGAAAGACAAAAGAGCTGAAATACATCTGTTAATGTTCCTCAGTTTTCTGTTGCATATAGCTATTACTTTTACAAAATGTTGTTATTGAATTATTGAAAACTCGTTTTGTCCAATATGATGCTTTTTTTTTTTTGAGATGGTGTCTTGCTCTGTTGCCCAGGCTGGAGTACAGTGATGCAATCTTGGCTCACCACAACCTCCGCCTCCCAGGTTCAAGCAATTATCCTGCCTCAGCCTCCTAAGTAGCTGGGACTAAGGCGCACGCCACCACGCCCTGCTAATTTTTGTGTTTTTAGTAGAGACAAGGTTTCACTATGTTGGCCAGGCTGGTCTCGAACTTGGGACCTCGAGATCTGCCCACCTCGGCCTCCCAAAGTGCTGGGATTACAGGCATGAGCCACTGCACCTGGCCAATATAATGCATTTTTACAATGATGTGTAATCTGGTTTCTGCCTCTATTTGAATTATATTGGTGGTATATTTGGGCTGCCATGATAATAGTGCAAATTTTAACATTAATAATGGGCTCAGCCAATTTTCCAAAGCAAGACTTCCACTCTGTCGTTCAGGATCATTACAGGTGTCCAACTACCATTACATGCTCTGCTAAAACCAACTTTGACACAAAAAACTTCAGGTTTAATAAACCAGGTTTACCAGTTCTAATTATCTGTTTTTCAATATGAAATTCTCTTTAGTAGATTTTTTAGTTTTTCCATCATTATACCTAGATACTAGTTTCTAAATCCAACAAAATGTATAAATCACATAAAACTCAAATGAAAAGGAATACAATCCTAAGGCTAGTACCACTACAAATATTCCCGTTTTCTTCTTCCCAGCTGTAAAGTCCGCCTGCTAAAAGAACCAGAGAGAAGAGACTTTTTTCACATTACATGCGTTATTTATTATTCTTTTTTATCACTGATGCCTATTTGAATTATAGTTACACCACCTAAAATAGACTATTAAAATATTTCTGGATGAGTCAAGGAACTTCTGTTTTATTATATTTTGTGAGTTGTGATGACCATTGTGTGCAGATAGGTCAACTATGAAAAAAAATTGATGTTCCACCTCACCAGATATACCCCTACAACATATATATGTTCTTAATATATACTTGAAAGTTATGTTATTACCACAAACTATCTAGTGTGATTTAAATTTGCATATGAGATTGCATTATATGGAAAAAATAGTTAAGAAATAAGGTAGCATAAGTCTGTGCCTCAGTTTTGTTATTACTTGCTATATGGTCTTGGTCAAATCACTAAATATAACTAAGCCTCAATATAATGAGGCTTATATGATTGTTAATTGTTAATTTTCCTTTCAATTTGAATTCCTATGTTGCTGCAATCTGGACACTTTATTATAATTCTACTCCAATGAAGAATATTAATTATGATAGTATTAGACACATGCACACACACATGTTAATATTTACATTAAAAAAGTGTTTTGAAATCTGTTTACTTTTTTATAGAGACTGATGAACGATTGCATAGTACAACTGAGAGAGGTACAATAAATGATGCAATTAAGACGCAGTTAAAGAGAAAGAGTTACCCTGGTAAGAATAAGAATTTTTAAAATCTACTTATGGTTTCCTATCTTCTCTGGAGTTTAAGTATGTATCTCTAATGACAACAGTACCTATATGTAATTATCACGTGAGAAAAAGTCTTCATGAATTTCCTCCTATAATTAGTTGAACTCTAGTATTATTCTCAATAGAAAATTAGCTTTAGGGCTCATTTATTTAAAAAGTTATCCATAAAAGTCTAATGCTATAGTGACCTTAGAATATGCTTGCAGATGTATTTCAAATGCTGTTCAATTTGCTATTTATGGCTAATTAGGAAAGTTGCTTTGTATTTGCAAAAGCAGAATTGCTAGCTTATGAACATGATAACAAGATGAATATAACTGATAATGATTTCATCGGTTACCCATTCCCTCTCATATCGTTATGTTATCAGGCAAATTGACAATGTTTCAGCCACTTTAGTTTTGTTATAAAGTTCAAAAATTATACTACTGCATTTTTAGTGGTGAAACAATGACACACTTCTCCTTAATTTTTCGTGTTATACCCATAGAGGCAGAGAGCTTAACAGAGACATAAGGGGAAGAAACAGATAAAGAGAGCCCTGTTAAAACAACTCTCATCCAAAAGTGATTGTGTGTTATGATGGTTAATACTGTCAATTTGATTGGATTGAAGGATTCGAAGTATTGATCCTGGTGTGTCTGTGAGAGTGTTGCCAAAAGAGATTAACATTTGAGTCAGTGGCTGGGAAAGGCAGACACATCCTTAATCTGGGTGGGCACCATCTAATCAGCTGCCAGCATGGCTAGAATATAAAGCAGACAGAAAAACGTGAAAAGACTAGACTGGCCTAGCCTCCCAGCCTACATCTTTCTCCTGTGCTGGATGCTTCCTGCCCTCGTGTGAGTTAATACTTAATAAACTCCCATCTATATCATCTGTATCTATCTATATATCTATATCTATATCTTCTATTACTTCTTTCCCTCTAGAGAACCCTAACTGATACAGATTTTGGTACCAGGAGTGGTTCTAGAGGAACAGAATATTAAGGATGGAGTTCTTTTGTTGGTTTTGGGGTTTCTGGAGTTGGCTGCTTAATGTGATTAAACACAAAAATGTTAAGGACTCTACTTCTAATAGTGTGGAGAACACCGATAAAGAGCTGAAATTGTGGAAAAACATACACAAGCTCTTATCATGCAAGTGGCTGACCTGCAATGAAAGGTGCATGCACAGCCTCGCCAGGTGTCTACTGTTAAAGTGAGGGCATTGATTGAAAAAGAATGGGACCCTGCAACTTGGAATGGGGATGTGTGGGAGGACCTGATGAAGCTGGAGACACTGAATTTGTAAACTCTGATGAATCTTTTTTACCAGAAGAAACAGCTTCCCCATCCCCAGTAGTGACAACATCCTTTCCCCAACCCATGCTGCCACAAGCCTTTGCATCTTTGTCTGAGGAGATAAACTCTGTGCTGCCTGAGGCAACAGTGATGGCCTTCCCTGAGGCAGTTGCCAGGCAAGATAATGTTTATTCTCCTCAGGAACCACCTCCAACATCCCTGTTTGCTTCTAGACCTATAACTAGACTAAAGTCCCAGCAGTCCCCTAGAAGTGAGGTTCAAAGTGTAACCCACATGGAAGTGCACTATACTCCAAGAAAACTGAGTTTTCTAATTTATATGAGCAGAAATTTGAAGAACTTGGAGTCCAATATGCAAGGGCAGGAAGCATCCAGCACAGGAAAAAGATGCCCTCCTTTTGAGAGACACCTCTTGTCCTATTACTGGGCTTTGGTAGAAACTGAACATTTGACTATGGGTCATCAAGTCACCATGTGACCTGAACTGCCTATCATGAACTGGGTGCTTTCTGACCCATCTAGCCATAGAGTGGGGCATGCACAGCAGTATTCCATCATCAAATGGAAGTGGTATGTACATGATTGGGCTTGAGCAGGTCCTGAAGGCACAAGCAAGTTACATGAGGAAGTGGCTCAAATGCCCGTGGTCCCCACTCCTGCCACCCTGCCTTCTCTCCCCAAGCCTGCACCAATGGCCTCATGGGGAGTTCCCTATGATCAGTGGACAGAGGAAGAGAAGAATAAGGCCTGGTTCCCAGATGGTTCTGCATGTTATGCAGGCACCACTCGAAAGTGGACAGCTGCAGCACTACAGCCCATTTCTAGGACATCCCTGAAACACAGCGGTGAAGGGAAATCTTCTCAGTGGACAGAACTTCGAGTGGTGCACCTGGTTGTGCACTCTTCATGGAAGGAGAAATGGCCAGATGTGTGATTATATATTTGATTCGTGGGTTGGAGCCAATAGTTTGTCTGGATGGTCAGGGACTTGAAAGAAGCATGATTGAAAAATTGGTGACAAAGACATTTGGGGAAGAGGTATGTGGGTGGACCTCTCTGAATGGTCAAAAACTGTGAAGATATTTGTATCCCATGTGAGTGCTCACCAATGGGTGACCTCAGCAGAGGAGGATTTTAATAATCAAGTGGATAGGATGACCCATTCTGTGGACACCACTCAGCCTCTTTCCCCAGCCACGCCTGTCATTGCCCAATGGGCCCATGAACAAAGTGGCCATGGTGGCAGGGATGGAGGTTATACATGGGCTCAGCAATGTGGACTTCCACTCACCAAGGCTGATCTGGCTATGGCCACTGCTGAGTGCCTAATTTGCCAGCAGCAGAGACTAACACTGAGCCCTCTATATGGCACCATTCCTCGGTACCTGGTGGCAGGTGGCAGGTTGATTATATGGGACCTTTTCCATCATGGGAAGGGCAGAGGTTTGTCCTCACTGGAATAGACACTTACTCCGGATATGGGTTTGCCTATCTTGCATGCAATGCTTCTGCCAAGACTACCATCCGTGGACTCACAGAATGCCTTATACACCATCATGGCATTGTCTCTGACCAAGGCACTCAATTTACGGCTAAAGAAGTGCGGCAGTAGCGTGTTCTCACTCATAGATGGGAGTTGAACAATGAGAACACATGGACACCGGGTGGGGAACATCACACACCAGGGCCTGTCTGGGGGTGGGGGGCTGGGGGAGGTATAGCGTTGGGAGAAATACCTAAGGTAAATGACGAGTTAATGGGTGCAGCAAACCAGCATGGCACATGTATACCTATGTAACAAACCTGCACGTTGTGCACATGTACCTTGGAACTTAAAGTATAATAAAAATAAATAACTAAAAACCATGTTTTAAAATGGCCCTGCAAAGCCATATTTTTTGTGGGAGAAATTTCTATCTATAGAGAATCTCCATTAATGCAGCCACGAAATCCCTTTCCAGGCATTTCCCAGATATAGGATAGATTAACTAAGTGCTTGCCATCTTTTAAGTCCTGAAAAGAGACATTTATCATCTATTCTCTCTAAAGGCTGCTACCTGTGAGGCTTCATCTATGTAACAAAGACCTTGGCATCCACAATCCCCCTTGTCTTGACTAAAGCATTTCTTTCCACTGACTTCAAGTCTTTAGACAAAGCTTAACTCTTTCAACCAATTGCCAAAATCAGAAAATCTTTGAATCTACCTCCAACCTGGAAGCCCAAGCCCCTTTAAGATGCCCTGCCTTTTTTTATCTGAACCAAAGTATACCTTCCATGTATTGATTTATGTCTTTGCTTATAACTCCTGTCTCCCTAAAATGTATAAAACCAAACTGTAATTCAATTACCTTGTGCATACTTTCTCAAGAACTCTTGAGACTGTTCCCTGGGCCATGGTCATTCATATTGGCTCAGAATAAATTTGTTTAAATAGTTTAAAAAAGAAGAAGAAGGAGAAGGAGAAGGAGAAGAAGAAGAAGGAAGGAAGGAGAAGAAGAAGAAGAAGAAGAAGAAGAGGAAGAGGAAGAGGAAGAGGAAGAAGAAGAAGAAGAAGAAGAAGAAGAAGAAGAAGAAGAAGAAGAAGAAGAAGAAGAAGAAGAAGAAGAAGAAAGAAGAAGAAGAAGAGCAGCAGTGGACTCATGCTCTTGGAATTCACTGGTCTTACCATGTTCCCCATCATCCTGAAGCAGCTGGAATGGCCTTTTGAAGTCACAATTACAATGCCAACTAGGTGACAATACTTTGCAGGGCTGGGACAAAATTCTCCAGAAGGCCATGTATTCTCTGAATCAGCATCCAATATATGTTACTGTTTCTCCCATAGCCAGGATTCACAGGTCCAGGAATCATGGGGTGGAAGTGGGAAGTGGCACCACTCACCATCACCCCTAGTGATCCACTAGCAAAACTTTTGTTTCTTGTTCCTGTGACATTACTTTCTGCTCACCTAGAGGTCTTAGTTCCAGAGGGAGGAACGCTGCCACCAGGAGACACAACAACAATTCAATTAAACTGGAAGTTAAGAGTGCCACATGGACACTTTGGGCTCCTCCTACCTTTAAATCAACAGGCTAAGAAGGGGGCTACATTGTTGACTTGGGTGATTGACCCGGACTATCAAGATGAATTCAGTCTACTACTCCACAGTGGAGATCAGGAAGAGTATGCATGGAATACAGGAGATTCATTAGGGCATCTCTTAGTATTACCATGCCCTGTGATTAAGGTCAATGGGAAACTACAACAGCCCAATCCAGGCAGGACTACAAATAGCACAGACCCTTCAGGAATGAAGGTTTGGGTCACTCCACCGGGAAAAAATTTCATAGCCTGCTGAGGTGCTTGCTGAAGGCAAAGGGAATACAGAATGCATAAGTAGAAGAAGGCAGTCACCAATGCCAGCTACAACAATGTGACCAGCTGCAGAAATGAGGACTGTAATTGTCATGAGTATTTCCTCCTTCTTTTGTTAAAAACACATTTGTGCATGTATACACTTGTACTAAGAACATATCTTCATTTTATTTCCTTTTTCCTTTATCATGTGATGTAAGATTTATTGACTTCATATCAGCATTTAAGTATTGTTAACTTTAGGTAACAGTATTTGGGTTGGGGATTTGTGCGTTTCTGGTTATATGAAGGATAGTTGTATCACGTTAGGCATAATTATGACTTTATTATTGCCTTTATTTGAAGATTATGTATGATCTCAGGAGATGTGTACGGGTTCAAATTGACAAGGGATGGACTTATGATGGTTAATACTGAGTGTTAACTTGATTGGAGTGAAGGATGCAAAGTATTGATTATGGGTGTGTCTGTGAGGGTGTTGCCAAAGGGGATTAACATTTGAGTCAGTAGACTGGAAAGGCAGACCCACCCTTAATCTGGGTGGGCACCATCTAATCAGCTGCCAGTGTGGCTAGAATATAAAGCAGGCAGAAAAACGTGAAAATACTAGACTGGCCTGGCCTCCCAGCCTACATCTTTATCCTGTGCTGGATGCTTCCTGCCCTCAAACATTGGACTCCAGGTTCTTCAGTTTTGGGACTTGACTGGCTCTCCTTGTTCCTCAGCTTGCAGGAGCTGACCTATTGTGGGACCTTGTGATCATGTGAGTTAATACTTAATAAATATATATATCCTATTAGTTCTTATATATATAAGGATATATATATATATATATATCCTATTAGTTCTTTCCCTCTAGAGAACCCTAATACATGTGTATATACATCTGTGCCCACAGAGGAATAACATTAGAAGCTTCATGTTGCAGGAGAAGACTTCAGTAAAATAGAAAATAGTCCACCCAAATAGCTAAATAAAGAAACATGTACACAACAAGATTCCAAAAGGTAAACAAGAAATCCATATGGAGGTTTGCTATCTAAAAAGCCCAATTTTAGCAAAATATGATAGACATGCAAAAAAGAAAAAAAAACAGGAAGATGTGTCCCATACATAGGAAAAAAGCAACAGAAACTTTTTATGAGGATGCCAAATGTTTGGTATAGCAGGGAGCAACTACAAAATAATTCTTATAAATATTTAAAAGAATTCGTAAAATCTATGCTTAAGCATGAAAGGAAGATATGATGAGAATGTCTCACCGAATAGAGAATATTAACAAAAAGATTAAAAGTATTTTGATTTACGATTGAACGTATTTATGGGATACAATGTGATGTTTTAGTGCATGTAAAAAGGAAATTCTAGCGTTGATAGTACAATAACTGAAGAAAAATTCACTAGAGGGGCTCAAGAGTAGTTTTAACAGAAGAAATAATCTGTAAATTTAAAGTAATAGGATTACTAGGAGGGAAAGAACAAAATAATTTAAAGAAATTATGGCTGAAATTTTGAAAAATGTTTGATGTAAAATACTAGTCCACCAATCTAAGCTCAATTAAATCTAATTATATAAACACAATAAAATTCACAACCAGATCCAACATAGTAAAAACATTGAGAGACAAAGTGAAAACCTTGAAGTAGCAAGAGAACAACTACAGTCATGTGTTGCCTAATGATGGAAATGTGTCCTGACAAATGCATCGTTGGGTGACTTCATCATCATGCAAAAATCATAGAGTATACTTACACAAACCTAGGTGGTATAGCTTTCTACATATCTAGGCTATATTGTATAGCCTATTGCTCCTAGGCTACAGACTTGTACAGCATGTTACTGGACTGAATTTTGCAGGCAATGGTAACACAAGAGTAAGCAATTCTGTATCTAAACATAGAAAAGATACAGTAAAAATACCAGATAAAAGATAAAAAGTGGTACACCTGTGTAGAGCACTTACCATGAGTAGAGCTTGCAAGACTGAATGTTGCTCTGGGTGCATCAGTGAGTGAGCAGTGAGTGAATGCAAAGGTCTAGGACATTATTGTACACTACAGTAGACTTTATAAAACACTGTATGTACACTTAGGCTACATGAAATTTATTTTTAAAAATCTTTCCTTAAAAATAACCTTAGCTTACTGTAACTTTTTAACTATAAACTTTTATTTTTTTAATTTTTGGACTCTTATAATAACATTTAACTTAAAACACACATTGTACAGTTGTACAAAAATATTTTCTTTTTCTATATCCTTATTCAATAAGCTGCTTTCTATTTAATTTTTTTATTACCTTTAAAACATTTTTGTTAAAAACTGAGACACAAACATACACATTAGCCTAGACCTACACAGAATCAAGATCATCAGTATCATCACTGTCTTCCACCTCCACGTCTTGCCCCAGTGGAAAGTCTTCAGGGAAAGTAACACACGTGAAGCTTTCATCTCCTATGATAACGATGCCTTCTTCTGGAATACGTCCTGAGGGACCTGTCTGAGGCTGTTCTACAGTTAATGTTTTTTGTAAGTAGAAGTATGCATACTCAAATAAAAATAAAAATGTATAGCAAATATATAAAACAGTAACATAGCTTTTTATTATTATCATCAAGTGTTATGTACTGTACATAATTCTATGTGCTATACTTTTATATATCTGGCAGCAGAGTAGGTTTGTTTACACCAGCATCATCACAGGTTTGTGAATAATTCATTACATTAAGATGTTACAATGGTTACAACATCACTACATGATAGAAATTTCCAGCTCCTTTACAATCTTACGGAATCACCATCTTATATGTAGTCTAAACATCATGTTTGTATGGTTACATGAGTGTAACCATACAAAAGTTAATTCTAGTAAGATTAATAGGTGACATAGCATCAGAAACTATGGAGGCCAAGGCCAGGTGCAGTGGCTCATGCTTGTAATCCCAGCACTTTGGGAGGCCAAGGTGGGGGTGGATCACTTGAGGTCAGTGGTTCAAGACCAGTCTGGCCAACCTGGTGAAGCCCTGTCTCTACTAAAATACAAAAATTAGCTGGGCATGGTGGTGCGGGCCTGTAATCCCAGTTACTCATGAGGCTGAGGCAGGAGAATCGCTTGAACCCGGGAGGTGGAGTTTGCAGTGAGCCAAGATGACAGAGAAAGACTCCATCTTGGGGGAAAAAAAACCCAAAAATTATGGAGGCCAGAAGGCAGTAGGATGGCATTTTCAAAGGGCTGCAAGAAAAAAATATCAACCAATAATTTTATGTTTGGCAAAATTATTTTTAAAAGTGAAACTCAAACAAAAAGAATCTGAAATAAATAAAAATTTACAGGATTAGTTGGTATCAGGCCGTGTTATTAAAAAAAACTTAAGAAAGTTCCTCAGGCTGAAAACAAGTTTCCTCACATCATAATTTTTTCAACAAAAGCATTAGTGAAATAATTCTATTACATAATATTATATAAATGCATATTTTGTTCTTTTCTTCTCTTAATTGATTTAAAATGTAATTGTGTGGTACCATATATAGATATATAAATTTGATATGTAACTGTATTTTGGGGCCTATCACATAATAGATATGTAATAGGCATGCAATATATTTGACAATAGCAGCACAAAGGAAATGGCTGGGAGCAATAGTATGCTGGAGTAAGAAAATGACAATAGATGGTAACTCAAATCCACAGGAAATAATAAAAAGAACCAGAAACTATAAACAAGAATGTTCATATAACAAACATTATAAATATGTACTTGTTCTTCTTTCTTTTCTCAGTTCTTTAAAAGGTATAAAGTTATATAGAGAAATAATTATAACAATGGTTTTAATATTTATAGGTGTAACAACAGTACAAATGTCAGGAAGAGGGAATAGAAAATATAGCAGTAATCCTTGTATAGTTTACTGGAAATTAATTAGAATAAATCTGAAGTAGATTCTAAAAATGACTGTGATGATGGTTTAACAACTGTGAATATATTAAAAATATTTGAATTAGATGCTTTACAAGGGCAAATTGTATGATATATTACCCTTTTTTTAAAAAAAAAAAAAAGAAAGCTCAATAAAATCCATGTGTAACAGTTTCAAAAAGAGATGTAAAGTACTGGGAGGATGTTACGAAGAAGGAAAATTGTGAATCTTACTAAATTATATTTCTCTAGCACATAATTTTGTATTCTTAGTGCTTAAACCTATCTGTCCTCAAATACTCATTACTGATCTAAGAAACTTTTGCTTATCTAACGCAAATGAATTAGTACTCCTTGCTTATACCAGTTAGGGAAATAACTAAAGAGGTTAAAATATGTCTGCTAATGTTCCCCAGGTTTTTGTTGTTGTTGTTGTTGCTGTAGGTCATCATTTTCACGAAATATTTTAATCAAATTAATAACTTATTCTGTCAATCTGATGCATCTTTTCATTTTGGAGATAATGCCCTAAATTGTTCCTATTTCTATACAGATTGTAATGGTGGTACATATGGGATGTACCAATGGGTCATTTGCAGCTTTAAAATTTATTCATGGACTCAACCATTTCTCCAGAGCAAAACTTCTACTCTATGATGTCTGGGTCACTGCAGTTTTCACACTACAGTCACATGCTCTGCTAAGACCCAATTTCACCCACAAAACTTGAGGCCCGGTAGATGGCAAAGCTTCATAAATCCAGATTATTTGATTTTTAATATGAATTCCCTTTATTAATTTTGATTTCATTTTTCTGTCATTGACCCTAGCAGTTGTTTCAAAAGCAAGCAAAAGTTCAAATCATATCAAAACTCAAAGGGAAAGGGATCCAAACTCAGTGCTGATAGGAATGCAAAATTACCCATTTCTTCCTCACCATCTACAAAGTCTACATTCTAAATGGACCTGAGAGGGCACGTTCTACCAGTCCACAATAATCACTGCTGTCACATAATTTGTAGTTACATAACATAAAAAGGGGCTAAAATATTCTTAGAAGAATCAGAGAATTTCTCCCTGATGGTTAACTTTCTGTGACTATAAAGACCATAGTTCACAAGTTGACTTGTGAATAAAATTATATTCCACCTCACCAGGTATATCCATACCTGGTGTATGGATATGCTTGTATGAAGTATGAATGTGTTTAAAAATTATATTCTTATCATAAACTCTCTAGGATAATTTCAGTTTGGAAAAGAGGCAGCATTGTATGGAAGAAAGCACTGGTTAAGGAGTAACAAACATCTATTTCTGTATAAGTTTTATAGTTAACTGTATATCTGATTTTGTTCAAATCACTAAACTTCTCTAGGCTTATATGATTGCTAAGAATGCTTCCAATTCTAAGGCTTTGTAATTCTGCAGTCCAGTGCTTTTTTTTTTTTACTAATTCATCTTCTTTAATGACTGATGCTAATTAAGTTATTACTATTCATACATACAAATATACTATCACATACACACAGCACGGACATATGTTACAATTTACCTTTCAAAGCGTTTTGAAAACCTGTTTTATTTTTATAGAGACTGTCTTAAAACACTTGAAAGGTGTTAATGGAAAAGATATAATAAAGCATCTAATCAACATACAGTCAAAGAGTCATGGAGGTAAGAACAAGAATTTTTCAAGTCTCCTGTTAATGGCTTATTTAGCTCTGAAGTTAAATATGGATCTTTGATGACAACTGTAGCTGTAAGTTATTACATGCGAAAATATCTTCATGAATTTCCTCCTGTAATTTGTGGAACTCTAGTATTTGCTATCAATGGAACATTAGTTAGATATGATTAGTTTTAGAACTCATTTACTGGTAAAGTAATCCATAAAAATGCAAGGCTGTTGTGACCTAAATATGTGCTTGATGCTATTATTTCAAATGCTATACTTTAATTCAATGCTGAGTTCAGGTCCTGAATATCTCTGATAAAATTTTCTGTCTCAATTATCTGTCTAAAAGTCTCCCACTATTATTGTGTTGGAGCCTAAGTCTCTTTGAAGGTCTCTAAGAACTTGCTTTATGAATCTGTGTGCTCATGTGTTAGATGCTTATATTTAGGATAGTTAGATCTTCTGGTTGAATTGAACCTTTACCCTTATGTAATGCAGCACTATTCACAATAGCAAAGACATGAAATCAACCCAAATGCCCATCAGTAATAGACTAGATAAAGAAAAGTTGGTACATATACACCATAGAATACAATGCAGACATAAAAAAGAAACAAGATCATGTCCTTTGCAGGGACATGGATGGAGCTGGAGGCTATTATCCTTAGCAAACTAACACAGGAATAGTAAACCAAATACTGCATGTCCTCACCTATAAATGGGAGCTAAATGATGAGAGCATATGGACACATGGAGGGGAACAACGAACACTGGGGCCTTTTGCAGAGTGGAGGATGAAAGAGGGACAGGATCAGGAAAAATAACTAATGGGTACTAGGCTTAATACTTGGGTGATGAAATAATCTGTACAACAAACCCCCATGACACAAGTTTACCTATGTAACAAACTTACACTTGTACCCCGAACTTAAAATAAAAGTTGAAAAAAATGAAAACAAATGCAGTACTTATCATTTTATATTTCTGGCTTAGAGAGGAAAGTTGCCTTAAATTTGTAAAAGCATACAGACTAACTTGTGAATGTGATAAGAAGAGGAGTATAACAGTCATTTTATTGGCTACCCATTCTCTCTATTTGATAAAAATGTCAGGTAAATTTACAATATCTCAGCTACAGTAAAGTTATTCAGTTGTGTTCCACAATTCAGTGATTACACAACTAAATTTAGTTCTGGAATAACAGTGTTAGGCATCTTTTTCCTTGATCTTTGGTGAGATACTGAAAGAGGCAGGGAGCTTAACAGAGAAATACGGGAAAGAGGCCATTAAAGAGAGCCCCCTGAAACCACTGTCATTCAAAAGTGGCAGTGTGCATACCAAAAGCAGTGCTCCCAGAGGAACAATATTAGAATCTTCTTGTTGTGGAGAAAGATAATGTAGTAAAATAGTCAAAAGAAATCACTAAAAAGCAAACAGCAAGTTTTAAAATATGATGAGTAAATCAATATCTAGATTTTTCTACAATATCATCCAAAATATCCAAAATATCCAGTTTTTATTCTAAAATTCTAGTTCTAGATCCTTGAGGAATCACCACACTGACTTCCACAATGGTTGAACTAGTTTACGGTCCCACCAGCAGTGTAAAAGTGTTCCTATTTCTCCACATCCTCTCCAGCACCTGTTGTTTCCTGACTTTTCAATGATTACCATTCTAACTGGTGTGAGATGGTATCTCATTGTGGTTTTGATTTGCATTTCTCTAATGGCCAGTGATGATGAGCATTTTTTCATGTGTCTTTTGGCTGCATAAATGTCTTCTTTTGAGAAGTGTCTGTTCATATCCTTCATCCACTTTTTGATGGGGTTGTTTTTTTCTTGTAAATTTGTTTGAGTTCATTGTATGTTGGTTGTCTGTTTACTCTGTTAGACTTGGCAAAGACTACAAAGCAGTTATTATAAATAGGTTCAGATATTTAACAAATGGTGCTGGGAAAACTGGCTAGCCATATGTAGAAAGCTGAAACTGGATCCCTTCCTTACACCTTATACAAAAATTAATTCAAGATGGATTAAAGACTTACATGGTAGACCTAAAACCATAAAAACCCTAGAAGAAAACCTAGGCAATACCATTCAGGACATAGGCATGGGTAAGGACTTCATGTCTAAAACACCAAAAGCAATGGCAACAAAAGCCAAAATTGACAAACGGGATCTAATTAAACTAAAGAGCTTCTGCACAGCAAAAGAAACTACTATCAGAGTGAACAGGCAACCTACAGAATGGAAGAAAATTTTTGCAATCTACTCATCTGACGAAGGGCTAATGTCCAGAATCTACAAAGAACGCAAACAAATTTACAAGAAAAAAACAAACAGCCCCATCGAAAAGTGGGCGAAGGATGTGAACAGACACTTCTCAAAAGAAGACATTTATGCAGCCAAAAGACACATGAAAAAATGCTCATCATCACTGGCCATCAGAGAAATGCAAATCAAAACCACAATGAGATACCATCTCACACCAGTTAGAATGGCGATCATTAAAAAGTCAGGAAACAACAGGTACTGGAGAGGATGTGGAGAAATAGGAACACTTTTACACTGCTGGTGGGACCGTAAACTAGTTCAACCATTGTGGAAGACAGTGTGGTGATTCCTCAGGGATCTAGAACTAGAAATACCATTTGACCCAGCCATCCCATTACTGGGTATATACCCAAAGGATTATAAAACAAGCTGCTATAAAGACACATGCACATGTATGTTTATTGCGGCACTATTCACAATAGCAAAGACTTGGAACCATCCCAAATGTCCAACAATGATAGACTGGATTAAGAAAATGTGGCACATATACACCATGGAATACCATGCAGCCATAAAAAATGATGAGCTAATGTCCTTTGTAGGGACATGGATGAAGCTGGAAACCATCATTCTCAGCAAACTATCACAAGGACAAAGTACCAAACACCGCATGTTCTCACTCATAGGTGGGAATTGAACAATGAGAACACATGGACACAGGAAGGGGAACATCACACACCGGGGCTTGTTGTGGGGTCGGGGGAGGGGGGAGGGATAGCATTAGGACATATACCTAATGTAAATGATGAGTTAATGGGTGCAGCACACCAACATGGCGCATGTATACATATGTAACAAACTTGCACGTTGTGCACATGTACCTTAGAACTTAAAATATAATACAAATATGCATATAAAAATAATAAAAATAAATAGGTTCAGAGAATTCAAGGAAACCATAATTAAAGCATAAAGGGGGTATAGTGACAATGTCTGTATTCACTGCCCAGATTGCCAGAACAAAATACTGCACTGGGTGCCTTAAACATCAGAAATTTATTTTCTCACAGTTCTGAACACTAAAACTTCAAAATCAAAGTGCTGCCAAGGTTGATTTCTGGTGATGCCTCTCTTCCTGGCTCAAGGACACACTTAGAGAAATGCTAAGTGCACTGGGAAGTCTCCATAATAGAACCGAACAGCAGAAGAAAGAACTTCAGAGCTCGATGACAAGGGTTTTGAATTAATCCATCAAACACAAAGAAACAAGAATTTTCAAAAATGAACAAAGACTCCAAGAAGTTTGGGACTATGTTAAATGTTCAAACCTGAGAATAATTGGAGTTCCTGAGAAGAAGAGAAATCTAAAAGTTTGGAAAACATATTTGTGAGAATAATCAAGAAAAACTTCTCCAACCTTGCTAGAGATATAGACATCCAAACACAAGAAGCTCAAAGAACACCTGGGAAATTCATCACAAAAAGATCATCATGTAGGCCTATAGTAATCAGGTTATCTAAAGTCAAGATAAAGTAAAGAATCTTAAGAGCTGCGAGGCAAAAGCATAAGGTAACCTATAAAGGAAAACCTGTCAGATTAACAGCAGGCTTCTCAGCAGAAGCCCTACATGTTAGAAGGAATTGGGGTCCTATTTTTAGCCTCCTTAAATAAAACAATTATCAGCCAAAAATTTTGTATCCAGTGAAATTGAGCTTCATAAATGAAGGAAAGATACAGTCTTTTCCAGACAAGCAAATGCTGACATAATTTGCCACTACCTAGCCAGTACTATAAGAACTGCTAAAAGGAGCTCTAAATCTTGAAACAAACCCTCAAAATACACCAAAATAGAACCTCCTTAAAACATAAATCTCACAGGACCCATATAACATTAACACAGTGGGGAGAAAAAAAGGTATTCAGGCTACAAATGGTAAGATGAATGGAATAGTACCTCACATCTCAATACTAACATTGAATGTAAATGACCTAAATGCTGCACTTAAAAGATACAGAATGGCAGAATAGATAAGAATAGATACAGAACTGCAGAATAGATAAGAAAAACCTAGTTTCTGCTGTCTTCAGGAGACTCAGCACATAAAGACTCACATAAACTTAAGGTAAAGGTGTGGAAAAAGATGTCCTGTGCAAATGGACATCAAAAGCAAGCAGAAGTAGCTGTTCTTACATTAGACAAAACAAACCTTAAACCAACAGCGGTTAAAAATGACAAAGAGGGACATTATAGAATGATAAAAGGGCTAGTCCAGCAGGAAAATATCACAATTCTAAATGTATATGCACCTAACACTGGAAATGCCAAGCTTATAAAACAATTACTACTAGACCTAAGAAATGAGATGACACAATAATAGTGGGGGACTTTAATACTCCACTGACAGCACTAGACAAATCATCAAGGCAGAAAGTCAACAAAGAAACAATGAACTTGAACTCTACCCTACAACAAATGGACTTAACAGATATCTACAGAACATTCTACTCAACAACTGCAGAATATACATTCTATTCATCAGCACATGGAACATTCTCCAAGATAGACCATATGACAGGCCACAAAACAAGTCTCAGTAAATTTAAGAAAATCGAAATTATATCAAGTACTCTCTCAGACCACAGTGGAATAAAATTGGAAATCAACTCCAAAAGGAACCCTAAAAATCATGCAAATATATGGAAATTAAATAACCTGCTCCAGAATGATCATTGGGTCAACAATGAAATCAAGATGGAAATTTAAAAATTCTTTGAACTGAACAATAATAGTGACACAACCTATCAAAACCTCTGGGATACAGCAAAAGCATTGCTAAGAGGAACTGTTCATAGCATTAAATGCCTAAATCAAAAAGTCTGAAAGAGCACAAATAGACAATCTAAGATCACACCTCACGGAACTGGAGAAACAAGAACAATCCAAACCCAAACCCAGCAGAAGAAAAGAAATAACAAAGATCAGAGCAGATCTAAACAAGAATGAAACAAAAAAATGCAAAAGATAAATGAAACAAAAAGCTGGTTATTTGAAAAGATAAATAAAATTGATAGACCATTAGCAAGATTAACCAAGGAAAGAAGAGAGAAGATCCAAATAAGCTCAATTAGAAATGAAACAGGAGTTATTACAACTTATACCACAGAAATATAAAACATTATTCAAGGCTACTCTGAACACATTTACCCATATAAACTAGAAAACCTAGAGGAGATGAATAAATTCCTGGAAATATACAATCCCCCTAGATTAAACCAGGAAGGTATAGAATCTCTGAACAGACCAATAACAAGCAGCAAGATTGAAATGGTAATTTAAAAATTGCCAACAACAAAAAAAGTTCAGGACCAAATGGGATTCACGGCTGTACTATCTGACATTCAAAGAAGAATTGGTACCAATCCTACTGAGGTGATTCCAAAAGATACAGAAAGAGGGAATCCTCCCTAAATCATTCTATGAAGCCAGTATCACCCTAATACCAAAACCAGGGAAGGACATAACAAAAAAAGAAAACTACAGACCAATATCCCTGATGAACATAGATGAAAAAATCCTCAACAAAATACTACCAAACCAAATCCAAGAGCATATCAAAAAGATAATCCACCATGATCTAGTGGGTTTCATAACAGGTATGCAGGGATGGTTTAACATATGCAAGTCAGTAAATGTGATACACCACATAAACAGAATTAAAGACAACAATCACATGATATCTCAATAGATGCAGAAGAAGCACTTGACAGAATCCAGCATCGCTTTATGATTAAAACCCTCGGCAAAATCGGCATAAAAGGAACATAACATAAGGTAATAAAAGCTATCTATGACAAACCAACAGCCAACATTACACTGAACGGGTTTTGAAAGCATTCCCCCTGAAAACTGGAACAAGACAAGGATGCCTACTCTCACCACTTCTATTCAACATAGTACTGGAAGTCCTAGCCAGAGCAATCAGACAAGGAAAAGAAATAAAGGGCATCCAAATTGGTAAAGAGGAAATCAAACTGTAACTGTTTGCTGATGATATGATCATATACCTAGGAAGCACTAAAGACTCATCCAAAAAGCTCCCAGAACTCGTAAATGAATTCAGCAAAGTTTCAGGATACAAACTTAATATACACAAATCAGTAGTGCTGCTGTACACCAACAGTGACCAAGCTGAGAATCAAATCAAGAACTCAACTCCTTTCACAATAGCTGCCAAAACAAACAAACAAAAAACAAAAAAAGGTAGGAATATACTTAACCAAGGACGTGAAAGACCTCTACAAGGAAAACTACAAAACACTGCTGAAGGAAATCCTAGACGACACAAACAAATGACCATATTGCCAAAAGCAATCTACAAATTCAATGCAATTCCCATCAAAATACCAACATCATTCTTCACAGAACTAGAAAAAACAATCCTAAAATTCATATGGAACCAAAAAAAGCCCACATAGCCAAAGCAAGACTAAGCAAAAAGAATAAATCTGAAGGGATCACATTACCAACTTCAAACTATAAGGCCATAGTCACCAAAACAGCATGGTACTGGTATAAAAATACACACATAGACCAATGGAACAGAATAAAGAACCCAGAAATAAAGCCAAATACTTACAGCCGACAGATCTTCGACAAAACAAACAAAAACACGAAGTGGGGAAAGGACACCGTATTCAACGAATGTTGCTGGAGTAATTGTCAAGCCACATGTAGAAGAATGAAACTGGATCCTCATCTCTCTATGCAAAAATCAACTCAAGATGGATCAAAGATAAATCTAAGTCTTGAAATCATAAGCTTCTAGAAGATAACATTGGAAAAACCCTTCTAGACATTAGCTTAAGCAAAGACTTCATGACAAAGAACCCAAAAGCAAATGCAACAAAAACAAAGATAAATAGATGGGACTTAATTAAATTAAAAAGCTTCTGCACAGCAAAAGAAATTATCAGCAGAGTTAACAGACAACCCTCAGAGTGGCAGAAAATCTTCACAATCTATATATCCGACAAAAGACTAATATCCAGAATCTACAAAGAACTCAAATCAGCAAGAAAAAAAAAATCCCATCAAAAAGTGGGCTAAGGACATGAATAGACAATTCTCAAAAGAAGATATACAAATGGCCAACAAGCATATGGAAAAATGCTCAACATCACTCATTATCAGGGATATGCAAATAAAAACCATAATGCAATACCATCTCATTCCTGCAAGAATGGCCATCATCAAAAAATAAAAAAATAACAGATGTTGGCATGGATGCAGCGAAAAGGAAACATTTTTACACTGTTGGTGGGAATGTAAACTAGTACAACCACTGTGGAAAACAGTGTGGAAAGTCCTTAAAGAACTAAAAGTAGATCTACCCTTTGATCCAGCAATCCCACTTCTAGGTATCTACCCAGAGGAAAGGAAATCATTATACAAAAATATACTTGCACACATATGTTTATAGCAGTACTATTTGCCATTGCAAAAATATGGAATCAGCCCAAATGCCCATCAATCAATGAATGGATAAAGAAAATGTGGTGTGTATATACTATGGAATACTACTCAGCCATAAAAAGGAACAAAATAATGGCATTTGCAGCAACCTGAATGGAATTGGAGACTATTATTATAAGTGAACTAACTCAGGAATGGAAAACCAAACGTTGTATGTTCTCACTCATGTGGGAGCTAAGCTATGAGGATGCAAAGGCATAAGAATGGTATGTTGGACTTTGGGGACTTGGGGAAAGAGTAGGGGGGGCAAGGGACAAAAGACTATGCATTGGGTACAGTGTACACTGCTCAGGTGATGGGTGCCCCAAAATCTCACAAATCACCACTAAAGAACTTAATCATGAAACCAAACACCACCTGTTCCCCAAAAACCTATTGAAATAAAAAAATAAATTTTTTTAAAAAATTTAAAAAATAAAATAACACTGGACGGTAACTCAAATCCACCGGAACAAATGCAAAAAAATATATAAATAAGAAGGTTAGTATAGTAAACACTAAAAATATGTACTTGCTCTTCTTTCTTAGCTTAATTAAAAGGCACAGTATTATATAAATAATTAATCATAACAACAATTATAACAATGTCTTTTATATATAGTAGTAATACACATAATAGTAGTGCAAAAATGTTGAAGAAGGAATAATGCTATATGGGAGTAATATTTCTGTACTTCACTGGAATTTGATTAGTATAAACTCAAGTAGAATCTAAAATTGACTGTGGTCAGAGCTACACAAATATGTGAACATCTTAAAAAACATTGAATCGAACACTTTACATAGGCATATAGCATGGTATGTTATTTATTTTGTAAAAATACCTCAGTGAATTCCAGGCAGGATCATATTTAAAAAGAATTAAAGCAATGAGAGGATACTGTGAGGGAGGAAACATGAATGTTACTAGATTGTAAATTACTTTAGCACATAGATTCTCTTCCTAAATGCTTAACCTTATCTCCCCTAAAATGCTCTTCTTGTTGCCTCTCTGCTTATCTAAGAATCTTTGCATACTCACTTGAAATGAACCATTCCTTCTTATGTGTGCTAGTTGGAGTAATAATCGGAGAGGCTATATGACTGCTCATATTCCCTATTTTTATGTTTCTATAGATGTGCTTATGTTCACAAAATATAGCTGTGTACTTATGGAAAATATATTCTTATGTGTCTCGGTTCATTTTGGTAATGATGCCTCAGCTGGTCCATACTTTGGTTTAGATTTCACTGGTGGTATATTTGGGCTTCAAATGTTACACTGTAATACTTAACATTTATTCAAGAGCTCAGACATTTCTTCAGAGCAAAACTTCCATTCTATGGTATCTGGGTCATTATAGGTTTCCAACTTTAGTTATATAGTCTGCTATAAACAACTTTCTCTCACAAAATATTAGGTTCACCAGTTGACCCAAGTCACCCATTCTAATTGTCCCTGTTCAATATGAACTCTCCTTTCATAACTTTCATGTATTTTTCCTGTTATATGACCTAGTCAGTAATTTTCAAATCTAGCAAAAAATTCAAATCACATAAAAACTCCAGTGGAAAGGAATGCAATCTCAATGCTTATGCTACTACAAGTTTACTTACTTCGTCCTCCCCAAGTACAAAGTCTACAAACTCAAGAAGATATGAAAGTCACATTTTCATATTCCACAAAATATCTAATTATTTTTCTACATTATTGATACATACTTGATTTATAGTTACAAATCTTAGAAATGACATGAAGTCTTTATGAACAAATCAAAGTACTTTGCCCCACATAACTCTCTGTGACTGTGGAGACCATGGTTTGCAAATTGACCTATTTTTAAAAATGTTATGTTTTATCTCACCAGGTACATCCCACAGTAGATAGTGCTCTTGGTGTAAATTTAAGGTTATATTATCATCATAAACTTTCTAGGATAATTTTAATTTGCATAAGAGATGCATTATATGGTAAAGTCAGTGGTTAAGGAATTATAAAGTGTCAGTTTGTACATCAATTTTGTCATTATCTTGATGTGGTCTTGTTCAAATCATGAAGCATCTCTGAACTTCAATATAATAGGCTTATATGAGTTCTAATAGCCCTTCAAATTCTGTTTTGTGATGCTTACTGCAATAAGACATGTTGTGACTCTTCTACTATAATAATAAAAACTCACATGTGCACTACACATGCACACACACACATAAAATGTTTACCTTATAAAATATATTGAAATCTGCTTTATTTCTATAGAGACTAATAAGGAACTCTTAGCAGATGCTATTGGAAGAGGTATAATAAAGGGGTCAATTAAAACACAATTTAAATGTCACCAAGGTAAAAAAAATTTTTTTCAAGACTAATATTTATGGTTTATTCATATTCCCGGAGTTAAATTAAGTATGAACCTTTAATGACAATAGTACCAATATGTTAGTATTATATAGGTGAAATTCTAAATGAATATCCTCCTATAATTAAACACATACACATACTCAGATTTGGTAATGTTTACCTTTCAAAATATATTGATATCTGTTTTATTTATATAGAGACTGATAAGGAACACTTAGCAGATGATACTGGAAGAGGTATAATAAAGGGATCAATCAATGCACAACTAAAGGGTCACCAAAGTAAGAAAAAGAATTTTTCACATCTAATATTTATGGCTGATTGATATTCCCTGAGTTAAATTAAGTATAGACCTTTAATAACAAAACTACCTATATTATAGTGTTACATAAGTAAAATTATTCATGAATATCCTCCTATAATTAAACACAAAAACACACACAAGTATGGTAATGATAATCTTACAAAATATACTGAAATCTGTTTTATTTCTATAGAGACTGATAAGAACTTCTTTGCCTATGCTACTGGAAGAGGTCTAATGAAGGAGTCAACCACGACACAATTAAAAAGTCACCCAGGTAAGAGAAAACAATTTCAAGACTAATATTTATGGTTTATTTATATTCCTGGAGTTAAATTAAGTGTGGACATTTAATGGCAATAGTACCTATATGTTGGTATTACACAGGTAAAATTCTTCATGAATACCCTTCCATAATTACACACACACACACACACACACACACATACACACACACACAGATACACACAGAGGTATGGTAATGTTTACCTTATAAAATATATTGAAATCTGTTTTATTTCAATAGAGACTGATAAGGAATTCTTGGCAGATGCTATTGGAAGAGGTATAATAATAGGGCCAATCACTACACAACTGAAGAGTCACCGAGGTAAGAGAAAGAATTTTTCAAGTCTAATATTTAGGCTTATTTATATTCCCTGAGTTAAATTGAAGTATAGACCTTTAATGACAACAGTACCTGTATCATAGTACTTTCCATAGCAAAAGATGCTATTGGAAGACATATAATAAAGGGACTATCAATGCACAATTAAAGAGTCACCAGGGTAAGAAAAAGAATTTTTGAGTCTAATATTTGTGACCTATTTATGTTCCCTGAGTTAAGTATAGACCTTTAATGACAACAGTGTCTACATGTTATTATTACATAGGTACCTATATCATAGTGTTACATTGGTGAAATTCTTCATGAATATCCTTCTATAATTAGTTAAACACACACGTATACACATGTATGGTAATGTTTACCTTATAAAGTATTTTGAAATCTGTTTAATTCTATAGAGACTGATAAAGAACTCTTAAAAGATGCTATTGGAAGAGATATAATAAAGGGACCAATCAGTGCACAATTAAAGAGTCACCAGGGTAAGAAAAATAATTTTTGAGTCTAATATTTGTGACCTATTTATGTTCCCTGAGTTAAATTAAGTATAGACATTTAATGACAATAGTGCCTACATGTTAGTGTTACATAGGTAAAATTCATCATGAATATCCTTTAATTAAGCTCTAGCATTTACTATCAGTGGAACATTAGCATATTATTGGTTTTAAAACTCATCCATTTGAAAAGTAATGCATAAAAATTCAGTGTTACAGTTACCTTAGAGTAGTCTCAATGTAGGCATTTCCAAAGCTATTCTACTTACTTTTGTTTCTGAAAAGTGATATTTAATTAGCAAAAGCAGAAAGGCAAAAGCACAAAGGCTAGCTGAAGACTGCGATGACAAGAGGAGTATAACACATAATTATTTCACTGGTTATCCATTCCTTCTATTTGATAAAAATGTCAGGCAAATTTATAAAATCTCACCTGCAATACAGTACTTTATTTGTGTTACATAATTCAGAGATTACATTACTGGCTTTCATCTTGGTGTAAGGGTGTTATGTAGTTATACAATTTTCTTTATCTCTGGTGTGATACAAAAAGAGGCAGACAGCTTAACAGAGAAATAAGGTAAAGAGACACATTCGAAGCCGGCCCTCTAAAACCAATGTTATCCAAGGTACTGGATGCATGTTCAAGGCTCTGCCCCTTGGAGAGCAGCAGTAGCACTTCACACTACAGGCAAGAGACTTTAGTACAATAGCCCAGTCACATCGCTATGCAAATAAATAAGGAGAGAACAATGACAAGCCCCAGATAGAGGAGGAGGAAATCAGTACCTGGAGATGCTACAATATACTACGGAAACTGTCAAAACTTGAGCAAAAATTATTAACATGCAAAGAAACAGTGAAGTGTGACCTACACCAAGGAAAAGGGCATGCCACAATAACTGTTTGTGAGAGTTCCAGGTGTTGGACCTAGCCAACGAAACCTCAAAGCACTTATTATAAGTGTGTTCTTAGAGTTAAAGGAAATTATTCTTAAGGAAGAAAAGGAAGGTAACAGAGATATCAGCAAATAATATAGAAATTTCAAAAGACAACACAGCAAAACCCTATCTCTACAAAAAATACAAAAATTAGCCAGGCATGGTGGTGCACACCTGTAGTCCCAGCTACTTGGAGAGGCCAAGGCGGGGGACCACTTGAGCCCAGGAGGTTGAAACTGCAGTCAGCCATGTTCACACCTCTGCACTCCAGCCTGAGTGACAGAACAAGATCCTGTCTCTAAAAAAAAAAAGGAAAAGAAAAGAAAAAGAAATTTCAAAAGAAAAAAGAACTAAAATACATGTGTAACATAAATGGTTACCTTAAAAAGTGTTTTGAAATGTGTTTTATGTCTATAGAGACTGATGTAGAACCCTTGACAAATGCCATTGGTTCAAGTAAAACAATTGGTGAGATAAAGACACAACTAAGGACTCACTATGGTAAGAATAATAATTTTAAGTCTAATATTTACAGTTTATCTTCTCTGGGGTTTAAGTATGAATCTTTAATGATAACAGTACCTATATGTTAATATTTCATGGGCAAATGTCTTCATGAATTTTCTCATATAATTAGTTAAACTCTCGTATTATCAATGGGAAATTAGCTAGAAAGTTTTAAAACCTCTAGACAATGATTTTAAAAAATATGAGGTTTATAATTCTCTGTTTAAATAAATGTTTTCTACAATAATCCATGTTACTTTTATAGCAATAGAATTTATGAAAAATAAATCTAATAAACATTGGTTCAATTGGGGCAGGGGGGATCCAGTAGCTTATACATAGACTTCTGACCTCCAAAACTATCTTTCTAAGTGTATCCTTTTAAATGTAGACTATGGATCAATTATAGAAATGAACATTTGGTCAAAGTAAAATAAAGCTGGGATAAAGGTTGAAATTAAGGAAGATACTGTCACAGAATGCAGAACAAAGACAAGAAAGAGAAAATGATGAGAGACTACACAGAAATTTAAGTAATAAACAAGTGGCCATTTAATAAAATGTGGGAAGAAAAATTACCAAGGCAGAAATAAAGACAAATACGTGGAGATGGGATTAGTGTGTGAATAGTCAAGAGTATTCATGCACTTTTTCTTTTAAAATTTTATTTTAGATGTGAACTTATTTAAAAACAAAGATATGTCCGTACAACGTCAAGAAGGTATCTTTACTAGGAGCATTACACCAAGTAAATTCCCAACAAAAGTGATCAATTTATCACCCTTTGAAAATAAAGGTAAAGAATTATGTATGTAGATATGAATTCAGTATCTAATTACCTAGAATAGTTTTAAAGTATGCTTTTTCATTTACTCTTTTTGCATCTTACTTTTTTTTCAGAAATATCTTAGGAAAATTCTTACAAGCGTAAAAATAAAATGGTTTTAATTCATCCTTTTTATTGGCAGCATGATACTTCATAGTAAGAACACTTTATTCAATCATTCTACTAAAGAGCATTGACTTTTTAGGCTTGAGATTTCTTATTAAATTATACATGGATTTTTATCATTAAATGATATTTCCAGATTGCTTTCCTAAAGAGCTATTAAAATTAACATTTTCATCAGCAATCTTTAGGGAAAATTCTCTTCTGTGTGTAAGTATCTGCAATATGGATTGCTGGGTTTTGTTTTTTTTTTTTCATTTATACCCATCCGAAAGTTACTAAATTATATCTCACTCTTATTTTAATTTTTATTTTCATATTTGTTAGTGTTTTACTACTCCATATCTACCCTAAAACTTAAAAAAGCATAAAACAGTAACCACTTAGGTAACTGATGATTGTCTTGGCTGGGCTAACTTATGCATTTCTGGTCAAATTATCAATTCACCCATATGTATGGCGGTTGGCTGGCTGTTGTTTGAGACAATGGTGTAGAGTGGGCCCATTCAGTAAATAGAAACTTTACTGGTTGTTCAAAAAGAAAGCAAGAGGGCCCGGCGCGGTGGCTCACACATGTAATCCCAGCACTTTGGGAGGCCGAGGCAGGCAGATCACGAGGTCAAGAGATAGAGACCATCCTGGCCAACATGGTGAAACCCTGTCTCTACTAAAAATACAAAAATTAGCTGGGCATGGTGGCACGTGCCTGTAGTCCCAGCTACTTGGGAGGCTGAGGCAGGAGAATCGCTTGAATCCAGGAGGTGGAGGTTGCAGTGAGCCGAGATCACGCCACTGCACTCCAGCATGGCGAAAGAGCAAGACTCCGTCTCAAAAAAAAAAAAAAAAAAAGAAAAGAAAAATAGAAAGCAAGAGTGTAAAAAGTAGATGACTAAGTATAAAGTTGTTAACTTGGTAACTGAAAGTATTAAAAGAAGTCTAAGGTTACATGGAGGAAGCAATTACAGAAAGAAATTGCCATACGCAGAACTGAAGGAGACCTCTGCATAGGGTATAGATTGGATGATGCTAGTGTCCCTGATTCTGCAGGGGGGAACTTGGATCCCTACTTCTGAAGGCGGGGGGCACTGGCCATCTACTGCTAGTTTCTAAGTGGGGAGGAATAATAAAACTGGTTCTTCAAATGGTGGAAAAAAATGCAAACTCTTTGTTGCCATGGGAGGAATTGCTACTTTTGGGATAAGGAAACAATACCAGGATGTTCTTCACAGAAACTGAAAAGAGACAGGAAGCTCTCAAAGCCCACCAGGAACAAAATGAGAAGAACAAGTCTGTCCTTTTTCCTCCAAATTTGCAGATTTCCTCTATCTAGCCTATCTTGCACGGCCTACCTTGGAGCTACTTTGCAAAGCAAAAATGTGGTCTGCAGAATCCCCAGATCCAGTATCATGAAGCAGAGTGTAGAAGGGTGGTTTGGTGGCTAAACTTAATAACTGGCCCAGGAGGTGACTTGGCTGCATGTTTCTCATCATCCAGCCAACTAGCTAGGAGTCTTCAAGTTCTAAGAGCAGCATGCGGGCAAGCCTCAATGTATGAGCAGTTTTGAAGTCTCTGCTCACATTCATTTACTTTTGTCATATTCACCAAAGTCATATAACTAAGACCAGAGTTAGTATGGAAGAACATCAATACAAGTAGGCAAGAACACAGAGACCGTCACTGAAATCAATCCACCACAGTGTTCCTGCTGATTGAGAATATTCATGGCCCTCCCACATGCAAAATAGAATCAGCTCTTCCCAGGACCCCACAAATTCTTATCCAATTTTGGCATCAGTGCCAAAGACCACGATATTGTGATATATAATCATTTTCAGAGGCAGCTTCTATGATATGACTTCTTTTGATTCAGAGATTTTTTTTGAAATGTCACTTGTCTCTGACAACACACACACACACACACACACACACACACACACACACACACACAGAGACATGCAATGTAACAGTGGTGAGACAGGGACAGACCACAGAAGACACTCCCATTAACAAACAGCAGGGAGAAACGAAGGCAAATATGGCAGTCAATAATCCATACAGTAAGGTCACCTATTTCACCCTTCAATAGCATTATAATTTTCTCAGTAAAAACATACATGAAAAAATAAATGAACCAGGATATTGGAGGATACCAGAATGGAATGCAGGCTGGGGCAAATGGAATTGATCGTTTCTAGTCTCTGTGTTCTTTATTTCTGCTTTGATCTTTATTTTTTTTTCTTCTGGTAGATTTATGCTTAGTTCTGCTTTTACTACTTCTGTGAAGTGTAATTTTAGGTTGTTTATTTGATTCTTCTTTTATGATGTAGACATTTAATGCTATAAACTTTCCTCTTAGGACTACTTTTGCCGCATCCCATTAAGTTTTTGTATGTTACGTTTTTATTTTCTTTTGTCTGTAGATATATTTAAATTTCCCTTTTTAATTTCCTTCTTGACACAGTAGTTCTTCAGGAGCATATTGTTTAATGTTTCAAAGATTTATTAAGTTTCTTTTTATTCTCCTGTTACTGATATCTAGTTGATATTTGATGTAATTTTGATCTTACATTGTTAAGACCTCTTTTGTGGCCTAACATACGATCTGTTCTGGAGAATGTTCTTTGTGCACTTGAGAAGAATGTGTATCCTGTTACTGTTGGATAGAACATTGTGTAATTGTCTGATAAATATGCTTTATCTTATGTGTAGTTCAATTCCAGTGTTTATTTATTTTCTATCTGGATGACCTGTCTCTTGTTCAATAATAGGGGATATTGAAATTTTGTTGCAGTCTATGTATCCTTTCAGTTTTTTTAAATGTTTGCTTTATATATTTAGATGCTTTGATGTTGTGTGCATATATACTGTGTGAGTATTAAAAATAATTACAAATGTCATCTATTGTATGGCTAACATATTTTCCAAATTTTTCTAGAGGAAACTTATGAGTACTCTTCACCCTATGTGACTGCACCTTCAAAAGCAATTTATAGAACATATAGGGCTGGTCCAAGCTTTTCTAAAGACATCCACCTTCCTTTACTGAATCAACTCCCTTCAGGTAATTTTTAATATTTTTAGTGTACAGTGTGATTTTTAAAATAAAGCTATAACTAAATGTAAATAACCAAGTTGTAATAGCTTTAGTCATATAACAGTTTGGCAAAATATAAATGAAAGTAAATTGTGAGTTAAGTGC
Organism: Homo sapiens; assembly: GCF_000001405.40. Taxonomy (NCBI): domain Eukaryota; kingdom Metazoa; phylum Chordata; class Mammalia; order Primates; family Hominidae; genus Homo; species Homo sapiens. Next base: position 32,852,071 of record NC_000010.11, read on the forward strand.
ACCTAACATTTGTTCATTCTTAGCAATGAGTAGTTGTCCCTGGCATTTCTCTTCCTCTTCTCCATTATGACTAAATTGGAGCTCCATTTCTGTTCTCCACCTTCTTGTCTTGTTGACTACTGCAGATTTTGTGGATGACTGAGATAAACTCATTTTATAACCTCTTTCTTATATTTATGTATCCCTCTTTTATGCAACCCCAGGGAGAGCATACAATAGAAAGACAACATAAGGATAGGTGAGAAGAAAAATAAATCATATGTTTAGTTTTTCCCTTCCCTTCATTATCATCTACCTAGGCTTTTAACTCCATTAATATCTAAGAACTAAGATTCGATTCTTATCTGTCACTCCAGAGGCATCATTATATAATTATCACCCTGGTACATTTTCTACAGTTAATTGAGTTTGAATTTTTTTTATTTTTTTATAAACGGAGTCTTGCTCTGTCGCCCAGGCTGGAGTGCAGTGGCATGATCTTGGCTCACTGCAACCTCCACCTTCTGGGTTCTCCTGCCTTAGCCTCCTGAGAGTTTGAAACTTTTAAAAAATGTAAATCATTTTTCTTTGATTTATTCTGTGCTCTAAAATAAATATCCATGGCACTTTCTATCCATAAAGGTTCTAAGTAAAAAATCAATAGGAAATGCAGAAAGTTGACTATTACTTTTACTTATTTTTTTACTACATGCAATATAAAAGGAAAAAGAAAACAGTAAAAAGATATTTGGGCTTGCTTCTGGAAAAGCAAATGAATGTAAGCAAAGAAAGTGAAATCCATGTTCTTTCCCAGTGAGCTAGAAGAAAAAATGGTTAGAAATTATATATGACAAAAGAGGAAAGTTTAAAATAATAAGCAAAATCCTGGGCTTCAGTGGATACAAAATAAAGTTGACAAGATAGGCTAGGACTCAAAAGGAGGGTTTTGTTGGTTGGAACTCCTAGCTTTTTATAGCTTCTCAAGCTGGGTTAGTCATTGTTCATTATATTTTAGATAAATGTAATTGATTTGGGGTTCACTTGTTACTTCATATCACCTACAACACTGCTTTTCATTAATGTAGCTCCTGGTTTTTCCTATAATTTGGGTTTTTTTTTCTAAGCCCAAGACTTTTATTTGAAGAATATACTAATTATAAGCAGTAATAATAATGCTTAAAGAAAACAAAGAGGAGAATAAAATTAATAAATGGTCTAAATAGTCTAATATCTATACTCTTGCTTTATGATTACAGAGGAATAATAATGGTCTTCTCTTATGGATTGAATGAAAACTATAATAGCATAAAATATTTTAAAATTTTTCACGAAAGCATTTGGCCTTTGAATCTAAAAATAATGGCAGATATACATTTTTCAAGCAAACACTTGCCTTAAGGAATGGAAGAATTGAATGTTTCATTTCTGTGCAAAAAATATACTGAGGAAAGTCAACATATTAATGTAAAATTTTACTAACTTTGAGAAAGTACCATTCAAATGTTTCACCTTCTGCTTTTAATGTCAGCATTTTTCCTCCAAATAAGCAGGTGTTGAAACTAGTTTTAATTATATAGTTTTGTTTTTAGCAGTGTTCAAAATATGTATCTTTACAATTGCATTTCTAGTATCTCCTCCTTAATTATAGCACTAGATTTCTCATTGTGGGACTATAAACTTCTTTTTAAATAAAATGATACAATGTTTTATATAGAGATGAAAACTTTATCTAAAAATTTGCATTTTAATTATTCACATTTTTTACTGTCCTGCAAAAAGGCTCATTCTCTGACATTTTTATCTATGACCTTTCTAGTCTTCATTTGTTTTCATATTTTTTACTTTTATTTCAGATTCATGGGGTATATATGCAGGTTTGTTACATGGGTATACTGCATGACATTGAGGTTTGGGATATGACTGGTCCCATCACCCAGGCAGTGAGCACAGTGCCCAATAGGCAGTTTTTCAGCCCATGACCCTCTCTCTCTCCTCACTAGGGATCTCCACTTTATTGTTCCCATATTTATGTCCATGCTTTCCCAAGGTTTAACTCCTTCTTGTAAGTAAGAACATGTGGTATTTGGTTTTCTGATCCTATGTTAATTTGCTTTAGTCTTTCTTTTTCTTGATTTGTACTCTTATAATGCACTCTTATAAATATCAAATACCAGGCAAGAAAAAAATCAGAGAGAAAATATTTGTGTCAGGTAAGCTGCTTTATCTAAATTACTGAAAAAAAGTTGTAAGGAAACTGTGTTTTAGAATACTAAGATTTATTTTAACATTTTAAAAGTTGAAATTACTTAATTTACCACATAATTTAATAACACTGTTCTCATTTTTTTAGGGCATTCGAAAGTTGTTACCTTAAGCCAAAAAACTATTGAATTTACTCTGCCTACTGTGACCAATACAGTTGGAAAACCTACCTATAAAGGTAAAAGAATCACTACAATACAGACATATGAAATAAAACTTTATGCTATATTCTCATCGTCTCTATTTACCAACCTCAAACCTCTGGGCTTCCTTCTTCAAACAACCAACCTTATGGGTGAGGCATGGTTTCCCAAACCTTTCTTCAAACAAGTAAAAATATATATGTAAACAGTGGTTTGTGGTTCTGAATAACCACAGGCTTATATGCTTATATCCTCCTCACTTTTGACCCAGGTAAATTGATAGAAATTTCTTTCATCTGTCACATTTTTAAGCTACTGCATGATATTCTATGATGTGAATGCATCCTAATTTATTCAACGATTCCTCTACAGAATAACATTTTATCATCGTTTTTTGCCACTACAAGCAATGGTGCAATAAATACCATTGTTCATATATATTTATGTCACAGTGATTGCATTTCTATAAAAAAGAACATGTAAGTGAGGTTGGTGCATTAAAGGTATATATCATTTTAATTTTAATAGATATTAGCAAACGTTTCAAATTACTATGGCTAATAGCTCTGCTAGTAAATGCATGAAATGCCTATTTCCAAGCACCTAAGCCAGAACTAGACTTTTCATGCATTGGAAATATTAAGAATATTAAATAATATTGTTAAGATATCAGTACCACTCAAAGTGATCTAAGGATTCAGTGCAATCTCTATTGAAATCCCAAATACTTTTTTTACAGAAAAATGTAAGTTTTTTTTTTTTTTAATTCATACAGAATCTTAAGGCAGCAGTCCTCAACCTTTTTGACAGCAGGGACCGGTTTCGTGGAAGACAATTTTTCCATGGAATGGTGGTGGGGGAATGATTTTAGGATGATTCAGGCGCATTACATTTATTGTGCACTATATTTCTATTATTATTACACTGTAATATATAATGAAATAATTATACAATTCACCATAATGTAGGATCAGTGGTAGCCCTAAGCTTGTTTTCCTGAAACTAGGTGGTCCCATCTGGGGGTGATGGGAGACAGTGATAGATTATCAGGCATTAGATTCTCATAAGGAGCACACAACCTAGATCCCTCTCATGCGCAGTTCACAATAGGGTTTGTGCTCCTATGAGAATCTAATGCTGCCACTGATCTGACAGGAGGCAGAGCTCAAGTGGTAATGCCAGCAATGAGGAACAGCTGTAAACACAGATGAAGCTTCCCTTGCTCACCCACTGCTCACCTCCTGCTGTGTGGCCCAGTTCCTAATAGGCCACAGACCAGGAGTTGGAGACCCTGCCCCTATAAGGGACCCGATAGTCAAAATAATCTTGACAAAGAACAAAATTGAAAGACTTACACTTCATAATTTCGAAGCTTACTGCAAAACTACAATAACCAAAACAGTATGGTACTGGCCTAAAGACAAACACATAGTCTGATGGAATAGGATAGAGAGCTGAGAAATAAACCCTCACATATATGGTCAAATGATTTTTTACAAGAGTGCTAAGACTAATCGGTATGGAAAAAATAGTCTTTACAACATATGATGCTGAGAAAACTAGATATCCACATGCAAAATAATGACGTTGTGCCCTTTATCTTACACAGACAAAAATTAACTCAAAGTAGACCGAAAACCTAAAACTAAGAGCTGTACTTTAAAACTCTTAGAAGAAAACATAGGAGAAAACCATATATTGGATTTGGCAATGACTTCTTGGATGATACCAAACACACTGTCCAAAAAAATAGACATGTTAGAATTTATCAAAATTAAAAACTTTCAGTCATCAATGGAAAATATCAAGAGTAAAAAGGCAAACCACAGAATGGGAGAAAATATTTTTAAATCACATATCTGATAAGGTATTAATAATCCAGAATATATAGAGACCTCCTACAACTCAACCACAACAACAGAACTCAATTTTAAAATGGGCATAGGCCAGCCTCCTAGAGAAACACTAATCTGATCTGATCACCCTGCCCTCTGGACTGAACACGCACAGCACCCTGCCTCCCTGGATTGGGAAAGCCCTCTACAGCCTGAGTTGCTGAGGTGCCCCACCTCCCTAGGAGTGAAGCCAACATTGCACTGCTGCACACCCCCCAGGGCCAAAGCCACAGATGTGCCCCCATCATTCCTGGACCTTGCTGTCACTGCACCTGACCTCACAGAGCCTGCGCCACTGCTGTGTCCCATTACTCCAGGGCTTAGAGTTCTTGGTGCATGAATTGCCACTGTGTCCTATTGGTTCTGTAGCCTGAATTGCAATTGTACCCTGCTCATTGGGGCCTAAACCTCTGGAAAACCTCTTCCTTCCCAGAGCCATGCCATTGCTGCACCCTAACACCCAGGATGAGTCAGCAACATGCCTGATCCTGGGCCTGAGATACTGGGAAGTGCCTCAGAATCACAGTACTTGGCCTTGTGGGAGAGCTGCATCACCCATACCTAAAAGAATAAACCTGGACCTACACCACAGGTGTCCTGGCAGTTCAACAAGACACTGAGCCCCAGACCCCAGCTCCACAGCCACTCTGAGCACCTGTTCCCTGTAACACAGCACTGCTTGGCTGCCTCTGGCCTGTGTCAGGCTCAACACCAAGAGAGATGCCCTCAGGTAAATCTACTACTATGGGGTAACTAGAACAGAAGGATCTTTAAAGTCCTTTACACTGAGAAATGGACTCCACTACTGTGCCTACCCAGAATGAGAGCCACTGCACTTTGCCCAACTAATACCTGCAGACAATATCTGCAGGTGACAGTCTCCCCAAGGAAGCCACTATAAAAACAAAAATTAGCAAATAGAACTTAATTAAACTAAAGACCTTCAGCACTTTCCATCCAACAGCAGCAGAACATACATTTTTTTCTAGTGCATATGGAACATTCTTAAGGATAGACCATATATTAGGCCATAAAACAAGTCTTAACAAATTCAAGAAGATTAAGAATATACCTAATACTATTTCTGAAAACAATGGTATGAAATTAGAAATTAAAAACAAAAGGAATCTTGAAAATGTACAAATATGTAGAAGTTTTAAAACATGCTCCTGAACAACCAACCAGTAGGTGAAAGAAGAAATCAAAAGCAATACTTAAAAATATATTGACAAATGACAATAGAATCACAACGTATCAAAATCTATGGGAAGCAGCAAAAGTAATTCTAAGAGGGAAGCTTATAGCAATAAATGACCACATTATAAAAGAAGAAAGATTCCAAATAAATAGCCTAATGTTATGCCTCAAGGAGTTGGAAAAAGAAAAACAAGCCAAAGTTTGCAGAAGGAAAGAAATAATAAAGATTAGACCAGAATTAAATCGAATAGAGAATAGAAAAACTATAGAAAAAAAAATCAATAAAACCAAGAGTTGCTTTTTTTGAAAAAAATAAAATAAAATAGACAAAATCCTTGCTAGGCAAACTAAGAAAAGAAGAGAAAAACTCAAATAAAATCAGAAATGAAAATGAAGACATTATAGTAGATACCAAAGAAATTAAAAGGATCATAAGAGACTAGTATGAAAAACTATATGCCAACAAATTGGATAAAATAAAGGAAATGAATAAATTCCTCAAAAAATATAAGCTACCAAGATTGAATCAGGAAGAAATAGAAAGCTTAGACAAACCAATACCAAATAAAAAGGTTGAAGAAGTAATTAAAAGCGTTTCAACAAAAAAGGTCAGAACATTTCGAGGTGGCTTCACAGCTTCACACCTTCACATTTGAATACTACGAAACATTCACAGAAGAATTATCAGTGCTTCTTAAACTCTTCCAAAAAAATCGCACTAGAAGGAGTATTTTCAAACACGTTTTATGAGGCCAGCATCACCTCAAGACGTAAGCCAAAGAAAGACACCATAGGAGAAGAAAACTACAGAGCAATATCTCTGATGAACATTGATGCAAAAATGCTCAATTAAACATTATCAAACTGAATTCAACAACAACAATTAAACATTATCAAACTTAATTGAAAACAACAACAAAATTGAACATCATGAGCAAGTGGGATCTATTGCTGACATGTAGGGCTGGTTGATCATGGGTAAATTAGTCAATGTGATACTTCATATTCACAGCATAATCTCAGATGATCCCCCATGATGGTCTCAGTTGACAAAGAAAAAGCGTTTGACAAAGTTCAGCATTCTTTCTTTATTGAAAGTTTTAATAGTATAGGTATAGAAGGAAAGTTCCTCAACATAACAGAGGCCATTTATGAAAAATCTACAGCTGATGGAGGAATATTTTCCAAGCAAATGGAAAGCAAAAAAAAACCAGGGATTGCAATCTTAGTCTCTGATAAAACAGACTTTAAACCAACAAAGATCAAAAGAGACAAGGGCATTACATAATGGTAAAAGGATCAAAGCAACAAAAAGAGCTAACTATCCTAAATATATGTGCATCCAATACAGGAGCACCCAGTTTCATAAAAAAAGTTCTTAGAGACCTACAAAGAGACTTAGACTCCCACACAATAATAGTGGGAGACTTTAACAACCCCGTGTCAATATTAGACAGATCAATAAGACAGAAAATTGACAAGGATATCCAGGACTTGAACTCAGCTCTGGACCAAGCAGACCTAATAGACATCTACAGAACTCTCCACCCCAAATCAACAAAACATACACTTTTCTCAGCACCACAATGCACTTATTCTAAAACTGACCACTTAATTGGAAGTAAAGCACTCCTTAGCAAATGCAGAATAAGGGAAATCATAACAAATAGTCTCTCAGACCACAGTGCAATCAAATTAGAACTCAGGATTAAGAAACTCACTCAAAACCACACAACTACATGGAAACTGAACAACCTGCTCCTGAATGACTACTGGGTAAATAACGAAATGAAGGCAGAGATAAAGATGTTCTTTGAAACCAATGAGAACAAAGACAGAGCATATCAGAACCTCTGGGACACATTTAAAGCAGTGTGTAGAAGGAAATTTATAGCACTAAATGCCCACAAGAGAAGGCAGAGAAGATCTAAAATCGACACACTAACATCACAATTAAAAGAACTAGAGAAGCAAGAGCGAACAAATCCAAAAGCTAGCAGAAGACAAGAAATAACTAAGATCAGAGCAGAACTGAAGGAGAGACACAAAAAACCCTTCAAAAAATCAGTGAATCCAGAGTTGGTTTTCTTGAAAAGATCAACAAAATAAATAGGCCACTAGCCAGACTAATAAAAAAGAAAAGAGAAGAATCAAATAGATGCAATAAAAAATGATAAAGGGAATATCACCACCGATCCCACAGAAATACAAACTACCATCAGAGAATACTATAAACGCCTCTACGCAAATTAACTAGAAAATCTAGAAGAAATGGATAAATTCCTGTACACATACACCCTCCCAAGACTAAACCAGGAAGAGGTCGAATCCCTGAATAGGCCAATAACAAGTTCTGAAATTGAGGCAGCAATTAATAGCCTATTAACCAAAAAAAGTCCAGGACCAGACGGATTCACAGCCAAATTCTACCAGAGGTACGAAGAGGAGCTGGTACCATTCCTTCTGAAACTATTCCAAACAATAGAAAAAGAGAGAATCCTCCCTAACTTATTTTATGAGGCCAGCATCATCCTGATACCAAAACCTGGCAGAGACAATAGAAAAAAAGAAAATTTCAGGCCAATATCACTGATGAACATCGATGTAAAAATCCTCGATAAAATACTGGCAAACCGAATCCAGCAGCGCATCAAAAAGCTTATCCACCACGATTAAGCCGGCTTCATCCCTGGGATGCAAGGCTGGTTCAGCATACACAAATGAATAAACATAATCCATCACACAAACAGAACCAATGACAAAAGCCACATGATTATTTCAATAGATGCCGAAAAGGCCTTTGACAAAATTTAACAGCCCTTCATGCTAAAAACTCTTAATAAACTAGGCATTGATGGAATGTATGTCAAAATAATAAGAGCTATTTATGACAAAGCTACAGCCAGTATCACACTGAATGGGCAAAAACTGGAAGCATTCCCTTTTAAAACCGGCACAAGACAAGGATGCCCTCTCTCACCACTCCTATTCAACATAGTGTTGGAAGTTCTGGCCAGGGCAATCAGGCAAGAGAAAGAAATAAAGCGTATTCACTTAGGAAAAGAGGAAGTCAAATTGTCTCTGTTTGCAGATGACATGATTGTATATTTAGAAAACCCCATCATCTAGGCCCCAAATCTCCTTAAGCTGATAAGCAACTTCAGCAAAGTCTCAGGATAAAAAAGCAATGTGCAAAAATCACAAGCATTCCTATACACCAATAACAAACAGAGAGCCAAATCATGAGTGAACTCCCATTCACAATTGCTACAAAGAGAATCAAATACCTAGGAATCCAACTTACAAGGGATGTGAAGGACCTCTTCAAGGAGAACTACAAACCACTGCTCAAGGAAATAAGAGAGAACATAAATAAATGGAAAAACATTCCATGGTCATGGATAGGAAGAATCAATATCGTGAAAATGGCCATACTGCCCAAAGTAATTTATAGGTTCAATGCTGTCCCAATCAAGCTACCATTGACTTTCTTCACAGAATTGTAAAAAACTACTTTAAATTTCATTTGGAACCAAAAAAGAGCCTGCATAGCCAAGACAATCATAAGCAAAAAAAAAAAAAAAAAAAGAAAGCTGAAGGCATCATGCTACCTGACTTCAAACTATACTACAAGGCCACAGTAACCAAAACAGCATGGTACTGGTACCAAAACAGATATATAGACCAATGGAACAGAACAAAGGCCTCAGAAATAATGCCACACATGTAGAACCATCTGATTTTTGACGAACCTGACAAAAACAAGCAATGGGGAAAGGATTCCCTATTTAATAAATGGTGTTGGGAAAACTGGCTAGTCATATGCAGAAAACTGAAACTGGACCCCTCCCTTACACCTTATATAAAAATTAACTAAAGATGGATTAAAGACTTAAACGTAAGACCTAAAACCATAAAAACCCTAGAAGAAAACCTAGGCAATACCATTCAGGACATAGGCATGGGTAAAGACTTCATGACTAAAACACCAAAAGCAATTGCAATAAAAGCCAAAATTGACAAATGAGATCTAATTAAACTAGAGCTTCTGCACAGCAAAAGAAACTATCATCATAGTGAACAGGCAACCTACAGAATGGGAGAAAATTTTTGCAATCTATCCATCTGACAAAGGGCTAACATCCAGAATCTACCAAGAACTTAAACAAATTTACAAGAAAAAAAAATCCCATCAAAAAGTAGGCAAAGGAGATGAACAGACACTTCTCAAAATAAGATGTTTATGCAGCCAACAAACATATGAAAAAAAGATCATCATCACTGGTCATTAGAGAAATGCAAATCAAAACCACAATGAGATAACATCTCATGCCAGTTAGAATGGCGATCATTAAAAAGTCAGGAAACAACAGATGCTGGAGGGGATGTGGAGAAACAGGAACACTTTTACACTGCTGGTGGGACTGTAAATTAGTTCAAACATTGTGGAAGACACTGTGGTGATTCCTCAAGAATCTAGAACTATAAATACCATTTGACCCAGCAATCCCACTACTGGATATATACCCCAAGGATTATAAATCATTCTGCTATAAAGACACATGCACATGTATGTTTATTGCAGCACTATTTACAATAGCAAAGACTTGGAACCAACCCAAATGCCCATCAGTGATAGACTGGATGAAGAAAATGTGGCACATATACACCATGGCATACTATGCAGCCATAAAAAAGAATGAGTTCACGTCCTTTGCAGGGACATGGATGATGCTGGAAACCATCATTCACAGCAAACTAACACAAGAACAGAAAACCAAACACTGCATGTTCTCACTTATAAGTGGGAGTTGAACAGTGAGAACACATGGACACAGGGAGGGGAACATCACACACTGGGGCTTGTCGGGGGTTGGGGGGCTAGGGGAGGGATAGCATTAGGACAAATACCTAATGTAGATGATGGGTTGATGGGTGCAGCAAACCACATGTATACCTATGTAACAAACCTGCACGTTCTGCACATGTACCCCAGAACTTAAGGTATAATAATAAAAAAAAAACCCACAGCTAACATCATAATCAACAGAGAACACCTTAAAACTTCTCCACTAAGATCAGCTACAAGGCAGGGATGTCCACTCTCACCAGTTCTATTTGTTCAACACAGTACTAGAAGTACTATCAAGGACAATCAAACAAATTTGGATTGCAACCAAATCAGAAAGAAAAATACTCTGTTTGAAGACAACATGATCTTATATATAGGAAACCCTAAAGACTACATTACTTAAGTGCTAACTTTGCAGGATACAAAATCAACATACAAAAATCAGATACATTTCTATAAACAAATAATGACCTAACTGAAAAAGAAACTTTAAAAGAAATAATTTCATTTATGATAGCATAAAAAAGCTAAGCATTAATTTAACCAAGGAGGTGAAAGATTTGCACACTGACAACTAGAAAACATTGATGGAAGAAATTGAAGAAGTCACAAATAAATGGCAAAATATTCAGTGTTCATGGATGGGAATAATTAACATTGTTATGTTCATAGTACTCAAAGCAATAATACAGACTTAACAAAATACCAATCAAAATTCCAATGGTATTATTCACATAAATAGAAAACAATCCTAAAATTTGTATGAAACCACAAAAAAAACCATGAATAGACAAAGCAGTTACAGATAAAAGGTAAAAACAATTGGAGGCATCACATGTCCTGATTTAAAATTATATTTCAAAGCTATAGTAATCAAACTCATATGGTAATGGCACAAAAACAGAAACACAGACCAATGGAACAGAGAAACCAGAAATCCAAATGTTTATGGTAGACTATTTTTTTGTTGTTGAGACAGAGACCTACTTTGTCACTTGGGCTAGAATGCAGTGGCATGATCATAGCTCACTGTCACCTTTAACTCCTGGGTTCAAACAATCCTCCTGCCCCAGCCTTTCAAATTGCTAAGACTACAGGTGCACACCACCACATTCAGCTATTTTTTTAATTTTTTGTAGAGACAGGATCTTGCTACATTGCCAAGGCTGGTCTTGAACTCCCACCACACCAGGCCCAATGATCAATTAATTTTTGACAAGGACTCCAGGACTCCAGGTGTATGCAATGGGGAAAGAATAGTCTCTTCAATAAATGGTGCTGGGAAAACTGGATTTCTATATGCAAAAAATATAATTGAACTTTTATCTTACACCATACACAAAAATCAACTCAAAATGGATAGGAGACCTACATGTAAGACCTGAAACTATAAAACTCCTAGAAGAGAACATAGGAGAAAAGATCTTTGATGCTGACTTTGGCAGGGATTTTTTTGTATATTATACCAAAAGCTCAGGCTAAAAAACAAAATAAATAAATAAATAAATAAATAAGGCTGTGTCAAGAAAAAACCTCCCACACTGCAAAGAAAACAATTAACAAAATGAAAAGGCAACCTACTGACTGGTAAAAAAAAAAAAAAAATTTGCAAACCGTATAACTGATAAGGGGCTAATATCCTAATTTTATAAGGAATACTTACAACTCAACAGCACAAAAACAAATAACTTGATTTTAAAATGGGCAAAAAATCTAAACAGACGTTTCTCTGAAGAAGACACAAAAATGGCATCAGTAATCCTTAGGGAAATGCAAATCAAAACTACAATGAGATACCACTTCATAGTCATTAGGATGGCCATTATTAGAAGAAAAAAGGAGAGGGTTGGGGAGAGGAGAGAAAGAAAGAGAATAACAACTGTTGGTAAGGATGTGGAGAAATTCAAATCCTTTTTCAAAACCGTAAAAATTATAAAATATTTAGAAAGAAATATAACAAGAAGGGACAATGCCTTTTTCAAAAAAAATTGTAATTATAATTGTCGGCTACTTATAACAAGACCTGAAAAAAGTATTGAGACACAGCAATATCATTTACTATATTAAAATATCAAATTCCAAAGTATATTTATATATATATACACACACATATATATTACATAATGCAATTAAAATCAGAAATTTTCATAGCTAAATACATTTATATTTAATAAATAAATTCTAAAGATTAAAGATGAAGTGTTCAAGAACTAAAATGAAAAGAAACTGAACTCCTGTTGTACAATATATACAAAACTCTGGATTAAAGAGTTAAGGCCAAAAAATACAATTTAAATTAGAAGAATAATTAGGAAAATATGTTTAACCGTAATGATAGAAAGAAACATAGGAAATCCTGAAGCTTAAAACTTAAAAGAAAAACATGTCAGACTACTCATTCTTATAGATGTCAATGGGAAAAGAGGTAAAAAATGATATCAAAAGAGAAGTAAAGAAGGGAATGCACTTGCAGTAACGGCAGAGTAGTTCACATACAGCACGACTTCCACAGCTTTGTGTGTAACCACCAAATAAACCTTGAATTCTATCTCAAATCATGCACAGAAATCAAGATGAATCATGTACCTAAATCTTAAATCCCAAAGTATAAAGCACCTTAAAGCACACATAGGAGAATAAGTTTGCGACCTTACTGATGGGAAATAAATTAGTAACCATTAAAGTAAGCTCGATAATTAGACTTGATCAAAATTAAAAACTTCACACATAAAAAGACAGCATTAAGCAAACAAGCACGCTATGAATGGAGAAAAAGTGTTTATAATACATATAGCTTATAATAGACTTCTCTGCAGAATATGTAAAGAACTTTTATGTTAATATTAAAATGACACTCAAAAATTGAGTATATTTTTTCTAAAAGCAGATACACAAAAAGAAGGTATACAAAGGACACACAAATGATGAAAATGCATGTAAACAGTATTCACCATTAGTCATCAGTGAATAGCAAGTTAAAGCCACAGTGAGGTACTCCTATTATACACACACACACACACACACACACACACACGAGAATGGCTAAAGTTATAAAGTGACAATACCAAATGTTGATGAGAATGTGCAGTAACTCTTATTGCTGGTAAGGGTGTAAAATGGTACAACTACTTTGAAAAATTGTTTAGCAGTTTTTTACTATAAGGAGTGTGTACTAATAGAACTTGATTAGAAAGGAGTATGAGGAAACGTTCTTAGAGTGATGGCAATGTTCTGTTACATAATCAAATTGTGGGTTACACAGCTGTAGGCATTGTCAAAACTCACCTGTTATAATAACTAAGATTCATTCCTCCATGTAAATTCAACTCCCAGAATGAGAACTACAAATAAATATTGAGCTCTAGTCATATGTTTGGTTTTCATCACTGTATGGCTTGGTGATCCTTTTTGTGCATTTTAAGTTCAAGCAAACAAGCAAACACATTAAGGGTAACAGCCACCATGTTTTCCCATTATTGGAAAAGGTAAGTTTAAATATGGAGAGAGGAATGAGTAGATTAACCCTGTAGTATATTGAATTAGAGTTGAAAATATCTGCATGAACCCACAGGTTTATACAAACACACACATCCTTTAGCTGTTCCTGCTCAGAGAACCTAAAAGCAATGACACATCGATAGGAATGAGCACACCTAGCACCCAAATCTACATTTCTAAATATTATTCTCCATTAAAATGAATCAGGGATTCTTTAAAAAGAGAATTATTCAATGGCTGACATAAATAGAAAATGCAAAATCATACAACTTCTAGATGACAAATCTAGGTGTCCTTGGGTGTGTCAATGACTGTTTAGATATGACACCAAAGGCACAATCATGAAAGAAATAAATGATAAGCTAGACTTCATTAAAATGAAAAATGTCTGCTCTGTAAAAACATTAAAAGAGAATAAGCCACAGAGAAGATCTTTACAAAAGACATATCTGATAAAGAACTGTTATTCAATATATACAAAGTGTTCTTAAAACTTAATTATTTGAGAAAATGAACAAATCAATTTAAAAATAGTTGAGGGTACTCTGTTTTTTTAATGTGAACAATTTATTAAAAAAGACAAAACAGGCTGTGAAAATGTAGATAAAAGGAGATTAAAGAGATTAGCCATCGAAGTAATTAATAGTACCAATGGATTATAAATAGTTGAACAAAATAAAATCTATGAGCTCTGCTCATATGAAATTAAAAGAAGGAAGAAAAGGAGGTGGTGGTGAGGAAAGGAGAGAAAAAGGGAGAAGGAAGCAGAGGGAGGAAAAAGGAAAAGCTATTTCTTTCAATAGAATGGCAGCTGATAAAGGTAAAAAGAATGATCATGTTAGAAAATTGCAATAGATTTTTAAAAAAATTAATGGGTGAGTTTATGGGAACTAAGTATCTGCCCCAAATTACCTATTACTTATAAAAGTAAAAAAAGTACTTTACAGTAGAGAAACATAATAGACACCATTACAATCTAATGATCAAAATTGCCATCACAATATTTTGAAAAAATATAACCCATTGAGAAGGACACAACATTACATCTGGGATACTCCTCCCGAAGATGTATAACCTGAAAGTAACCATGAGAAAACTTCAGATAAAACCAAATTGAAAAATATTCTACAGACTGGTGTTAAAAATATGTAGGTCAAGACACAAAAAGAAATATAAATTAACTATTCCAGATTAAGAGAGACTAAAAAAACCCACAAATTTAGTGCATGGTCCTAGATTCAATCTTAGTCCAAAAAAATCTATAAAGGACATTATTATGACAAATGCAACTTGAATATGGGTTATGAATTAGATGGTAAGTTGAGTCAATGTTAAATTTCCTATTTTTGGTAATTGTGTTGTGATGATATATTATCATTTCTTAAGAAATACTAAAGTTTTACGGGTAAAGAGACATTATGTTTCCAAGTTACCCCTCTATAGTTCAGAAAAAATAATAGTTTATGTATTAAATATTTATCATGTTTATAAATATATGTACATAATGTTTATAACACATACATCTACATATGAACATAGAGAACATTATAAAGCAAAAAGGACAGAATAAAACTGAATAAATTCTAGAAGGGATTGGAATCCCTTCTAGAATTCTTTCAGTTTCTCTGTAAACTTGAATTGATAGAAAAATCAAAAGATTTTTAAAACCCTATTATACAAAAAGCTTCTATGAAACAAAAAAGGCAACTAACGGGAAAATGGGCAAAGAATATAAGTAGGCAATTCACAGAAGAAATTAAAATAGAAATAATAGTAAGTCTATTGTTACTAAATAGAAATAATTCTCATTAAAGATAAAACTGTTTATATTGTTTATTTTTAAAATTATTTTAAAAATTTTAGTAAACATACATTACATAAAGTTTGCCATTTTAACCATTTTTAAGTGTACAGTTTAGTCGCATTAAATACATTCACACTGCTATGCAACTATCACTACCATCTACCTCCAGAACGTTTTTTATCTTGCAAAACTGAAACTCTCCCCATTAAACATTAATTCCTTATCTCCTACCCCCAGTTCCTGGCAACCATCATTCTACTTTTTGTCTCTATAAATTTAGCTACTATAAGTACCTTATGTGGGTGTAATCATACCTATTTATTTCTTTGTGGCTGGCTTATTTCACTTAGCATAATGTCTTCAAGATTCATCCATGTTGTAGTATGTGTTGGAATTTCCTTCCTTTATTTAACTGAATCATATTACATTGTATGTATATACCACATTTTGCTTAATTATTCATCCATCAGCTGACACTTGGGCTTCCTCTACCTTTTGGCTATTTTGACAAATGCTGCTATAAAAACGGGTGTACAAATATTTGTTCCTGTTCTACTCTTTTGGGTATATAAATGAAAGTGGAATTACTGGATCATGTGGTAATTCTATTGTTAATTTTTTGAGAACTCACCATACTGTTTACCACAGAGGCTGTGCCATTTTCCTCTGTATCTACTCATCTGTTTCTTTAGTTTTAGGGGCACTGGTTTGCTCTGTGACCTCAATTCTCATATGGATCTAAGTTTGGTCAGCTTTTTTCTTACTATGTGAATGGAAGAGATGACTTCCAAGCTCTTTATGTGCCAGACAAGAAGTTGTAGTGTAGTGTTTTCAAGATTCATCTATGTTTTAGCATTTATCAGCACATTATTCTTTTTTTTTAATACTTTAAGTTCTAAGGTACATGTGCACAACGTGCAGGTTAGTTACATATGTATCCATGTGCCATGTTGGTGTGCTGCACCCATTAACTCATCATTTAACATTAGGTATATCTCCTAATGCTATCCATCCCCCCTCCCCCCACCCCACAAAAGGCCCTGGCGTGTGATGTTCCCCTTCCTGTGTCCACGTGTTCTCACTGTTCAATTCCCACCTATGAGTGAGAACATGTGGTGTTTGGTTTTTTGTCCTTCCGATACTTTGCTGAGAATGATGGTTTCCAGCTTCATCCATGTCCCTACAAAGGACATGAATTCATTCTTTTTTATGGCTGCATAGTATTCCATGGTGTATATGTGCCACATTTTCTTAATCCAGTCTATCATTGTTGGACATTTGGGTTGGTTCAAAGTCTTTGCTATTGTGAATAGTGCCACAATAAACATACGCGTGCATGTGTCTTTATAGCAGCATGATTTATAATCCTTTGGGTATATACCCAGTAATGGGATTGCTGGGTCAAATGGTATTTCTAGTTCTAGATCCCTGAGGAATTGCCACACTGACTTCCACAATGGTTGAACTAGTTTACACTCCCACCAGCAGTGTAAAAGTGTTCTTATTTCTCCACATCCTCTCCAGCACCTGTTGTTTCCTGACTTTTCAATGATCGCCATTCTAACTGGTGTGAGATGGTATCTCATTGTGGTTTTGACTTGCATTTCTCTGATGGCCAGTGATAATGAGCATTTTTTCATGTGTCTGTTGGCTGCATAAATGTCTTCTTTTGAGAAGTGTCTGTTCATATCCTTCACCCACTTTTTGATGGGGTTGTTTTTTTCTTGTAAATTTGTTTGAGTTCATTGTAGATTCTGGATATTAGCCCTTTGTCACATGAGTAGATTGCAAAAATTTTCTCCCATTTTGTAGGTTGCCTGTTCACTCTGATGGTAGTTTCTTTTCTGTGCAGAAGCTCTTTCGTTTAATCGGATCCTATTTGTCAATTTTGGCTTTTGTTGCCATTGCTTTTGGTGTTTTAGACATGAAGTCCTTGCCCATGTCTATGTCCTGAATGGTATTGCCTAGGTTTCCTTCTAGGGTTTTTATGGGTTTAGGTCTAACATTTAGGTCTTTAATCCATCTTGAATTAATTTTTGTATAAGGTGTAAGGAAGGGATCCAGTTTCAGCTTTCTACATATAGCTAGCCAGCACCATTTATTAAATAGGGAATCGTTTCCCCATTTCCCAGCACCATTTATTAAATAGGGAATCCTTTCCCCATTTCTTGTTTTTGTCAGGTTTGTCAAAGATCAGATGGTTGTAGATATGTAGCATTATTTCTGAGGGCTCTGTTCTGTTCCATTGGTCTATATCTCTGTTTTGGTACCAGTACCATGCTCTTTGCTTACTGTAGCCTTGTAGTATAGTTGGAAGTCAGGTAGCGTGATGCCTCCAGCTTTGTTCTTTTGGCTTAGGATTGACTTGGCAATGCGGGCTCTTTTTTGGTGCCATATGAACTTTAAAGTAGTTTTTTCCAATTCTGTGAAGAAAGTCATTGGTAGCTTAATGGGGATGGCATTGAATCTGTAAATTACCTTGGGCAGTATGGCCATTTTCACGATTCTATTGATTCTTCCTACCCATGAGCATGGAATGTTCTTCCATTTGTTTGTGTCCTCTTTTATTTCACTGAGCAGTGGTTTGTAGTTCTCCTTGAAGAGGTCCTTCACATCCCTTATAAGTTGGATTCCTAGGTATTTTATTCTCTTTGAAGCAATTGTGAATGGGAGTTCACTCATGATTTGGCTCTGTTTGTCTGTTATTGGTGTATAAGAATGCTTATGATTTTTGCACATTGATTTTGTATCCTGAGACTTTACTGAAGTTGCCTATCAGCTTAAGGAGATTTTGGGCTGAGATGATGGGGTTTTCTAGATATACAATCATGTCATCTCCAAACACGGACAATTTGACTTCCTCTTTTCCTAATTGAATACCCTTTATTTCCTTCTCCTGCCTGATTGCCCTGGCCAGAACTTCCAACACTATGTTGAATAGGAGTGATGAGAGAGGGCATCCCTGTCTTGTGCCAGTTTTCAAAGGGAATGCTTCCAGTTTTTGCCCATTCAGTATGATATTGGCTGTGGGTTTGTCATAGATAGCTCTGATTATTTTGAGATACATCCCATCAATACCTAATTTATTGAGTTTTTAGCATGACGAGTTGTTGAATTTTGTCAAAGGCTTTTTCCGCATCTATTGAGATTATCATATGGTTTTTGTCTTTTGTTCTGTTTATATGCTGGATTACATTTACTGATTTGCGTATGTTGAACCAGCCTTGCATCCCAGGGATGAAGCCCACTTGATCATGGTGGATAAGCTTTTTGATGTGCTGCTGGATTCGGTTTGCCAGTATTTTATTGAGGATTTTTGCATGAATGTTCATCAGGGATATTGGTCTAAAATTCTCTTTTTTTGTTTTGTTGTGTCTCTGCCAGGCTTTGGTATCAGGATGATGCTGGCCTCATAAAATGAGTTACGGAGGATTCTCTCTTTTTCTATTGATTGGAGTAGTTTCAGAAGGAATGGTACCAGTTCCTCCTTGTACCTCTGGTAGAATTCGGCTGTGAATCCATCGGGTCCTGGACTTTTTTTGGTTGGTAAGCTATTAATTATTGCCTCAATTTCAGAGCCTGTTATTGGTCTATTCAGAGATTCAACTTCTTCCTGGTTTAGTCTTGGGAGGATGTATGTGTTGAGGAATTTATCCATTTCTTCTAGATTTTCTAGTTTATTTGCGTAGAGGTGTTTATAGTATTCTCTGATGGTAGTTTGTATTTCTGTGGGATCAGTGGTGATATCCCCTTTATCATTTTTTATTGCGTCTATTTGATTCTTCTCTTTTTTCTTCTTTATTAGTCTTGCTAGCGGTCTGTCAATTTTGTTGATCATTTCAAAAAACCAGCTCCTGGATTCATTGATTTTTTGAAGGGTTTTTTGTGTCTCTATTTCCTTCAATTCTGCTCTGATCTTAGTTGTTTCTTGCCTTCTGCTAGCTTTTGAATGTGTTTGCTCTTGCTTCTCTCGTTCTTTTAATTGTGATGTTAGGGTGTCCATTTTAGATCTTTCCTGCTTTCTCTTGTGGGCATTTAGTGCTATAAATTTCCCTCTACACACTGCTTTGAATATGTCCCAGAGATTCTGGTATGTTGTGTCTTTGTTCTCATTGGTTTCAAAGAACATCTTTATTTCTGCCTTCATTTCATTATGTACCCAGTAGTCATTCAGGAGCAGGTTGTTCAGTTTCCATGTCCTTGAGCGGTTTTGAGTGAGTTCCTTAATCCTGAGTTCTAGTTTGATTGCACTGTGGTCTGAGAGACAGTTTGTTATAATTTCTGTGCTTTTACATTAGCTGAGGAGTGCTTTACTTCCAAATATGTGGTCAATTTTGGAATAGGTGTGGTGTGGTGTGGTGCTGGAAAGATTGTATATTCTGTTGATTTGGGGTGGAGAGTTCTGTAGATGTCTATTAGTTCCGCTTGGTGCAGAGCTGAGTTGAAGACCTGGATATCCTTGTTAACTTTCTGTCTCGTTGATCTGTCTAATGTTGACAGTGGGGTGTTAAAGTCTCCCATTGTTATTGTGTGGGAGTCTAAGTCTCTTTTTAGGTCTCTAAGGACTTGCTTCCTGTTGAATTGATCCCTTTACCATTATGTAATGGCCTTCTTTGTCTCTTTTGATCTTTGTTGGTTTATCAGAGACTAGGATTGCAACCCCTGCCTTTTTTTGTTTTCCATTTGCTTCGTAGATCTTCCTCCATCCCTTTATTTTGAGCCTATGTGTGTCTCTGCACGTGAGATGGGTTTCCTGAATACAGCACACTGATGGGTCTTGACTCTTTATCCAATTTGCCAGTCTGTGTCTTTTAATTGGAGCATTTTGCCTATTTACATTTAAGGTTAATATTGTTATGTGTGAATTTGATCCTGTCATTATGATGTTAGCTGGTTATTTTGCTCGTTAGTTGATGCAGTTTCTTCCTAGCATCGATGGTCTTTACAATTTGGCATGTTTTTGCAGTGGCTGGTACCGGTTGTTCCTTTCCATGTTTAGTGCTTCCTTCAGGAGCTCTTTTAGGGCAGGCCTGGTGGTGACAAAATCTCTCAGCATTTGCTTGTCTGTAAAGGATTTTATTTCTCCTTCACTTATGAAGCTTAGTTTGGCTGGATATGAAATTCTGAGTTGAAAATTCTTCTCTTTAAGAATGTTGAATATTGGCCCCCACTCTCTTCTGGCTTATAGAGTTTCTGCTGAGAGATCGGCTGTTAGTCTGATGGGCTTCCCTTTGTGGGTAACCGGTGTTTCTCTCTGGCTGCCCTTAACATTTTTTCCTTCATTTCAACTTTGGTGAATCTGACAATTATGTGTCTTGGATTTGCTCTTCTCGAGGAGTATCTTTTTGGCTTTCTCTGTATTTCCTGAATTTGAATGTTGGCCTGCCTTGCTAGATTAGGGAAGTTCTCCTGGATAATATCCTGCTGAGTGTTTTCCAACTTGGTTCCATTCTCCCTGTCACTTTCAGGTACACCAATCAGACATAGATTTGGTCTTTTCACATAGTCCCATATTTCTTGGAGTCTTTGTTCATTTCTTTTTATTCTTTTTTCTCTAAACTCTTCTCGCTTCTTTTTATTCATTTGATCTTCCATCATTGATACCCTTTCTTCCAGTTGATCGAATTGGCTACTGAGGCTTGTGCATTCATCACATAGTTCTCGTGCCATGGTTTTCAGCTCCATCAGGTCCTTTAAGGACTTCTCTGCATTGGTTATTCTAGTTAGCCATTCATCTAATTTTTTTTCAAGGTTTTTAACTTCTTTGCCGTGGGTTCGAACTTCCTCCTTTAGCTTGCAGTAGTTTGATCGTCTGAAGCCTTCTTCTCTCAACTCGTCAAAGTCATTCTCTGTCCAGCTTTGTTCCATTCCTTATTCTTTTCTTTTAATGGAATAGTCTGTACCACATTTTGTTTATCCGCTCACCAGTTGGTGGACATTTGGATTGTTTTCACTTTTAGACTATTTTGAATGATGCTGCTATGAACATTCATGTGACATTCTTTTTGTGGATATATATTTTCATTTATCTTGGATATATACCTATTAGTGGAATTGCCGGGTTGTGTAGGAAATTTATGTTTAATTTTTAGGAAGCTGCCACACTACTTTTTAAAGTGGCTGTACCATTTTACCATCCCACCAGCACTGTGTGAATGTTCTCATTTATCTATGTCCTTGCCATCATTTGTTATTGTCTGTCTGTCTTATGATAGTCATTGTAGCAGGTATGAATTATTGATATTTTAAAATGAGAAATAATGCATATATATATGGTTAAAATGCAAATGATATAGAAAAGTATACAATTAATAATTAAAATCACTTTTCCTTCACCAAATCCTGTCTCAAAAAGTAACTAGTCTCAAGCATTTTGTATAACATAAAGAGAAAACCTGTTTAGAGTAATATGCATCCTATGCTGAAAGTCATATATATATATTTTTATATGTACATATATAATTATATTCAATTATAAAGATATATAAATATATTAACATAAATGTGTATATAATTTAATATAAAATGTATATTTATTATTATTTATTAAAAGAAATCACACATCTTTTCTGCAACTAAACTCTTTTTTTACTTCAATAGCTTTGTGGGGGTACAAGTGGTCTTTTGTCCCCTGGCTGAATTGTATGGTGGTGAAATCTAGGATTTTAGTGCACCCATCACCTGAGTTGTGTGCATTATACCCAATAGGTAGTTTTTCATCCCTCACCCACCTGTCATCCTCTCCCCTTCTGAGCCTCCAGTGTCCATTATACCACTCTGTATGCCTTTGTGTGCACATAGCTTAGCTGCCACTTATAAGTGAGAACATGTGGTATTTGGTTTCCGATTCGAATTACTTCACTTAGAATAATGGCCTCCAGTTCCATCCAAGTTGCTGCAAAAGACATTATTTCATTACTTTTTATGGCTGAGTAGTATTCCATGCATGTGTGTATGTATATATATATATACATACACACACACACATACACACATATGTATGTGCATATATAAATAAAACTTTTATATATATACACACACACCAACATATCTACACACACACACACACACACACACACACACATATATACACACATATATATACTCACCACATTTTCTTTATCCACTCATCATTGCTTTTGGGGTCTTAGTCATAAATTCTTTGCCTAGGCCAATGCCCAGAAGAATTTTATGTAGGTTTTCTTCTAGAATTTTTATGGTTTCAGGTCTTAGATTTAAGTCTTTAATTCATCTTGAGTCAATTTTTGTACATTGTGAGAGATAGGGATCCAGTTTCATTCTCTACATGTGGCTATCAAATTTTCCCAGCATCATTTAATGAATTGGATGTCATTTTCCCAATTTATGTTTTTGTATGTTTCATCAAAGATCATTTGGCTGAAGTATTTGGCTTTATTTTTGGGTTCTCTATTCTGTTCCATTAGTCTATGTATTTACTTTTATACCAGTACCATGCTTTTGGCATCTTCGTCATGAAATCTTTGCCTGATCCTATGTCCAGAATGGCATTGCCTAGGTTGTCTTCCAGGGTTTTTATACTTTGGGATTTTACATTTAAGTCTTTAATCCATCTTGAGTTAATTTTTGTATAAGGTTTAAGGAAGGGGTCCAGTTTCAATCTTCTGCATATGGCTAGCCAGTTATCCCAGCACCATTTATTGAACAGGGAGTCTTTTCCCTATTGCTTGTTTTTGTCAGGTTTGTCAAAGATCAGATGGTTGTAGATGTGCAGCCTTATTTCTGGGCCCTCTGTTCTGTTTCATTGGTCGGTGTGTCTGTTTTTGTACCAGTACCATGCTGTTTTGGTTACTGTAGCCTTGTATCATATCTTGAAAGTCTTTCCGTATCAGCACATCCAAATCAATCAAATTATTTTTAAGTCCTTTATATTTAGATCTATCATAGCTTATGAGCCTCTGTTAAATAGGCCCTTTGGTTGTTTCCCGTTTTTTCTATGTAACAAACAATGTTGCAACAAAGATTATTGAAATCAAGAGATATTTTATGACTCCATCTTAGTTTCCATTAGCTTAAAGATGAGTCTTCTGCCTAAAATGGACTTGCTGTTATTTCCTCCATGATACTAAGTTAATTTTGTTGTGGTTTACAAATTGGCCTCTCATTTAAAACTGACTGATTTTTTGAAGAACCATAGGCATATTAAGTATATACATTTTTTTTGTATGCCAAAATACAAAATTCCAGTGAACTGGAACTTTTTGAATGTCTCCATTAAGACTTCTTAAAGTGTGGTCTCTGGGCTAGCAGCATGGGCATCGCCTGGGAACTTCTAAGAAATGCAGTTTCTTAGGCCGCAACCCCAGAACTACTGAATCAGAAGCTCTGGGTTCAGGTCCAGAAATCTGTTTTAGTAAGTTGTCTGAGCGATTCTGTTGCTAGCTAAAGTTGGAGAACCATTATCTATATTTATACTCCTCTAAGTTGAGAATGTCACAGCATCATTCTATAAAAACAATAGGTAGGTAGATTTATATACTATTTTCCATTTTCATTGTTTATATTATTCATACATTCTGTTTTCCATGATATCATATACAATAAAAATTATATCAACTGGAGTAAAATTAAACTTTTTTTCAATTAACACATAACTTTTCTTTAAAGTGTTACATGCTGCTGCCCGAAAATCTGTACCACACCCATACTTTTGAGAATGAAGGAAATTCTGAGCAAGATAAGCAACATGACAAATTCAGAAATGCAGGAAAGGAAATTGCAAGTATAGAAGCCTTTTGAAAATAATACTGACTCGTGTGGATGGTGCTTATTGAAAAACAGCTGGAAATACAGTGGATCAACAGGGTAGGCCCAGATCACAGAAGGCCTGACCAGGCAGTGGTGAGTTTGAAAGTTTCAAATTACTTTATTACTTTTCTTTTCAATTTTAAAGAAGTTATGCAATTATCTTTTAAATCACAAATAATAAAAATATTCACCCTATTCAAAATATTAATTTTTTGAACAATGCATAACCAACTTAGAAAAAGGAAAAGATGTAAAAAATATATGACAATAACCTGATATGTGTTAAGCATACTCTGTAGAATTTGTAATGGCACAAAATACAACTGCTAATAATTTTAAAGATGTGATTCTTACCAATCAAATGTTTTATAACACTGAAATAGTATTTGTAACTGCGTTTTTACTGTCCCCTGAAGAGCATAAATATTATTGGCTATAAAATTGTCCTAAACCCAATCTGGGTTATCACTGACATAAATATTTAGACTTGCAGAATATTCTTTTATGCCTTAAATTTTCCTATTTTTCCCCAGCAAGAATCAGAGGAATGAGCAGTAATATTAATCTAAATATTCTGGAGTTATGTTTCTGCCAAAAAATAATAAAGAAAATTGGATTTCTACTCAAACAAAATAAAGTGAAATAAAATGACTGAAATAGTTTCCATCCTTTATAATCTCCCATTGTAAAGATATTATTTACATTTTATATAGTAATGAAAAATGAACAATTTATATGGTTAGAAAAACTCATGAATTCAGCATAATGAAACTGTCAAGAGAAAATAAATGGAGAAATTATTCCCTAGTGATCAATTATTCTCTAAAACTGTGAAAGATCCCAAAGGTAACATAAATGTGAACTATATTAATAACTCTGGTGAGGGTTTTGGAGAGAATATATGCAGAAATGAATAGCAGAATTGTTATTGCAAGTTGCCGATAATTGGGTTGTGAATAAAGTGGATTTTATGTTTCTTTCTATAATTATTTTTATAGTTTTAGTGTAGTATGGAAGACTACCTGCAATGGGTGGTGATTGTTAGGGTTATCTAAACTAGATCCAATCCAGCTTCTCAGTTTGCCCCTATGAACTACCTGGATAACAATGCCAGCTCTATCTTAATTCCCATTAGTTAAGTCTGGGATTCAGCAGGCTTTTCTATAAAACATGGAGGAAGTTTTATTTTCACTGAAGCTCTGCCTTTATAGAATACTTATTTGATTAAATGAGGTAATGCATTTTCTAAATCAGTACTTTTCAAGCCTAAATACAAAATAGAACTCACCTGGGGCTTTTAAAGCCTACCAGTTTTCTGCCTTGCATCCCCAGACCAATTAAACCAGATTCTCTGTGTGATTCTAATACGCAGCCAGAGTTGAGAACCATGGAGCTTATTGTTTGAAGAGGATACAAGGGAAATAAACTAATGCCCAAGCCCATATGCAAATGGTTGCAGTTGATTTTTTTTTTTTTAATCCAGGTCCTGTAGCTACTGGCAGAGGAGACCCAGTTAATAGATTCAAGCTATCTTGGCTTCATTTAAATGGTCCTCCTCCTAGACCATCTTTTTCATGGCAATTATGACTCCTCAGCACTTTTCAGTAGAATGTTTTGTGATATAAAAATATTCCACACCTGTGCCCTACAGTATGGGAGGTATGACTCATATGTGGCTCTTGGGCTCTTTATATGTGGGTAGTGTGACTGGGAATCTAGATTTTTAATTTTACATACATTTGATTAGTTTAAACATGAATAATCCTATGTGGCTTGTGGCTCCCATATTGAACTGTGCAACTCCAGAATTACCAATGATCCAATAGCCACCAGGACCTGGGAAGGCAGTGAGCTATTCAGAGGGATATACAGAAAATATTTCTGCTTGAATATGAACCAGTCATTAGACTGGTTCAACTAAAAATAGCTCCTTGGAGAAGTAGGACCAGGAATAGTCTTTCAACTGAGCTTTGGGGTAAAATGTAATACTTTTTCAGGATAGCAGGATAACCCTTAATATTGAGCAGGGGATGCCAGTTTTAACCAATGACTCTAATTAGCTCAAATTAGGCCAGAATCAGGGCAAATGTGAATAGGGTCTAGGGTCTTTGAAAGACTTTGGCTGCCATCAAAGGTAAGGCTACTCCCAGATTATGAGGTAGTCAGATCTAAGAATGAATACTCAGTGAACCCTGGAAATTCAAAAATTCCTTTGGTTCTATTGTGAGAAACTCAATAGCTGACAACTTGCTGGAGATCATATGAATGCTTTAAATAAACTGAATGACAACAGGGAGTATTTCTCTAGTCTTTTGAATGTGTTTTTCTTTTGATTGATCTAATGATGGTGCTGCTAAAGACAAATCTGAACTGCTGAAGCCAAATATAAATGGGAAGTCTGTTTTGGTATATAAATTAGGATATTCATCAACAAATGCTGTCCAGAAAGAAAGCAGTGGAAGAATAATATTTTATTCATAAAATGTATGGGGCCATTCATGCTGTTCAGGCCATTCAAATTGGCAAGGGGCCTTCTAGTACACCATTCTTTACTTGTCACTATCTCTAATTTTTTTTTTATTTAAGTTCTGAGATACATGTGTAGGATGTACAGGTTTGTTACATAGTTAAACGTGTGCCATCGTGGTTTGCTGCACCCATCAACCTTATCTTCATCCTTATCCTTTTTTAAAAAAATTTTGATTATCATCTAAGTTTAATATAAATATATATGTTTGAAAGAGTAATAAAAAAGGAAGAACTGAATTGCATCCATAGCAGGACAAGTTTCCTCATACGTTAAAGAGGTGTTCAGAAAATTCCATACAGTATCTGCTAAATAAACATGTTTCGCAGCTTAGCAAAGATTATATGATAGCAGCATCCATGATTTGAAGTAAAACAGCATTTGCTTTCTTCTGCTGGAGGTCGTTGCTCGGGGCGATGTGCATGTTCTTAGACCTACAGCCTTAAGGAAGGGCTTGGGGGTGGCTCAGTGCATGGCCCCAGTGCAGACACTTCCAAACCCCAAACAATGAATCAACCAACCAAACACACAAACATCAAACAATTGTCTCCTTTGAGTTCCTCTTGACCGAATGGAGGCTCAGCAAGGACTGCTGTAGAAGGTACATTAACAGATTTTGGAATGAGGAAAATACCTTAATACCTAGGTATTAAGCCTCGCATGCATTAGCTATTTTTCCTGATGCTCTCCCTCCCCCAACCCACAATAGGCCCCACTGTGTGTTGTTCCCCTCCCTGTGTCCATGCATTCTCATTGTTCAGCTCTCACTTATAAGTGAGAACCTGTGGTGATTGGTTTTCTGTTCCTGCATTAGTTTGCTGAGTATAATGACTTCCAGCTCCAACCATGTCCCTGCAAACGACATGATCTCATTCCTTTTTATGGCTACATAGTATTCCATGGTGTATATGTACATTTTCTTTATCCAGTCTACCACTGATGGGCATTTGGGTTGATTCCATGTCTTTGCTATTATAAATAATGCTGAAATGAACATACATTTGCATATATATTTATAATAGAATGATTTACATTCCTTTGGGTATATACCCAGTAATGGGATTGCTGGGTCAAATGGTATTTCTGGTTCTAGATCTTTGAGGAATGGCCACACTGTCTTCCACAATGGTTGAACTAGTTTACACTCCCACCAGCAGTGTAAAAGTGTTCCTATTTCTCCATAGCATCGCCAGCATCTGTTGTTTCTTGACTTTTTAATAATCGCCATTCTGACTGGTGTGAGATGGTATCTCATTGTGGCTTTGATTTGCATTTCTCTAATGATTAGTGATGTGGAGCTTTTCTTCATGTGTTTCTTGGCCACATAAATGTCTTCTTTCGAGAAGTGTCTGTTCATGTCTTTTGCCTGCTTTTTAATGGGGTTTTTTCTTTAAATTTGTTTAAGTTCCTTGTAGATTCTTTATGTTAGACCTTTGTCAGATGGATAGATGGCAAAAATTTTCTCCCATTCTGTAGGTTGTCCGTTCACTCTGATAATAGTTTCTTTTGCTGTGCAGAAGCTCCTTAGTTTAATTAGATCCCATTTGTCAATTTTTCTTTTGTTGCAATTGCTTTTGACATTTTCATCATGAAATCTTTGCCCATGCCTATATCCTGAATGGTATTACCTAGATTTTCTTCTAGGATTTGTATAGTTTTGGGTTTTACATCTAAGTCTTTAATCCATCTTGAGTTAATTTTTGTATAAGGTGCAAGGAAGGAGTCCAGCTTCTGCATATGGCTAGCCAGTTATCACAGCACCATTTATTAGACAGGGCATCCTTTCCCTATTGCTTGTTTTTGTCAGGTTTGTTGAAGATCAGATGGCTGTAGATGTGTGGTCTTAGTTCTGAGCTCTCTATTCTGTTCCATTGGTCTATGTGTCTGTTTTTGTACCAATACCAACTGTTTTGGTTAAGGCTACACTATCTGTAATTTAAATCAAATTGTTAGTGTCCTAAACATTCAGGAGATCAGATATCAACAGAAGTGACTAGTAAGATAGTGTTACCATTTGATGCCACAGTACTTTTTTAGAGGCAAAAATCCCATTTTCTTTTTCAAGAAGAACATGTGATTACTTTTGGGGAGGGTTTGAGGAACTTCTTTTCTCCCTTCATAAGTTGGTGGCTAACATTTTGCACAGGGGCCATGATTCCAGGTGCAGAGACAAAAGGTATGTTCACTGGGGAGTTCCTAGGTACCAGTTGATTATAGAGTTATTGTTATGATGCAGGGGCAACTGCCTACTTCTGATTTTAAAAATGGTTCTCAGTGTGTTGTGTTCTTATCTATGTCAATGAGCACTGGGGTGGCAAATAAAATTAAATTTTAATAGGTTGTGGGCATTAATTATAACTTAAAGGATATAGGATATGAATTTTCAACAAAATTATTGAGCCATTGGGCCAAGGAATAAGTGGTGTTGATCACTAAAATTCAGGGAACTCATAACTTTTAACTGAGTGAGATCTTGGTGCATGAAGCCTGAAACTTTCATTTATCATTGTTTAAATCTAAAGGCAGGAACTCCCACTCAGAGTTTCACTGAGACAAAGACTGAAGTCTCTGAATTCACAGATTCAAACTCAGAAAAGGCCTTTTGATTGCTGTCTTTTCCTAACCCTTTTATCACCTTCCTAGCCAGCCAGTCATGTACCCAAATTGCAGATGGTAAGCTTACAGGCTGGGTGCTCATGGTCAACATTTCTTTACCCGCCCCCCACACCCCACAATTACAGGCATACTTTGCTTGCAAAGAGCACAGAATTCTCAAACCCTTCAGTTTGGGCAGAGGTCACAGTGGTAAAATGTATGTGTGGATACAATCTCGCCTGTGAGATCTCATCTTCTCATAGTTAAGTCTATCAGTTCAGAGCACACATTCATCATCGAGGATCACGACACAAGTTCATCTAACTTGCTTAAGGACATAAAGCTCATAAGCAACAGATAAAGGGTGGGTAACTAGATGATTGGACTCTACAGACAATGAGTTTAACCTCTAGCATATACTCCATCACAAGGACAAAGTCCATAAGAGCCAGTCTCATAATGCTAAAGAAAAATTTTTGACACTTGATAAACATGGTAAGGAAGACTTTATTAAAGACCATTGCAATAGAAGAGGGAGATTCAACTCCAAGTACAGCAAGGAAAGCTAAGAATTTATAGACAAAGAGCAGAGTGAAGGGGTCAGCAGATGGAAAATTGTTAAGAGGAGATATCAAGTGTAGAGGGATTCTTGCTTAACCGGCCTAACAAGATTCTTCTTAGAGGCAGATTAAGGACTTAGACATTAACGGCGAGGGGTGAGAAACTTGGTTAGATATCAAGCATGAGAGATTCTCGCTAAACTGACTTAGTAGGATTTTTGCTTAAGGCAGGCCAAGGATGAGGCCTAGTTGAGAAGAGGGCGTAGAGAAGCCTAGCTAAAGTTTGAACACGGAGGGAGTCATTGTCAATGTTCAGCTAAAAAGAATATTTTAGGATTGAAAGATCATTGATTTTTGAAAAGAGCTCTAGATAATATTTTGAAAAATGCCTTTCAATTAGTGGAAGATACGCCTCAACATCAACACATGCACAAGACTGAACATTTCAGAAAGGTTTGTATGTGTGTATATTAGAAGTTGAATTAAATAAAAAAATTATAATTACTTGTTGATTTATTTTCAGAATGTGTCTTTACCATATGGAACAATTTTGAACTTCTAAGATCAAGCCTTTTTGTTGCTGAGGGTAAGAAAGGAGCTCTGTGATGAGGTTCCAGCTTACTTCTATTCGCCAGTGTCCCTGTAATGCTTTCTGGTGTGATGTAAAATCAATTAAACAAAACTTGTGCTCTGCATGTTTTGAAAATGTATGGTTCTTTAAGTGTCGTATTATTTGCAAGTCTATTCTGTATGATCCTCTAATAGAGAAAAGTCACCTCCATACATTTCTTACACTTCCAGTTAAAGGAATTTAATTTAAAAAAGAGAGTATCTTGCTTTACCTTTTTTCATATTAAAACTAGAAATGTGTGGAAGAGATCAGAACAAAGTATTTATTTATATAACATTTATTAAACCTAGTGAGGCTACAAAGCGATTTACCAGATTTAGGTGAACTATGAAAGATATTGTTTATAAACTCAAAGAACTTATGCTGTGTGGGAATGTTTTCCTGAAAATTAAGTTTAATTGATACTAGTTAAAATGATAATTACTTCACTGACACTAGTTAAGAGGAACATTGAAAAGTATTATGTGAAAAATTTCTTGTAAATATTAAATGTTAGGAATCCAGTATCTTCATATTGTCTTATTTTCTCTTTTGGCCCTGAGACTGATGAATTTTCATTATAGTCACCATCATCTCTAATCATATGCCTCTTTTTATGTGACAATTTGTCTTACTTTTTGGAATTTGTATCAGCTTCTAATATTTCTGAATAGCATTAACATTTTGGTTTCTTATTTACTTGATAACCCAAATGAATACGACAAAATGAAAGAATAGTATTATATATTTATATTAGATCTTATTCAGAATCCAAAAATTATCACACCATTTCAAAGCCTGCTTATATTGGTAGGCTACTGCTTCAGTGAAAAAAAAATCAGTAAGTATTTCAGTTTTTGTGTTTAATAGTTTAACTGTTTCACATGTTATTAGAGGAGCTCAGTATATTAGAGGAGCTCAGACAGTAGTTGTGGATCCCACAGATAGATTCGAATTGGGTTCTTTGTCATATCCGTGGTGCCTCTCAGTAGTACACAGACACATTTTAAAGAAAAACAGATATATTCTCCATCAGGATAGTAAGTTAGTCTTGAAAAATGACAGGCTTTAATTTGAGACTTAAGTAAAGGATAACAGTTTATCCCATTTCACCCACCTCTGTTCTGTATATTTCTTTAAGCAACTCTAGAGCTCAGAGTTTACATTATAACAAATCATATATGATGTGTAATTTTCTACTTCCTGTAGGATTCTTGTCACAACTTAATATTTGAAAGATGATCATTCAGCCTCTACTTAATTATATATCTGGTTACAGAGATCTTACTCTCTCAATTGTAGGAAGTCTCTCACTGTTAGAAATGGTTCATAACATTGGGGTTAATTCTGCCATCGTATAAGTTATACCCATTGATGAAGCTAGAATGAAACTTTAAAAATATTTTAAAGGAGATTAAATGAGATAATAAAAGTGTAGCCTGGCACCAAAAACATTATCTGTTTATTTTCAACAGATCCATTGAAAATGCTTTATGAGAATGATCTCTATGGCTGTGAAGATTAAATAGTATATTTGAAAGTGGTGTTGCTGAGTGGGATCATTAAGGAAAGTTCTACTCAGACTCAAAGACAGAATAGGGATACATTATATCTTATTCCATTATAGAATATATTCCTAATATTATATCAATACTCTGCTTAATTAAGAATAATCCTCAAATGTTTTAACAACATAATATTGACTGCAAAACTGAAATCACATGAGAAACTAATATTCAAGACAAAAACCCTCTATGTAAACACTGAATTCTAGTAATTAAATTTGTTTCTTGTAGGAGTACAGGTTAACAATTCTGAAAACACTTTATGTATATACTGAGGCTGAATTAATAAGTAAAGGTATGATGAAGAGTGGGAGCTGGGTTTTACATGTTTGGAGTGTGAAATAGGTATAGATAAGCAAGATGGAAAGCCTGGATTGAGCCCCAAAGTAATAGGCATATGGAAAGTCTTTGAACTATTTTAGCAACTTGTCTGTAAATTTAAACTAATCGACCACAGAGCATTTGCAGAGCAAAATGAGAAGATGAATAAGAAGCCCTAAATTTTAGATGTGGACAGAAGAACAGCTTCTGTTTTGAGGCTATATGTTGGATTTTATAATTTAACCATTGTACTGCCAGGTTAGGTTTTCTATTTCCAAAGTGGGTAGAACATACTGTATTTGTCTCCTCGGGGAAGGAAAATTAAGCTTAAAGGTCTTGGAAAAAGCATTATTATAACCACCAGTTAGAAGATCAATTGGAGAGTAATTGTAAAAGTGCCATGAAGATATGAGGCATGTAAGAAGCAACATAAAAAGGGTGGCCAAACAGCAGTTTTAAAACAAAACTGAATTTACTGCTTACTGGCAAAGGAAGAATGCACCACACAGATGTAAGTTCAGAAAGTTGTTCAAAGCAGAAATTAAAGGGGTTAAAAGATATATAGAGAAAAACACCAAATAGGGCACGGTCCTGATTAATGGATGTGGATTATGAGCTGGGTTGTAAACTCTTATTTGTATCTGGTTACCTTTAGAGTTAGCATCACTAGTATGGAGAAACAAGGTTTCAAATAGGTCTGGAAAGAAGAGAGAAAATTTTCAGAGAGCCTAGGGTCATGCTTGTATACCCTTGCTCAAAGATTTCCAAGATTTTAACTTAACAGGTGTCATTATCATGTACAGTCTTACTTAGAAGCAAGAAATAAAGCTAAGGAATTTATAGAGGTACCTTCCATTGATAAGATTTAAGGGAAAACTGGTAGTATTTGATAATAAACACTTCATACACAGTTACAAGATTTACATTAGTTTTGAGGAATGACATAAAAAAGATGGACGACTAGGAAGCTTCAGCCCTTGTTCCTAATGGAAACGTTAAATATATACATAGGAAATTTTATGGCATTTTCACTTGCTCTTGCCCCACCAGTGAGGCATGAGGCAGTTAGGAGTAAGCAGCCCAATTCCCAGTTTTCTCCCTCAAACCAGAAGAAGCAGAATAGAGAATATTTGCCACATTCAAAGCTATTTGTGGGCACCCAGAGGGACTGGTTTCTGTCTTGCCAGACTCAAGGCTCAGTGTGGATCTTAAGCTGTAGAAACAGTGGAAGGCAGTGGTAGGCACCATGCCACATGGAAACTGCAGGGGGAAAGCAGATATATGTATGTCTAGGCACAGAAATTATGGGCAGAAGGATATAATAGAACATGTGAGGCCCAAAAAGCAGCTGGGGTGAGACTCTTTGGAAAATTAAGACATCTAAGCAGCCGTCTATATGAGAGAAATTGGGGAGGAAAAGGCACACTAAGGCCCTGGAAGGACACATTCCCAGAAAATACCCATGAAGACAAGCTGATCCTAAAACTCAAGGGCCTGCTGATTAGTGAAGATCTTTTACACCGATCTGCAAAGACTGAGAGAGGTGTTTGTTTTCTCACATGCCCAGTTTTCAAATGAATACCACAAAGGATTAAAAACACAAAACAAAACAAAAACAAACAAACAAAAAAACTATGATCCCTTCAAAGGAATGAAGTAAATCCCTACTGGCTTTCAGCATTTGGCTCACTAGATGAAGACATTAGAGGAACTATCTGAAATATGCTCAAAGACCTAAAGTAAAACACAAAGAACTGACAAAAATTGGGAAAATGACATATGAACAAAATGCATCATCAATGAGACAGAAATTATTTAAAAGAATGAAATAAAGATTCTGTGAAGATGGAGAAGTAGGAAATACCAGAAATCCATCTCTCCACCTACACAGCAATTGTACTGGAAGAAAGTATCTGATGTTACTGTTTTTAACTTTGGAGTCGATTAGAAGGCTTTCAATTTCTAGGGGTCTACTTGAGGGGGGAGGGTGGGAGGAGGGAGAGGGGCAGAAAAAATAACTATCGGGTACTAAGATTAATACCTGGGTGATGAAACAAACCCACATGTTACCTGTTTACCTATGTCACAAAACTTCACCTGTACCCCCAAACCTAAAATAAACATTAAAAAAAAAATCTCTTCACTGGGCGCGGTGGCTCACGGCTGTAATCCTAGCACTTTGGGAAGCCAAGACAGGTGGATTGCCTAAGCTCAGGAGTTCGAGGCCAGCCTGGCCAACATGGTGAAACCCCGTCTCTACTAAAATACAAAAAATTAGCTGGCTGTGGCGGCATGTGCCTGTAATCCCAGCTACTTGGGACGTTGAGGCAGGAGAATTGCTTGAACCCGGGAGGCAGAAGTTGCAGTGAGCCGAGATCACGCCACTGCACTCCAGCCTAGGCAACAGAGCGAGACTCCATCTCCAAAAAAAAAAAAAAAAAAAAAAAAATCTTCTCTCTAAACATTCCTTTCACTTTATCCCCCCAATAAATCTCCCTTTGCATAACATTTTTCAACAAATACTCAGGCCAAAAACTGGCACTTTAACTTACGACTTAGAACTGTTGGGAATAAAACTCCAGAAAAAAGTTGCTATTGAGTACTGAATGTCTTTATTGATAAACTAAATATATATTTAAAGCATAATACGATAATTATGTAGAGGATAAAATATAAATTGTTCACTTAGGAGATTAATACATAAATCATATTTACAGACCATTGACTTGAGAAATACAGTTCGATGACATTTCAATTTGAGCAAAAGATGAGGTGCTCAAGTATGGCATTCTGTCTCATTAAGACAGAATTCAAACTTTCTGCAAAGAAAAAGTCCCTCATTTCTTGGTGTGCTCCAGGACCTCCATATTCTTTAGATTTGGAGGCACCGCCCATTGAGGAGCTGGCTGCAGTGTCAGCGTGAGAAGGAGGAGGAACTCCAGGCCAGGGGCGGGGTACTCCAGATCCACTGGCCTCAAGGACCCCTCAGATGGAGTCAGTGTGGGAGCACAGAGCCTGGCAGCTCGGGAGGCCTGGGTGGAGGGGAAAAGAACAGTGCTGCTCTAAGACCCAGCCCCCTCGTGGGGGAGAGAGCAGCAGGGCTTGGCTCTCAGCTGCATGGCAGGTGTGGAAAAGCTCCTTGTGACGGGGTGGCTCTCATGGCCTCTCCCAGGGCCTCCAGCGTTGTTAGCATCTCTACCAGCTCCTCTTGTTGCCTGGAGAGTCTGGAGGATGTCTCTTCTTTCAGTTCTTGAACGAGGGTGGTAAATTTCTCCATCAGCATCTCGTT
Source organism: Homo sapiens (assembly GCF_000001405.40). NCBI lineage: Eukaryota > Metazoa > Chordata > Mammalia > Primates > Hominidae > Homo > Homo sapiens. The sequence goes on from NC_000010.11 coordinate 32,887,955, forward strand.
GGTGCTATTCACCTTCTTGTAGGCATCTACAAAGCCGGGGGTGTTGAAAGACTTTTTCTGTACCCTGACATCTTTTAAAGATGCCTCAGTCTCTACAATCTGTTTTCTTGCCAATGAGCTGGGATTTCTCCTTCACCTGTGAATGCAGTGTTTCTGCAAGCTGCCTTTCACCTCTTACACAGAGTTGGTTCCTAACAGACAAAGTCAATAAAAGTAAGAGACCCAGCAGTAAGCCCATGAAGTGTGGACACACCACTGTCTTCCCATCGAGGCTGTGGAAAGTGACTTGAGGACTCGCGTCATGGGGTGGCAGCCCCACCATCTCCTCATCCAGCTTCCCTGGAGTCAGCTCAGGGTCCAGCTCCACAGAAGATCGCAGCCCCTCCATGGCACCACAGCCACCACAGGGCTCCGCCCAGTAACCGTGGATCCCACAGCCACAACAGACACCAGAGAACACCCTGACATTCCGCCTGGCATCCAACCAGCAGCGGGCACCCTGAACTGGTCAACTGTATGATCAGCTAGAGGGAGAAATTTGTAAATAAAGTATACATTTCTCTATTATTGTTTAACAGTAATACTTTTCTGTTTTCTTATTCTTTTATATTAACAAAAACTTAAAATATAGTGAAGTGTGCAGATGTTAACTGCATGATTTCAGAAATTTTAAAATTTTATATTTCTTTCAGTAGCCAGCAGCCCTCTCAATGTATGGCTCATGTCCATTAACACAGAAAATCTGTCCTGTAACTTTTCAAATAACATCGTCCACCCCTCCACACGCAGCCCCTGTTTTGATTCCTATTAACATACATCAGTTTGGCCAGTTCTTCAACTTCGTAACAGAGAGATCACAATGTACACTTTCATGTCTGCCTTCTTTGCTGGAAGGTGCCTCCCTATTCCACAGACTTTGGATCAGTGGGTGTGGGGGAATCCAAGGCAGACCATGAAATGAGGCAAACTGATCTATGAGTGAGTTCTTTTGATGGCCTCAGATTAGACATCCAGGTATAAAAGTCCATAGCTCAGAACATGGTTTTCTCTGTAATATAATGGGGAAACTTTTATCTTAGTATATTTATTCTTTAATTTGGTGATTCATAAAGCTGATGGTTTTTTATAGAAAAGGCTTAAATGGTTTTAGTTTCCCATTCAATTCTCTGAATAAATTGACTTTCATTTACTTGCTATTATCAGTTCTCAAGCTATATATCATTATATCATCTAGTCATTTTAGACTAAAACTTTAGTAATTCATATTCATCAGGAATGGGATGTTTCAATTCTAAATTTTCATTCAACATACTCAGTTTCGCTTGTTTTATGTTCATAAAACAATGCATAAATACTAAAGGTAACTTTTCATAGTGTAGGTAATTTTAAAATATATATGTAAATACATAACCAGTTTTAAATTCTTCAGTAAGAAATGAGGATTTTTTTTAACTCAAAACTTGTGTTAGAGAATTTAATCTCACATTCCTACAAAATATCTAACATTCTTACAGTATTTTCTAAAGACCTCCTCGTCCCAGTTATAATTTTACAAATTTCAAATGAAAGATATCAGCACTTAAGCATATGCTCATGCTTAACAAATTTCAAATTAGAAGACAGTTAACAAATTTCAAATTAAAGGACAGTGACGAGGCTGTCATCATGCTTAAGAAAATTGAAGTGATGAAGATGGTGATTTGATGATCCTGATTCTTTGTATATAAAAATATTATTTCCAAGAACTAGGCAAGCATAAGTGCATTTGCGTCCATTCATTCTTTCTCCATATATGATTCATTTAAAATATCCCTTCCCCTCTCATTGACAATGGAAATATATACCCAACTCATTTAGTTAGAATGAAAATTTTGGAGTTTTTGAACCTCACCAAGCCCTTATTTCTGTGCTTGGGTTTTCATTTCTTCCCCACCAAACTATGTCATAGACACTTGCTATGAAGAGATAAATGTGAACACATTAAGTTTTCTTGTTACCAAGCCACAGAGACTAGGATGATAAAAAGAAAGTGAAACCTGTTTAGCAAGAAAGGCTTTGCTCTATTTTATTATTGGGTTAATCAGGAAAACAGGTTCTGATGCAGGACTGTTTGGATTTCCCAGTAACTGTAGCTCAGTATTTGTGATGAAGCTACTCTGAGGTTTTCTTACTACTGTACTTTGAAATAATAAGAAGTGCATGTTTATCTTGTAATAAAAATGTATATGGACAGCAAGGGAACTAGGACAGCTAATGCAATTTTGAAAAACAAGAATGCCAACTCTAACACTTACTGCATACCTAATAAATTCCATATGGTATTGGCAAAGGGATAGACTTATTAATCAATGGGACAGAACAGTCTCAAACAAATATGCTCAACTGATTTTTGAAAACGTGCAAAAGCAATTCATGAGAGGAAAGCCAGCCTCTCCATCAAATGGTGATTGGGCAACTGGACATCCATAGGCAAAATAAACAAAAGCTAAAAAACCAAACCTTGACCTGAACACCTGTCTTAGGCCATTCAGGCTGCTATAACAAAATGCCATGAAGTGGGTGGCCTGTAAACAACAGAAATGTATTTCTCACAGTCCTGGAGGCTGAGAAGTCCAAGATCAAGGCACTGGCACATTGGGTGCCTGCCGAGGACCCATTTCCAGGTTCACAGACGCTGTGACCCTCTGTTTCCTTGCTGTGTCCTCAGATGGTGGAAGGGACAAACAAGCTCCCTCAGTCCTCTTTAATAAGGGCATTAATCCCATTCCTGAGGGCTCTGCCATCACCCAAAATGTGTTCCATATCCAATGAGCAGCTGCCTGGCCTGCAGGACAATCTGTGGTTAACGAGCCCCAGGACAGGACACCTCCTCAACCTGGCTTCCAGCCCTCACCGGATGGGGACAAGATTTAAGAAAAAAAAAAGCACAATAATAGATAAAGCCCGGGACAAACTAGAAAACTTCAGGAGTTTATCTGTGGTACTGGAATTTCAAGGAGTTGAGGACATCATTACATCTTTCAATTAAACTAGTTACTTGGGACCTATCAGGGACATGAAAGTTCTATTCAATGTCTTTTTCAAGAGCCAAGGGTGGTGTATTCTAAGAAGTAAAACACATGCCTTGGGTGTTATTAGTAAAATCTGTTAACTCTGAAGGGAACAAGGAATGTCCTAGCAAGGCGCTACATTTTGACCTTAGTCTGTGTGGAGATAAGTGATTTTAATACTTTGGGTGTCTGTGATGCAAGAGATTCCTAGAGGGTTTGTTTGATGTGAAGGGGACAGTTTTCAGATTTACAATAAATATGAAGATGAAGCCAGTTGTTGACCAGGACATCCCGTGCTGACTGCCTTAAGTTTTGGCCAGCGGTGGTTTTGGGGTCCTGTCCTTTTTTAGGGATATCCTGGCTAAGGGATGGAAAGCAACAGCTTTCCGTAAGCTTCACCAGGGATGATTAGCAGTGACGTTTGCATGGTCTACGACTCCCATTACTGTTCACTCCATTAACCCCAAGGGGATTCCCAGGCAGTCAGGGAGTGTGGGGGACGAATGAGCTCCTGGCATTTGGCAAGGGACTTGGGCCAGAGAAAGCTGCCCACTCCGACAGGTGGAAGTATCAGGGGCCCAGGTTTTAATCCATCCTGCCTTAAGGAGGCCTAGGTAGCTGTGCCAACCTTGTAAGCTGCAGTTTCCATGACGCAAAGCATAAGGGGCAGCTGGGTCTGGAGGGTAACAGGCTCAAGGACTCTCAAAGTCTCCCATTTCCAAGACAGCCCAGTAGGCAGCGATCCTTTGTTGTTTTAATGGTGGATACCAGGAGACCAAGGGGGTAATATCTTATATCAGCAGCTCTGGGCAACTAATGGCCATCCTAAATGGTCCAAAGCCTCCAGGAGGCATTGCAAAAGGCTGCCAAAGCTTCTCCAGGGGAGTTTTTTGACGCCATTCACAGGAGTGTCTAATGACTTTAAAGTAAAATTTGTAAATGAGGAATACATTTCCACCAGTACTCAAAAGTACTAAAGTACTTTAAAGTATTACATGAATCTCCTGGAGGAGGACATCCTCCCCCCGCTCCTGGAGAAGGGGGATGTTGCTAAGATCTTGTCCGCAAAGGTCATGTGCAATAACAGAGCCAGGGAGACCTCCTAGGCTGTCTGGAAGGCTGCACTGGGTCCCTGCAGAAGGGGAGGTAAACTGAAGCTGAGAGGCAATGGAAATAGGCACTAAACAGAACCCTCAGCCAAACCCTTAAGAGCAAACGATTTACCAGGTAACTGAATAAAATTAGCAATTTAAATGAATTAGGTATTGACTATGTCAGCCCTAATGGATGGGACCACAGCATTAAGGTTGTAGTAATCCATCATCATGAGGTGCCCTTTCTATATGTGTGTGTGTGTGTGTGTGTGTGTGTGTGTGTGTGTGTGTGTGTGTGTATGTATTTATAAATTTTTTTTTTTTCAGATTTGGAAACACAGAAAAATTGGGCTGTTGAAAGCAGCAGTGAGGATAATCACCTCTTTATTTATTTTATAAAATTAGTTTTAATCATTGAATGTCTTGTTTCAACTTATATTGGATCACATAAATTATCTTAACTGGAGGTTCACGGGGTTGCATTTTACCAAGTTTTTAAGTGCCAAAGACTTACTTTAATTGTTTATTGTGTCAGAGCTTCCATCTAGGCCCAATATAGTATATTTTACAGCAACAGATACATGACTATGAGAAACTTGGGCAAGGCTACAGTTAAAGTGAGGCATACTCATTTTAAAAAATTTCATATGTAGTTATCTTCTCAAGCTTATGGGAGCAGTGGAATTTAGTGGAATCCCCAGGCTTGTAATTTGAGCGCCAGCTTATTAAGTTCATGAATTTTTTTCAATTAGTGCATATTAACCAATGTTAAAGTTAGAACCTATGTTGTAGAAGCATAAAAGCCTTTGTTACATAAATTCTTCAGTATATAAATATATGAAGTTTTAATTTCTAACTGGATTTGATTATGGAAAATACCTAATATTTAATTATATATTTACATCAAAATATTATCTATAAACATATTATTTATCTTTTACTTTCTCCTGTATCCAGAGGTTTGTTCATAAGTCAATAGGTGATCTGAGGCTAGCATTATGTTTGCTACACTGGCATTAGCTTAGTCCTTGAAGTTCCTCTTTTTTTCCCACTTTTGACTTGTAGCTAGCTGCCTAATGCGACAGTCTTTTTTTCTTTCCTATTTTTTTTCCTATTTTTCTTTCATTTGTTTTAGGTTTTCAGCCCCCTGAAGCTGAAGTTTTCTTAGTCTCTGGTTGATAAGAGCAACAGAGGGAGGCGGGAAGCGGGCACTCTCTAGTATGGCTGCTCCGCCCCAAGATAATCAGTCCCTTTTTTTCCTTTTAAGTAAAATCTTTAGAATAAATTGTAATTCTAGGTAACTAAAGAAAAAAACTTTTGTTCCCTTTCCTCTCTTTGGACGTTTTACCTGACAAGCCCCTGCTGGACCAAGTAGTGCCCTGTGGCTTTGTCCTTTCAGATTGTTACCTAAAAAAACTGGGGAGGGTACTGGCCTTGTGGGCAGCTGCTTCCCTTTCCAGGGTGTCCCACTTGACCTCTGAGGGTCAGAGAGAAGAGGAGCAGAAGGAATGTGGCAGCGAGGGAAGTGCCTACCTCAGCAGCACTGCCTCCTCCAGGGCACCATGAGGATTCACATGTGGAGTCAGGGCTGGGCAATTTGATCCTTTCACTGCTCCCAAGTCACCCCTACAGTGAAGCCCAGTAACACCCTCTCCAACCATAACTAAGGGGAAATCTTGACTCCCCTGGAGCCTGTTGCATATATCCAGTTTATTGGTTTTTGGTGTTGAGTCGTATTAAATTGTTTGAATATACAACAATTTGTGCATTCACTTGTCGATGGACATTGGGTTGTTTCCAATTATTGGCTATTATAAACAGACTTGCTAGGATCATTTGTGTAACAATTCTTTGTATGGACACTTGTTTTCACTTCACTTGGGTAAATGCTCAAAAGTAGAATGGCTGACTCAAATGTTAAGTCGTATGTTTTAACTTTTTAAGAACTGCCAACTTGTTTTCCAAAGTGGTTGCACTAGTTCACATTCTCACTAACACTAAATCACAGTGCCAGTTGTTCCACATCCTTGGAAACCATTTAAATTACAGCCATTCTAGTGGGTGTCTAATGGCATCTCATGATTTTGTCTTTCCATTTGCTTGTTTTTTTTGCCATTCATCTTCTCTGGTGGAACATCTGTTCAAATATTTTGTCCAGTTTAAATCTTCTAGGGGGGTCTTCTTATTCTTGAGACTCTAAGTGATCTTTATGTGTTCTAGATAAAAGTCCTTTATCAGACAATACGCTTTGCTAATATTTTCCCCACTATGTCTTGCCTTTTCATTTTCTTTTTTGCAATTAAAGCCACTTTGTTTCAGTGGCATTAATTACATTCACAATGTTATGTGACCATCTCTGTAGGGAAAAGAAAGAGAGATCAGACTGTCACTGTGTCTATGTAGAAAGGGAAGACATAAGAGACTCCATTTTGAAAAAGACCTGTACTTTAAACAGTTGCTTTGCTGAGATGTTGTTAATTTGTAGCTTTGCCCCAGCCACTTTGCCCCAGCCACTTTGACCCAACCTGGAGCTCACAAAAACATGTGTTGTATGAAATCAAGGTTTAAGGGATCTAGGGCTGTGCAGGATGTGCCTTGTTAACAAGATGTTTACAAGCAGTATACTTGGTAAAAGTCATTGCCATTCTCTAGTCTCAATAAACCAGGGGCACAATGCACTGCGGAAAGCTGCAGGGACCTCTGCCCTTGAAAGCAGGGTATTGTTCAAGGTTTCTCCCCATGTGATAGTCTGAAATATGGCCTCGTGGGATGAGAAAGACCTGACTGTCCCCCAGCCTGACACCCGTAAAGGGTCTGTGCTGAGGTGGATTAGTAAAAGAGGAAAGCCTCTTGCAGTTGAGATAGAGGAAGGCCACTGTCTCCTGCTTGCCCCTAGGAACTGAATGTCTCAGTGTAAAACCCGATTGTACATTTGTTCAACTCTGAGACAGCAGAAAAGCTGCCCTGTGGCGGGAGGCGAGACATGTTTGCAGTAATGCTGCCTTGTTGTTCTTTACTCTGCTGAGATGTTTGGGTGGAGAGAAACATATATCTGGCCTATGTGCACGTCCAGGCATAGTACCTTCCCTTGAACTTAATTATGACATAGATTCTTTTGCTCACGTTTTTTGTTGACCTTCTCCTTATTATCACCCTGCTCTCCTACTACATTCCTTTTTGCTGAAATAATGAAAATAATAATCAATAAAAACTGAGGGAACTCAGAGGCCGGTGCCGGTGCAAGTCCTTGGTGTGCTGAGTGCCGGTCCCCTGGACCCACTGTTGTTTCTTTATACTTTGTCTCTGTGTCTTATTTCTTTTCTCCGTCTCTCATCCCACCCGACTAGAAATACCCACAAGTGTGGAGGGGCAGGCCACCCCTTCACATCTCCACTATTTCCAAAATTTTTCACCATCCCAAACAGAACTCTATAGCCATTAGCAATAACTTCCCACTTCCACCACCCCCAGCACCTAGTAACTGCTATTCTTTCTGTAGGGAACTTACCTGAGTATTTCATGTAAGTGGAACATATATTTGTATATTTGTCCTTTTGTGTCTATTTATTTCACTTAGCATAACATCTGCAAGTCTCACCATGTTGTATCAAAACTCCATTCCTTTTATGGCAATATATGGCCACTGTCCCATATATGACGCATTTTCTTCATCCATTCACTTGTCAATGGACTCTTGGGTTGTTTCCAAGTTTTGGCTACTGTGAATAATGCTGCAATTAATATGAGCATGTAAATATCTGTTTAAGTCCCTACTTTCAAATCTTTTGACTATAAATCTAAAAGTAGAATTGAGGGGTCATATGGTAATTTTATGTTTAGCTCTTTGAGGGGGTGCTGAACTGTTTTCCACAGTGGCTGCACCATTTTACATTCCCACCAGCAGTGCATTCTGGTTTCTGATTTCTATCCTTGCCAACACTTATTTTCCACTTTTTAAAAATTAGAGCCATCCTAGTAAGTGTGAAGTGTTACCTCATCATGGTTTTAATTTGCATTGCCCTGATGGCTAATGATTTTGAGCCTCTTTTCAAAATGTTAGCCACTCGTGTATCTTCTTTGGAGAAATTAGTAACTGCTCTGCCCATTTTTAATTCGACTTTTTGTTAAATTGTAGTTATTTATATATTCTGGATATTAATCCCTTATCAGATATATAATTTACAAGTATTTTCTCCCATTCTGTAGGTTGCCTTACTTTTTTGATAATGTCCTTTGATGCACAAATATTTTTAATTTTGATGAAGTCCAATTTATGTTTTATCTTTTGTTATTTATGCTTTTGGTGTCTTGTCTAAGAACCCTTTGCCAAATTAAAGGTCATGAAGTACACTCCTATGTTTCTTCTAAAAGTCTGATGGTTTGAGTTCTTATGTTTAGATATGTCACTGATCCATTTTGAGTAAATTTTTGTATATGGTGAGAGTTAGGGGTCCAGCTTCACTCTTTTGCTTGTGGAAATCCAGTTATTCCAGCATCATCTGTTGAAAAGATTTTTCTTTCCCCATTGAACAAACTTGGAAACCTTGTCACACATCAATTGGTCACAGGTGTATGGCTTAGACAACTCCTGAGTTGTAAAAGGAAAGAGAGAAACAGAGATGGTAACTATGGTATGTTTGTTACTGAGGGGAATGACCCAGAAGAGGGGAAAACTTGATGATGCAGGAGAGGAGAGAACTGCTTGTCTTAGCAGGCAAGAGGTGATGGAGTTTGGAAGACGAATACAAGTGGAAGGTCTGCCCTTGGAGAGTTTATCTATAAGAACTGGCAGGAAGGCCAGTATGTCACTGCAGATGCTAACAGGTAGGTGGGCATGGTAGCAAATTACAGAAATGAATCCATCTACTCAACAAATACTTACTGGTCACCTACACCTTACTTTGTGCCAGATGTTGTTCTAAGGATACAATTGGTATTTTCAGCCATTTAAACTTTAGCCATTCTAGTGGGTATCTAATGGTATCTCATTGTGATTTTAATTTGCATTTCCATTTTTTTCTTTTTTGCCATTCATCTTCTCTGATGAAGTATCTGTTCCGTTCTGTTCTGAGGGTTCTCTGGTGAACCCTCATACATTGCTGGTGGGAATGTAAAATGGTGCAGCCACTGTGGAAAACAGTTTGGCAGTTCCTCAAAGAGCAAAACACAATTACTATATGATCCAGCAATTCTTCTTTTAGGCATATAATGAAAAGAACTGAAGGTATGAACTTGAACAGATACTTATATGACAATATTTATTGCAGCATTATTCGTAAGAGCCAAAAGGTGGAAACACCCCAAGTGTCCATTGAAAACTGAATGGATAAATATGCTATACGCAGGCAATGGAATATTTAGCCATAAAAGGAGTCTAGTTCTGATACATGCTACAACATGCATGGACCTTAAAAATGTTCTGCAAAGTGAAGTATGCAGACAGTGAATCAAAACACAGGTCCCTGTGCTCATGGAGCTACCACATTTAAGGATAAGAAAGAAATATCAAACACAAAGGACTATGGTAGGCTTGAGGATCTGAAAGTTGAACTGGACTGGGGATGTTTGGGCAATATCATCAAATTTACATTTAAAATGGCTGCTAAGGGGCCAGTCAGTGGTTATTGTAGAAAATCTGAATGTTTATCTCCCAGGAATAATTTTGGACAGTAAGCAACATTAGTATAAGTTTTCAACATTTAAAGTCAATAGATCAACTACTGCAGATAAAACTGAAGACAAGTCTTCTGTAAACTTGCAATAAAGCAATGGATTAAATTCTGGGATTTAAATCTTCTGAATAGTGTTTCCTCTCTCAAAGTGATCCATAAGTAACGTGTTTATATGTCAGTCTATTTTAGAATCCGGAATAAGTAGAAAGTCAAATAAAATTTATTATCACTGATGACTTTTTATGGAAACTCTATACCCTCAAAAATTTAAAATCTTAATTAAAAGTACAGTGAAGACTTAATTGTAGAAGCAAATGAAGGTAAGAATTGCCGTATCAGTGAACTTAGTATTTGTCTCATGGTTCTCCTACCATTTTTGTACCCTAAAGGTTCACACTTAGATGACATACCACCCTCAGAGCAGTGGAGACTTGATGGGCTACTTAATCTAGACCTAATCCACCTTGAAAATCTGCTCCCACTCATCACTCAGAAGCCACTTCCACCTATCCCTAAATTCTCAGAAGAATCCTGAGTCATGAGAGAAATTCTAAAGAGCCAGTGAAGGATCTTTATAGGCTCAAAAGGAGTCCTGGGGAGATACTCATTCTGTTTCTGAACTTCTTTGAGCATATCAGATCAGAAATATCTAGGCCTTAATGAAGTCATGTCTTTCGCAGTGACATGGATGGATCACCCTAAGTGAAACAATTCAGAAACAGAAAATCAAATATCACATGTTCACTCATAAGTGAAAGCTAAACAGTGGGTAAACATGGACATACAAAGGGAAAGAACAGACTCCCGGGACTCCAAAAGGGAGAGGGTAGTAGGAGGGTGAAAGGTGGAAAATTACCTATTGACTATAATGGCCACTACTAAGGTGATGGGTACACTAGAAGCCATTATGCAACATGTCCATGTAACACACCTGCACATGTACCCCTGGAATCTACAAAAATGAACATTTAAAAATGTAAACATTAAGCCTCCAAGGAATAAACTAAAGACAAATGGCCTCTACTCAAGGTTATCTCTCAAACTGTAGTGAAAAACAGAAAGGAAAAATTCCAGGTTCAAACAAAAAGCTGATCACAGGTGACTTTTTAAGTGGTATTATGAACTGTTCTTGTGGCTCAAGGTCTTACCTGGGTGCCTGTTTTAAGGAAATTCATAAAGTAAGACTGGAAAAGAGTAAGAAAACTTTTAAAATGTCATGGAATCACTGTAAAATATGCCACTATTTGGCATTAGCCAAACAATGTACTCATGATACTTAATATTTTGTAAATTTCTATAGTATAGTTTAAATGGAAAAAAAAGTTCTAATTGTTGTTTTGCTTCCTGGACTCTTGCTTTTTGGAAAGTGTCTCACTGGAGATCAAAATGTACTCCTGCTGGGAGAATAAGTATTTTAGTGACCAAGTTCTATGTGGCTTCAGTCAAAGCATCTCAATGTGTGGTGTGTGTATCTACATAGAGATAGATATACTATTATCAATTTCTCAGACTATATTTTGAAATTGCCAGTTTCAAGCCTAGAATTACTCAAATGTCAAATTGAGTCTTCCGATTTAAGTATTTTAGGCTCTTATAATCAGCATGAGAAATAAACTTGTATACAATTCCTCCAACTTCCAACAAAGGGATTCCTATAGAAAATCTTTTTGTCTGCTATAAATTGTAATATAAAATCTAAAAATTCACCACATTCCAGCCTCAAACACGTGTTTGGAAAAAAAAATTATGTACATATAGAAGATAGACTTTGTTACTTTGTTCTAATATATTTTTAAAATATCATTATAAGAGCAGAGTTCTGGAGCAGAAATATGCAATTCAACTATTGATTATGCCTAAGGCACAGGGAAATGAATTAAGCTAAGTGGAATTATGGATGGTGGAAAACAAGATGAAACAGGGTGACAGAGAGTAATAAATACAGATAATTTTTTTCATGGATCTTACAAACTACTAAAAATGTGTAATTCTCACCTCAAATATGCTTTAGTCTAAGCTATGAAACACATTTAAATGGAGTAAGTAAAAGAAGATTAACAGGATGTGAAGGGATTGTATAAATGTGAAAGGCTAGTAAGGCTGAAACTTTTTCTCCTCCAAATATTTCTGACATTTGTTGTATGCTTAAGAAAGCAGCATATATTTCTTCTAATAAGCTTTACACAAGTAGTACTTATGGATATATCCTTTCAAACAGAAACCAAAGCCAAATAAAAGTAAAATTTTTCCTAATTTTTCTTATCAGAAAAGTTAACAATCCCCTATCTATATCTTAAATAAAATGATACAATTTCCAGCACCTACTAATGGCTCTAAGATGTTCATAAAGTTAATTCTGCTTAATATTGGGATGAAACCTCTCTCCCAGCGTAGCAGGATAAGTAAGGATCTATCCACCATGATTCAGAGAGCCCAAGGACAGTCTTCAAGTCTGTATTTCACCATACCACTCTCCTTATGTCCCTAGTACATTTTTTTAAAGAATTATGTTTTAGCTTCATAAGTGAACTACCCACCAACCAGAAATGCTTTTCCTCAACTTCTTTAATCTATAAAAATTTCATGCACACAACCTGATAAAATACATCAGAGTCAAGACATCCGATTTAAGTATTTTAGGCATATTTAATAAATAACTTCAGTAAATAGCACTGTAAAAAGTGAACTGTTAAAACTAAAGGCACTTAAAACAAGAATGTGACTAGTGTGAAACAAGATGGGCAACTCAAATGGTGAGAAGTAAACATACAGTGGTCTGTTATGGCACTAACTCAAAGTAAGACTCGCGTAGGTGAGAGCTGTTGCATAGCCACAGTATAACTTCACATGTTCATTAAAAAGGCAAATTGACCGCTAAAACTTCAAAGAAAAAGTACTCATAAAAAAAGTCTTACCCCAAAATTGCAAACAAATACATTAAAAGATTAGAAGAGGTGACAGAAAGCACCAGACATTAAACAAAATAAAAATAATAAAATAAATTCAACTCAAAAGGTCCCCATTCAGCAAATACTTTGTAAAGTATGGCCTGTATGTAAATAGTGCTAAATCAAGGACTTTTTAGCAGAAAATTGCTCGGTTCTTTTATCTAAGGCTTGAATTTGTAAAGTGAAGGCATAAAAGTTACCAAACATTAAGTAACTCTTAAAATGGCACACAGGTTTTAAAGCTATTGGTTTTTCCTTCCTAACTCTCTGAATTTTTCCCATGGCCTTTGTAGATCAACTATTTCAAACGTATTTTACACCAGCAACTCTCAACATACTTGTCTTTCAGATATGTCATCAGTCATGTCTAACAGGCAAATAGCAAAATAACAGATTTAAAACAATCCTTAACTAGCTAGCAGGACATTTACTTTGGATTCTGCATAACTGCAAACTGACATATTTGTAAAGCTAAAAATCAGTTTTAATACATGATTAACAGAAACTCTCATCATGCTCATTACTTTAACTATTGCCCTTTCAATCGCTATAGAAATATCACTTAATCCAATAAGCTTGATTTCAATAGTCCAGGAAGAAAAGGTCAAAAAGGCACAATGTGACCTTAGCTGACAAGAGTAACCATCCTGTCTCAAGTCTTTTGTCAGTCCCTGGCATGAATTACAACATTATTTTCAAAATAATAAAACATTTTAAAAATTATACATATTGTACATTTTCAAAACCTGCACATGAGTAAAACCATGGCAATATTGCCCTAAAGCTACCTAACTGTGACTATGGAAATTGCTACTTTGCATTCAGTGTTGTGGGATTTGCACGGGCAGTACTCATTTTCCCTCATACTTCGGATTGACCACAGTTGTTACGGCACTCTTATAAATAGGATTTTCACCCTACAACAAAAAAAAAGTGAGAAAAATTATCAGTTACCCTACTAAAATTATGTAGAATAATTTTTATAAATCAAGACTAAAAGTTGCAATCATCTTAAGAAGTCATTTCTATTTTATTTGTCCAGATATCACAGTTGTTTTAAAGGCATTAATAATGGTTTATATAAAAATAGAAAATGGAAGCTTTGCTTTACAAGTCTAATGATGCCCCGTTATCTGGTGCTATTTCATTCTTGAGTCCTTCCTCCACTGGAGGCTTGATTTAAGAATGTTCTCCATGGCACAGAATGTGCTGTCATCGTGGATTCTCTCCTCTGAACTAGTTTGCAATGCCTGCCTTAATGAAGCATGAACTCCGCTGCCATCACTGCCTGATTCTTATCCCTTTATCGTGAACAGAAGGCGCCTGCTAATCAAAACGGGAATCCTCGGCTTTCACTGCTGGGAGGGAGGTGTGCTTCTGGGGTCTCCTACGGAAGTTACTAATTTAGAGAGTAAGGCTGTCATTGTGTCAGGGACAGCACTGCGCCCCACCAAGTCACACTGCCAAATTTGCTTAGAATGTTAGATAATTACCATTCCTTATGAAATAACTTGTTATGCTTCAATATCATATTGGTGAAATGTCTTATTGCAGTGCTATAATTTAGTAAACAGTACTGAAGTCAAGCCTAGCAAGCAGGCCCCAAGCCATAAACACAAGAGATCTTTCAAGATCCAAAAATATACTGACAGTGATGTTTTAAGCAGAAAAAAACATATCACTGTATCACCCTTTTCCTTAAAAATTCTCTTATACTATAACTGCTACATTTAAATACTTGCTATAGCATTCTTTTTTCTCCTGTTCTTATAAATTGAAAGCAGGCTTGAAAGCCAAGTGAGAAGTGTGACCAAATAACACTTAATCAGAGAAAATTACAGTGAGTACAAATAAAAAATACTTGTTAACTACCAGGGAAATTTTTTTTAAGAAAAAATTAAGATTTTGGAATGTTGTTCAGTTTTATATCTCACTATAGAACCAACTGCAGGTGATTTTTAAAAAAATATTTATAGAAAGCATCTAAAACATTTTTTGATCTAAAAGTAATTTTTGTTTTTAAATTTTATTCACACTTCATTGCAGACTGTATTTGGATCTGCCTTTTGGTGGCACAATTTCTGCCCTCAAGGAAGGTATAGTTTGGTGGGTGAGAGACATGAAAATAAGGCACTCTGATGAAGTTTACAATAGAGTTATGAACATAATCTGGGAATAGTATAAGAAAAAAGTTATTAACTTTAAGAAGATTAAGGAGATTTTCATTGTGAAATTGACTAGAAAAATTATTGGTTGGTAAATAGCAATCTATGCAAAGTCAAGGTGTAGGGAAAAGAATGGGACATTTAAGTAGAAATACATACAGTTCAGAAGTTTCTAGAGTTAGGGGAGGGCAGGCGCGGTGGCTCATGCCTGTAATCCCAGAACTTTGAGAGGCCGAGGTGGGTGGATCACTTTTGGTGAGGAGTTTGAGATCAGCCTGGCCAACACGGTAAAACCCCGTCTCTACTAAAAATACAAAAATTAGCTGGGTGTGGTGGCGGGTGCCTGTAATCCCAGCTACTCATGAAGCTGGGATAGGGGAATCACTTGAACCCGGGAAGCGGAGATTGTAGTGAGCTGAGATCGCACCACTGCACTCCAGACTGGGCGAAAGAGCAAGACTCCATCTCAAAAAAAAAAAAAAAAAAAAAAGAGGAAAAAAAAGAATTAAGGGGGCATATGATTGGAGGTGAGGAGACAAAGGAAGAACAGTCCTAGAGGCCTTGCTATGAAGTCTGAAACTTCATCCTGTAGGTATCCCATACCAATGAGGGAAAAACATTAACATATAAAGGCTGGGTCCTGCAAGACACCAAATAAACCACTGTGATTTCAGCTCAGCAGCTCATGTGATACCAATCAGAACCAGACAACATACCTCAGCCCTCACTCCCCTCTCCTCAAAATACACCTTGACTGGTTGTTTCAGAAACATGGACAAACTCAGGATCCCTCAGAGACAAACAGCATATAATGTGGATGACAAAACTGTGTACATCAAACTCTCAGCTCTAGTCCCAACTGAAGCTAATACATTATACAGCTGTGAGAGCAGACATTTCAAAATGGGGGTCAGGAAACTGGATTTTGGCAACTACTATCTTAAAAAGCCAGAGTGCAAATAAATTACACTCCACATTTATATCCTATCTGATTTGAGGCTAAGTGCTACACATTCCTTCAAATATGTTGGGAAAATAAATTAGCATCTAATTAAATTTCTTTAATACAATATATTTGCTAAATCTAGTATTTAATACTCAAGAATTATAAGGGAAGGACAAAAAAAAAAAAGAAAACAAAAAATAAAGAAAAAAAGCCCTATATAGATGAGTCCAAAGTGTAATTTATATGGAAGAACTTACCTTTGGAGAAAAATCTGTCTTGTCGTATACACAAACATTTGTATTTATTATTTCAAAGTCCACTCAAACAAAAGTTTAACATGCAAGGTTAGAGGTAAAATTAAGCTCACTATCTGTATTAGGCATCATTTTAAATGAAGGTAAACTAAAATAATTCAAATTAGTTTCCATCATTCAGAGTGCAACACCACCCCACCCCAAAAAAACCCGCAGCAAGAGAACAGGGTTATATTATGAAAGGAAGCCCTCAAGCTCAGTAAAATGTCATCTTTGTGCTCACTCTGGAATGGCTGACAGTGGTAGCTGCAGAACCATCTCTACAATGTATTAAATACATAATGCAGAAGTGTGGGAGATTTGGGAGCCACATTTAAACCCGCATAGCAGCAGATGAGGACAGACCATTTTTTTAACCCACTCCAACAGTTAGAAGCTGATAATGTGACATGTTCTTCTTAATGTTCCTACATGGTAGTCTTCTGCCAAAGTAATTAGCGCCTGCCCATTATTTCAAAAATTTCAATGACATAATTGACTGGCAAACCTTGGTCCATATCAGAAAAGTTTCTTACAATCCATGATGTAATTTCTTGATGCTCATTCATTTATTTCAATTGTTAATTTCTACTTTTTCTTGAGAAAAACATCTCTTAAAATAATCTGTAGCCATCAAATTGCCTGGACTTCAATAATGCATAGAGAAATTTTTACCAAACTTCTGCTTCCTGAATTACATAAAATGCTTATTTTAGCAACATTTTAGCCATATATACATTATAAACATTAAGTTTAAATAACATTTACTGATAATTTCCTTCAAAATACAATGAAAGGTACAGCAAGGGTGAAAATTTCACCTCAGTAGGACAGAAATTTTTTCTCTTGTGAGAAATAACCACATGAAATTGTCAACATTTGACTATTTTTGACCTACAACTAAAGAAAAAAATATGTATTAAAAAAAAAAAAAAGCCTGGCAATGTCATTGGCTAATCAGTTTTCCTCTAAAAATGACTTTCTGTAAAGTACTAAGTGAGAACGAGAAAAATATATTGTCTCAGACTAATACAAATATGTACCAACCTGCCCATATGTGAATTTGAATATAATTTTCTGCCATCAAATTTAACTTTAAAAATCTTACGGTCTACTTAGAAATAAAAATCTGACAAGTTAATGATTTCTAATGTTATCAGCACTTCCTATATCACTTGTAACTATTAAACATTCCTGTACTGTAGGCTCTTATTCATGATCAGTTTGTAAGCACACTCTCAATAGTCAAAAAACACAACAACAGCACTGGGTTCCATGTATTAAAGTGATTTCCCTAACATGATGTTTGCCAACAGCAGCAGTGTTAACTCTGACAGAGTAACAACAAATTGTAAAAGGGCTGTAAATCTCTATAAAGAGTGATCTACCTCTTCCTAACCAGGTAACGGGACTTCTGAAGATACATAACTGCTA
The DNA here is from genome assembly GCF_000001405.40 of Homo sapiens. NCBI lineage: Eukaryota > Metazoa > Chordata > Mammalia > Primates > Hominidae > Homo > Homo sapiens. The sequence goes on from NC_000010.11 coordinate 32,905,557, forward strand.
CCAAGTACAATGTCATAGACAAGAACATGGACTCTGGAGCCCAACTGCCTGGGTTCAAATCTCAGCTCTCTGACTAACCAGCCGTGGGAACTCGGTCAAGTTACATAACCCTTATGTGTCTCAGTTTTCTCATATGTAAAACATTCCTACAACTTTCACTATGAAGATTAAACACAGATTAAGTGGTCAGAATCATGCCTGAGACACAGTGATTTTTATGTAAGTGTTCCCAATACCATCTTTATCTGCACAATAAGGTAGGCAGTGAGAAAAGCAGAAATCTTCCAGGCCCTATTACAGTCAGTCAGTTGGGAAAGAGAAGAAGAGTTCTCAACCACCAGTCAGGAGAATTTAGTTCTAATCACAATTAACCTTTGTTATCAGAGTTTTAGGGGCTTGCATGATTTTATTAGAATATGCTGGAAGCATTTCATGAAAATTCAGATATGAACAGTTACAAACTTACATTTGAAAATTAGAATCATTCTCACATACACACACAGACACACACACATATATATATAATATACATACATATATATGGTCTTCTGGCTTTTAATGAAATTTCAAGTTATATTCAAGAAATTGATCTCAAATCTTTTGAGAACCAATAATGATATTGTAGTTGCATACCATACAAATATCATAGTAGGTTATATTTTTCTATTTTGCAATTTGGATTTCGTGATCAATTTTCACTATCCAACCCTAAAATTTACTCATAACAAATTTGTTATTTAAGGATAATACTGGTGGGGCACAGTGGCTCACGCCTGTAATCCCAGCACTTTGGGAGACCGAGGTGGGCAGAGCACTGGAGGTCAGGAGTTCAAGGCCAGCCCAGCCAATGTGGTGAAACCCCATCTCTACTAAAAACAAAAAAATTAGCCTAGCATGGTGGCAGGCACCTGTAATCCCAGGTACTCGGGAGGCTGAGGCAGGAGAATTGCTGGAATCTGGAAGTCAGAGGTTGCAGTGAGCTGATATCACACCACTGCACTCCAGGCTGGGCGACAGAGAGAGACTGTCTCAAAATAAATAAATAAATAAACAGAAAAAGAACAAAAGATAATAGGATAATATCATTCTAGGCACAGGACTGTTATGAGGATTAGAGCTGACAGGCTGATTTCATATACTGGAGTGCATTTGCCAAATACAACCACCCCATACAAAACAGAGTACTGACTCCCTGTGACAGTTGAGAGAAGTGAAGTGACTCAATGCTGTTCTACTTACTAAGTGGAAGAGGTGGGATTTGACCTGAGGTCTAACTGATTGCAAAGCACATTCTCTTTTCACTACAACATGGCTGCTGTTTCTATATCACATTACTTATTTTACGGTCTTTCTAAACGCGAAGTTAACATACAAAAAGAAAAGCCACAATAGCGATATTTAAAGCCAGACTTAAAAAAAGAACAGCAATAGTGATAAAGGACACACAGTGCAGTAAAAAAGATAGAAGTTCACATGCAAAGGCAGAAAGTGAAACAAAATACGAACGGCAATTTAGAGACCAGCTTTACGTCCGTAGTTTGGATTCTTGAAATTATTAATAGGACTCTTGTAAATCGGATTTTCTTGCTAAAGTAAAAGAAATAGTTTCTAATGATTTCATCAGAAAAAAAAAATCCCTTTATAGTGTTTGAACACTATAAATGTCTTTTTTTTTATTTCTACCCTTCTGAAATTTGTAATTTAAAAAATTGATAATTTTTAAAAACCCAAGCAAATTGTAGTAAAGTGCAACTAACTACAAAATTCATTTACAATTTAAAAATACTGAAGATTGGCATTGCTTTCTTGTATCAAAAGATGAATACACAAAGGCCAACATTTGGTTACCCCACCCTCTGACTCCATATTTCAAAGCACTCAATGCTAACATAACCTTTCGGTCACTTAGGGCTTTTAAGATTTTTATAAGCCAAAGTTTACTGAGATATAATTTTCATAGAGGAACATACATCTTTTTAAAGTACATAGTTCTGTGAGTTTTCAAATACATAAATCCACCCACAATCAAGATCATCCCAAGGAAGATCCCTTACGCCCCTCTGTGGTCAACACTTTCCCCCATTCCAGCCCCTAGCAACCACTGATTTTTGCCCCTACAGTTTTGCTTTTCCAGAATGTCCTCTAAATGGAATCATATAGTATATAGCAGGGGTGTCCAATCTTTTGGCTTCCCTGGGCCACACTGGAAGAAGAAGAATTGTCTTGGGCCACACATAAAATACACTAACGATAGCTGATGAGCTTTAAAAAAAAGTTACCAAAAAAAAATAATAATAATAATTACAATTTCTAAGAAAGTTTACAAATTTGTGTTGGGGCCACATTCAAAGCTATTCTGGGCTGCATGTCCTGGCCGACGAGCTGCGAGTTGGACAAGCTTGGTATATAACCTTTTGAATCTGGCTTTCACTGAAGGTTTTTTTTGTTTGTTTGTTTTAAAGAAAGAAGCAGCTTTCCATTGAATAGCTTGCTACACAGATAACATTATTTAGGATTCTACTTCACATTAGATGAAAAGGCAGATTTAGGATCAAAACTATTAAAGAAATAAAAATACTGGCCACAGTAACCAGAATATACATGCTTATAATCAATGTTTTGTTTCAATGGGATATATTTAGGATGCTTTCTGTTTTTCACTAAATGCAAATTCCTTGAGTAAGAAACTTTTGGGGGAATAAAATACTTAGAAAGGACTTTAATAATCAGCCTGACAGCTAATACATAAGTCTTAGGAGTATTACATTTACTTTATAAGCCACTTTGCTTTTTGGATGTTTTGTAACTTACCGTGTCCCATTTGGCATTCATTTTCTCCTTTTCAAATTTAGCAAACTCCCTTCTGTCATGAATTATCATTAAAAGCTTCCATATCAGCAGTAATGCAAGGCCAATAAGAACAATTCCAGCAACCACACCAGCTACAATTGGAATGATGTCTGGACCAGTGGGACACTCTGGAAAATAAGAAGGTAATAATGAGCACCACAAAGAGCTGTGCAGTGTCTTATAAAAAACATACAGGAATAAACACCCAAGAGAGTGAACGCACACTATCCCAAAGAATCTATAAAATAGCTCTTAGAACTAACAAGTGAGTTTACAAGGTTGCAGGATACATGATCAATGAACAAAAATCATGTATTTTTCTATATATATAATTTATTTCTACATATTGAAAATATAAGTTTTTAAACAGTAATATTTACTACAGAATGAAAAAGCATGAAAAACTTACATATAAGTCTAACAAAATATATGCAAGATTTGCATGTTAAGAATTACTAAATACTGATAAAAAGAAATCTTTCAGACTGAATAAATGGAGAGATATTCCATGTGCAGGAGTTACAAAACCTAATACCGTTAAGACGTCAATTCTTCCCAATTTGATCTATAAACTCAATGGTATCCCACTCAAACTCCTGGCAGAACTTCTGTAGCAATCAGTAAGCCACTTCTAAAATTTACATGGAAGGCAGGGAACTAAGGAAGTGTCTCAAAAACACTTTTGTAAAAGAATAAAGTTGGAAGACCCTGCTTTCAGGCCTAGCTATAAAGAAAGCTACAAGACCATGTGGTATAGCTAACACTCAGATACATGGAACAGAATACAGAGTCAGAAACAGGCCTACACATGTAAGGTCACCTGATGTTCAACAAAGGTGGAGAAAAGACAGTCTTTTTTCAACAAATGCCCCTAGAACAAGTGGACACTGACATGAAAAAAACTGAGCCTTTTGTCACACACTAACTCAAAATGAGTTACAGATCTAAATGTGAAACCCCAGAAACTATAAAACTTCTACCAAAAAACAGAGGAGAAAAATCCTTATAATCTTGGGTTAGGCAGAGTTCTTAAAGACAATGTAAAAGCAAGAGCCACAGAAGAAAAACTTGGTAAACTGTACTTAATCAAAATTAAAACCTGTGGTGTTCAGAAGACACTTAAAAAAATGAAATGATAAGGAGACACAGGCTGGGAGACAATATTTGCAAAACACCTAGCTGATAATTCAAAACAGTATGGGAGTCTAAGAGTCTGGCAGCTTCTTAACAAAGTTAAACATATGCTTACCATATGCTCCAAAATGCCATTTTTAGTATTTACCCAAGAGAAATGAAAGCTTATGTTCACACAAAAACATGTACACTATGGTAGAAAATTCCAAAGAATCTACAAAAAGGCTACTAGGAAAACTAAGATTAAAAAAAAAAAGTTTCACCTCCGGAGAAGTTGAACAAATTCAACACTTTATATTAATATCCTTTAACAAATTATCTTTCCCAGTATTCAAGCTTAAATCAAGCTCTAATTTTAAAATCATCAATCATCAAAAAACTCTTAATATGCACTTGGTGTCAGGCATCGTTCTAAGTGTCTTATATAAATCACTAAGCGTCTTATATAAATCACTGTATTTAATCTTCAAACTCTCCACTCAGAAAACTTAAAAGTGGAACTCTCTTTTCCTTATTTCTTATACAGTTAATTAGATAATATTTTAAGCTTTGAGAGATGAAAAATTTCCCAACTTGACCTAAAATATTCCAGCTGGAGGCTGTTTCTGGATGTTAGGCCTAAATAAGCAGAAACAAGACATACAAGATATGAAAAGAATGTCTGCAATCATCGCATTTCTACCTGGATTCTCCACAACATGAACCATGACCTCGTTGTTCCCATTCACTGAATACGTAAAATAGAACCAACAGTCGTCAACATCCTTCTCCTTACAATGGGACACAGGATCAGGTTGGACCGGCTGGGGTAATTTGTCCCGACTTTCTACCTTGGTAATGTTAAAATAGGAACATTCCTGTGTGCATGTGTCTTTCTTTTCTCCTTTATTGAAGGCTCTGCACTGAACACATTCTCTGTTACAAAAAACACAAATTATGATATTTACATTTTATTATTTCAGTAAATATTTGCTTAAACATATTTCCCATGCTAAACTCTTGTGACCAAATTGAACAAACAGCTATGAAGGAAGATTTCAATAAATGAAGAGGAACATTACATTTGTGGATAGAAAAATTATGTAAAAAGATGCTAATTTCCATAATAAAATTAAAGATTTATTACAGTTCAAATTAAAACCCTATTAAGAAATAAAAGATAGTAAAATAAATTAGCCCTATCACATATTAAATATGTAACATAAAATCATAATAATTTTTTTTTTGCGATGGAGTCTTGTTCTGTCATCCAGGCAGTGCAGTGGTGTGACCTTGGCTCACTGTAACCTCTGCCTCTCGGGTTCAAGCAAGCCTCAACCTCCCAAGTAGTTGAGATTACAGGCACACACCACCATATCTGGCTAATTTTTGTATTTTTAGTAGAGATGGGGTTTCACCACATTGGCCAGACTGGTCTCAAACTCCTGACCTTAAGTGATCCACCTGTCTCGGCCTTCCAAAGTGCTGGGATTACAGGTGTGAGCCACTGTGCTCGGCCAAAATCATAATAATTTAAATAATATGTTACTAGTATAATAATCCTTCAAGAGGAAAAATCTTTAATTTGGCTTAGTTTTGTCAAAAGACAGTAATTAAGAAATTGGTAATGACAAATTAAATTAAATTAAATCTTAATTGCCAAAATAAAGGTTACCATGTAAATTCAATTATCTAGCACATTCAGATCAAAATAATAGTACAACTCTCACATGACACACTTCATACCATGTAATATATACTAGCTGTTGAGAAAGAACTTTTAAGAATTAAAGAGTAGGCTTCCACATGGCAGGCATTTTATTTACAGTATATTTTAATATTGGCACTGTTCTGGTTCTAGAAACAATACAGGCTTAGGAGAGCCAAGAGGAAGTATCAACTATTTCAAGCAATTAGGAAATACTTACTTATGCTCAGCACAGACACCAAGGCAGGTCTGACACATCTCACACGTTTGCCCTTGAAACTTCGGATCTGTACACTTACAGACACCACACTCGCAGATGCCCCGGCCATTGCAGATCTGTCCGTTGCTGGCTTCACAAGTACTAGTATCCAAAGAACAGTCACATGCACTGCCAGTGTAGTTGGGGTTGCACTCACACACACGACACTTGCAAACACCATTTCCTGCAATTAAGCATATCATTTCTCAAAATGGTAAAAATATACAATCACAGTATTGACTGAAAAGTAAAATAAGCAACAACATGTGAGAAAGTATACCTAGGGGCGAGACTGACCCTCAAGCTACCCCTTTTCTACTTATGCACCAACTAAACTCAAGATTTTTCGTGGCATTAGATGGGATCACATCTTACAACCACTTCAGGCCCTTTACTTACCTCCACAAATTAAGCCATTGGATCTATCACAGTTGAAATTATCACACTCGCAGAATTTGCCAGAATAAATTTCATTTGTATTATCCCTCTTCCTACAAACACACTGTCCGCAGACGCACTCTCCATTGTTACTGCAGATTTCTGAACTGTTTTCTTTCCTGCAGTAAGCATCCATGTCTTCACTGTTAACTTCATCTGTGCTGCATTCACAATGTCTACCAACACGCCCTTCATTGCACCTGAAGAAACATGCCAAAATTGCAATCACACAAAACAAAAATAATTTAAGAGGTTCCAAGATGGCCAAACAGGAACAGCTCTAGTCTACAGCTCCCAGCGTGAGCGACACAGAAGACAGGTGGTTTCTGCATTTCCAACTGAGGTACTGGGTTCATCTCACTGGGGCTTGCTGGACAGTAGGTGCAGCCCATGGAGTGTGAGCCGAAGCAGGGCGGGGCATCGCCTCACCCGGGAAGCACAAGGGGTCAAGGAATTCCCTTTCCTAGCCAAGGGAAGCTGTGACAGACGGTACCTGGAAAATCAGGACACTCCCACACTAATACTGCGCTTTTCCAATGCTCTTAGAAAACGGAACACCAGAAGATTATATCCCGCGCCTGGCTCAGAGGGTCCCATGCCCAGCTCAGAGGGTCCCACACCCATGGAGCCTCGCTCACTGCTAGCACAGCAGTCTGAGATTGAACTGCAAGGCAGCAGGGAGGCCGAGGGAGGGGTATCCCCCATTGCTGAGGCTTGAGTAGGTAAACAAAGCAAAAAAAAGCTAAAACTGGGTGAAGCCCATTGCAGCTCAAGGAGGCCTGCCTGCCTCTGTAGACAACACCTCTGGGGGCAGGGCATAGCTGAACAAAATCCAGCAGAAACTTCTGCAGACTTAAACATCCGTGTCTGACAGCTTTGAAGAGAGTAGTGGTTCTCCCAGCACGGAGTCTGACATCTGAGAATGGACAGACTGCCTCCTCAAGTGGGTCCCTGAGCCCGAGTAGCCTAACTGGGAGACACCTCCTAGTAGGGGCTGACTGACACCTCATACAGCCCGGTGCCCCTCTGAGACGAAGCTTCCAGAGGAAGGATCAGGCAGCAACATTTGCCATTCTGCAATATTTGCTGTTCTGCAGCCTCCGCTGGTGATACTCAGGCAAACAGGGTCTGGAGTGGACCTCCAGCAAACTCCCAACAGACCTGCAGCTGAGGGTCCTGACTGTTAGAAGGAAAACTAACAAACAGAAAGGACATCCACACCAAAACCCCATCTGTACATCACCATCATGGAAGACCAAAGGTAGATAAAACCACAAAGATGGGGAGAAACCAGAGCAGAAAAGCTGAAAATTCTAAAATTTGAGCACCTCTTCTCCTCCAAAGAAATGCACCTCCTCACCAGCAACGGAACAAAGCCGGACGGAGAATGACTTTGACAAGTTGAGAGAAGAAGGCTTCAGATAATCGGTAATAACAAACTTGTCCGAGCTAAAGGAGGATATTCAAACCCATCGCAAAGAAGCTAAAAACCTTGAAAAAAGACTAGACGAATGGCTAATTAGAATAAAGAGCGTAGAGAAGACCTTAAATGACCTGATGGAGCGGAAAACCATGGCATGAGAACCATGTGATGCATGCACAAGCTTCAGTAGCCGATTCGATCCAGTGGAAGAAAGGATATCAGTGATTGAAGATCAAATGAATGAAATGAAGTGAGAAGTTTAGAGAAAAAAAAGAGTAAAAAGAAACGAACAAAGCCTCCAAGAAATATGGGACTATGTGAAAAGACCAAATCGATGTCTGATTGGTGTACCAGAAAGTGACAGGGAGAATGGAACCAAGTTGGAAAACATTTTTCAGGATATTATCCAGGAGAACTTCCCCAACCTAGCAAGGCAGGCCAACATTCAAATTCAGGAAATACAGAGAAAGCCACAAAGATACTCCTTGAGAAGAGCAACTCCAAGACACATGATTGTCAGATTCACCAAAGTTGAAATGAAGGAAAAAATGTTAAGGGCAGCCAGAGAGAAAGGTTGGGTTACCCACAAAGGGAAGCCCATCAGACTAGCAGCAGATCTCTCGGCAGAAACTCTACAAGCCAGAAGAGAGTGGGGGCCAATATTTAACATTCTTAAAGAAAAGAATTTTCAACCCAGAATTTCATATTAAGCCAAACTAAGCTTTAAGTGAAAGAGAAATAAAATCCTTTACAGACAAGCAAATGCTGAGAGATTGTGTCACCACCAGGCCTGCCTTACAAGAGCTCCTGAAGGAAGCACTAAACATGGAAAGGAACAACTGGTACCAGCCACTGCAAAAACATGCCAAATTGTAAAGACCATCGATGCTAGGAAGAAACTGCATCAGCTAATGAGCAAAATAACCAGCTAACATCATAATGACAGGATCAAATTCACACATAACAATATTAACCTTAAATGTAAATGGGCAAAATGCTCCAATTAAAAGACACAGACTGGCAAATTGGATAAAGAGTCAAGACCCATCAGTGTGCTGTATTCAGGAGACCCATCTCACGTGCAGAGACAAACACAGGCTCAAAATAAAGGGATGAAGGAAGATCTACCAAGCAAATGGAAAACAAAAAAAGGCAGTGGTTGCAAACCTAGTCTCTGAAAAAACAGACTTTAAACCAACAAAGATCAAAAGGGACAAAGAACGCCATTACATAATGGTAAAGGGATCAATTCAACAGGAAGAGCTGACTATCCTAAATATATATGCACCCAATGCAGGAGCACCCAGATTCATAAAGCAGGTCCTGAGAGACCTAGAAAGAGACTTAGACTCCCACACAATAATAATGGGAGACTTTAACACCACATTGTCAACATTAGACAGACCAACGAGACAGAAAGTTAACAAGGATATCCAGGAACTGAACTCAGCTCTGCACCAAGTGGACCTAATAGACATCTACAGAACTCTCCATCCCAAAACAACAGAATATACATTCTTCTCAGCCCCACACCGCACTTATTGCAAAACTGACTACATAATTGGAAGCAAAGCACTCCTCAGCAAATGTAAAATAACAGAAATTATAACAAACTGTCTCTCAGACCACAGTGCAATCAAGCTAGAACTCAAGATTAAGAAACTCACTCAAAACTGCTCAACTGCATGGAAACTAAATGACCTGCTCCTGAATGACTACTGGATACATAACAAAATGAAGGCAGAAATAAAGATGTTCTTTGAAACCAGTGAGAACAAAGACACAACATACCAGAATCTCTGGGACACATTTAAAGCAGTGTGTAGAGGGAAATTTATAGCACTAAATGCCCACAAGAGAAAGCAGGAAAGATCTAAAATGGACACCCTAACATCACAATTAAAAGAACTAGAGAAGCAAGAGCAAACACATTCAAAAGCTAGCAGAAGGCAAGAAATAACTAAGATCAGAGCAGAACTGAAGGAGATAGAGACATAAAAAGCCCTTCAAAAAATCAATGAATCCAGGAGCTGGTTTTTTGAAATGATCAACAAAATTGACAGACCGCTAGCAAGACTAATAAAGAAGAAAAGAGAAGAATCAAATAGATGCAATAAAAAATGATAAAGGGGATATCACCACCGATCCAACAGAAATACAAACTACCATCAGAGAATACTATAAACACCACTATGCAAATTAACTGGAAAATCTAGAAGAAATGGATAAATTCCTGGACAAATACACCCTCCCAAGACTAAACCAGGAAGAAGTTGAATCACTGAATAGACCAATAACAGGCTCTCAAATGGAGGCAATAATTAATAGCCTACCAACCAAAAAAAGTCCAAGACCAGACGGATTCACAGCCGAATTCTACCAGAGGTACAAACAGAAGCTGGTACCATTCCTTCTGAAACTATTCCAATCAATAGAAAAAGAGGGAATCCTCCCTAACTCACGTTATGAGGCCAGCATCATCCTGATACCAAAGCCTGGCAGAGACACAACAAAGAAAGAGAATTTTAGACCAATATCCCTGATGAACATCGATGCAAAAATCCTCAGTAAAATACTGGCAAACCAAATCCAGCAGCACATCAAAAAGCTTATCCACCACAATCAAGTTGGCTTCATCCCTGGGCAAGACTGGTTCAACACAGGCAATCAATAAACGTAATCCATCATATAAACAGAACCTAAGACAAAAAACACATGATTATCTCAATAAATGCAGAAAAGGTGTTCGACAAAATTCAACAGCCCTTCATGCTAAAAACTCTCAATAAACTAGGTATTGATGGGATGTGTCTCAAAATAATAAGAGCTATTTATGATCAACCCACAGCCAATATCATACTGAATGGGCAAAAACTGGAAGCATTCCCTTTGAAAACTGGCACAAGACAGGGATGCCCTCTCTCACCACTCCTATTCAACACAGTGTTGGAAGTTCTGGCCAGGGCAATCAGGCAGGAGAAAGAAATAACACATAACAATATTCCCACAAAGGGAAGCCCATCAGTTAATTAGGAAAAGAGGAAATCAAATTGTCCCTGTTTGCAGATGACATGATTGTATATTTAGAAAACCCCATCGTCTCAGCCCAAAATCTCCTTAAGCTGATAAGCAACTTCAGCAAAGTCTCAGGATACAAAAATCAATGTGCAAAAATCACAGGCATTCCTGTACACCAATAACAGACAAACAGAGAGCCAAATTATGGGTGAACTCCCATTCATAACTGCTTCAAAGAGAATAAAATACCTAGGAATACAACCTACAAGGGATGTGAAGGACCTCTTCAAGAAGAACTACAAACCACTGCTCAACGAAATAAAAGAGGACTCAAACAAATGGAAGAACATTCCATGCTCATGGATAGGAAGAATCAATATCGTGAAAATGGCCATACTGCCCAAGGTAATTTAGAGATTCAATGCCATCCCCATCAAGCTACCAATGACTTTCTTCATAGAATTGGAAAAAACTACTTTAAAGTTCATATGGAACCAAAAAAGAGCCTGCATTGCCAAGACAATCCTAAGCCAAAAGAACAAAGCTGGAGGCATCACGCTACCTGACTTCAAACTATACTACAAGGCTACAGTAACCAAAACAGCATGGTACTGGTACCAAAACAGAGATATAGACCTATGGAACAGAACAGAGCCCTCAGAAATAATACCACACATCTACAACCATCTGATCTTTGACAAACCTGACAAAAACAAGAAATGGGGAAAGGATTCCCTATTTAATAAATGGTGCTGGGAAAACTGGCTAGCCATATGGAGAAAGCTGAAACTGGATCCCTTCCTTACACCTTATACAAAAATTAATTCAAGATGGATTAAAGACTTAGATGTCAGACCTAAAACCATAAAAACCTCAGAAGAAAATCTAGGCAATACCATTCAGGACATAGGCATAGGCAAGGACTTCATGACTAAAACACCAAAAGCAATGGCAACAAAAGCCAAAATTGACAAATGGGATCTAATTAAACTAAAGAGCTTCTGCACAGCAAAAGAAACTGCCATCAGAGTGAACAGGCAACCTACAGAATGGGACACAATTTTTACAATCTACCCATCTGACAAAGGGCTAATATCCAGAATCTACAAAGAACTCCAACAAATTTACAAGAAAAAATCAAACAACCCCACCAAAAAGTGGGAGAAGGATATGAACAGACACTTCTCAAAAGGAGACATTTATGCAGCCAACAGACACATGAAAAAATGCTCATCATCACTGGCCATCAGAGAAATGCAAATCAAAACCACAATGAGATACCATCTCACACCAGTTAGAATGGCGATCATTAAAAAGTCAGGAAAACAACAGGTGCTGGAGAGGATGTGGAGAAATAGGTACACTTTTACACTGCTGGTGGGACTGTAAACTAGTTCAACCATTGTGGAAGACAGTGTAGCGATTCCTCAAGGATCTAGGACTAGAAATACCATTTGACCCAGCCATCCCATTACTGGGTATATACCCAAAGAATTATAAATCATGCTGCTATAAAGACACGTGCACACGTATGTTTACTGCGGCACTATTCACAATAGCAAAGACTTGGAACCAACCCAAATGTCCATCAATGATAGACTGGATTAAGAAAATGTGGCACATATACAACATGGAATACTATGCAGCCATAAAAAATGATGAGTTCACGTCCTTTGTAGGGACATGGATGAAGCTGGAAACCATCATTCTGAGAAAACTATCGCAAGGACAGAAAACCAAACACTGCACCTTCTCACTCATAGGTGGGAACTGAACAATGAGAACACTTGGACACAGGGTGGGGAACATCACACACTGGGGCCTGTCATAAGGTGGGGGTAGGGGGCAGGGATAGCATTAGGAGATATACCTAATGTAAATGACGAGTTAATGGGTGCAGCACACCAACATGTCACATGTATACATATGGAACAAACCTGCACGTTTTGCACATGTACCCTAGAAATTAAAGTATAATAAAAAAGAAGAAGAATCATCTTGGAGGGAATAATAATAATAATAATTTAAAAGGGAAAAACTGGGAAAGAAAATAAAACTATAAAAAATCTCTTCAAGCTCCTAATCTGTTAGGTGGGAGTGTCCATGCCACAAGTCACAGTCGTGTAGTAAAGTGTACACACATGTGCAAGCAGGGACAAACATACACAGGCGCACATGTACATTCCAGCCACTCAAGTTCATATGGAATATATGCAAGAGTCTAGGAAAAAAATTTCTTCAGGAAAGTAACCATTTTGGTCAAGACAAAAATGTAATCTAGCAATGAATAGTGAATGACACATGTGGAAAGGCAGAATAAACTTAATTTTAAAGAGCACGTTAGTTACATTTTCAAATGGTATGCTATTACATTTACTATTCCAGGTGAACTGTCTAAATTTAAAGCAATGGTCTGTTAACCTAAAAAAATACAATAAACACATGCAAAAAAGTGTATGGAAGTTGAAAAAAAACATACTGTGTATACCACTTAAAATATAACTAGTATACTATTTAAAAATAAATATATCCTACATGTGCAGACTTTTCAGGTTCCCTGTGTATTTTTAGAACACATAATGCTCATGGACACTGACTGCACTGATTCTGTATCTGGTAAAAATATAAAGGAAAGAAAGGCAAAGTATTTTCAAGATAATCTTTTTGGTTAAATGACATTTTACTAAAAATGGACCTGCATGATTAAAACAGGATATGTACAACATGGAAGATAAAGAAACTCTAACATTTAAATTGTTACTTAGCACAGACAATTAAAAATTGATAGTGAGCTAAAGCCATATATTTCTTTCATAGTCAATAGCCTTCTAAGCCTAGTCTTTTGGGGCTGACACTGGATTAAACACTCTTCCCTCTTCCTATTCTTTTACAGAGAAAGCGGTATTCAATGTATACTCAGTTTTTCATTTTCAATTACAAAAAGTAACCACAGTGTGAAAATAAAATCTGAAGTAATTTTGTTAGTTTTCTTAGTACTAGATTCTACATACTGAAAATACCATTTTCTCTTTTGTATTTTACAACACATATTTATTTTTTAAAAATTATTCCAACAATGCAGAAGTACATGTAGTACAAGACAAACATCTTCTACTGCTTCATAATTCCATTTCCCAGACGAAATCGCCATCATCGGTTTGATGTTTTTCCAAAACATTTTCCTATAAACGTTATTTTACACAAGCTTATTTTGTTCTAGAAAATTGATTGCTCTCACATGAGAGAAACGCTACCTTAACAATTTGTTGAATATACTTCTTTCATGGCTATAAAATCTTTTATTTTAAAGAGTAATCACTTTAAGAAAAAAAGGCAGGAAGGAACTTTCTATAAATATCACACACAAGATCATCAAACTGATCTTGTGGTGAGCAACCGTGGTTGGAAAAAATAATTTGCTCCAAATAGAGAGATATTCTCTGGATGTCCCAAAATATGACCTGCCTATACTCTCTAAACCAATGTAGCTCTGTCACTGTCTGACAACACCCAGCTTACCTGCACGCGCCACACTCAAATGTCCCATTTCCTTCATGACACTTGGGACTTTCAGGGATGCCTTCGCTTTGGCATTCACATTCACAGATGTACTGAAGAATAACCTCTACTTCCTCCGTAAAGCCCAGAGGCCTAATTTTAAAGCTGTCAGAATCCTTTTTTGGACACTTATTTGAAGTTATGCTAATTTCAAATTGAACCTTGAAGGGAAAAAAAAGATTAACAACCAACTAAACAATTTAAATCTACTAAAAAATATTTCAAAAAGTTGCTCACTTATTTTAATGTTTCTCAAACTATAAACTAAATTTGCTTATAAATAACCAATGTTTTCTACAGAAAATGCTTTATACAACATACCTCATCTCCAATGGAAATATTGGAACATTTTCTTCCATTTTCCCCTGTTCCATTCACCCCGTTCTTGCAGTAAGATTTGTAACTTATTGTTACGCCTTCTGACAATTTGCCGTTTTCCAAAATGACTTCTGAGGAAAGGGACTAAAAGAATGCCTAATTATACACAGGAAAAGTCAAACAAAATGCTACTTGAATGCATAAAACCAATGGATAAACTGCTCAGAAAAAAATATATTTCAATAAAGTATCTACAAGCCAAATCCAATTGAGTAACTAGAAAACACAGAGGCCAGAGAAACAGGTTTTAATTAATAAGGATCAAATCTTTAAAATAAAATACACAATTGAAAAGAGTATTCCTGTTTTAATCACTGAGTTAAAATACTCAGGATCACACAGTGCAGAGGGCTGTTACTAATTAGGAGGAGTCTTAAAAATGTGGAATAGGCCGGGTGTGGTAGCTCACACCTGTAATCCCAGCACTTTGGGAGGCCAAGGTAGGTGGACTGCCTGAGCTCAGGAGTTGGAGACCAGCCTGGCCAACACAGTGAAACCCCATCTCCGCTAAAATACAAAAAAAAAAAAAAATTTATCCAAGCATGGCAGTGTGCACCTGTAATCCCAGCTACTCGGGAGGCTGAGACAGAAGAATCGCCTGAACCCGGGAGGCAGGGGTTGCAGTGAGCCAAGATCACACCACTGCACTCCAGCCTGAGCAACAGAGTGCGACTCCATCTAAAAAACAAAAACAAAAACAAAAACAGAAACCCCCCAAAAAAAAACGAAATAAATGCTGTCTTCCCCATCGGCAAAATGGCATTTCTGTAGTCCTACCTCTCCAGCTAACTATGGACTAGGGTAAACAATCAACTATGCAGTCTAGGAACAAATTTGCTTAAGGAACCATTGTAGCCCAGCCAAAAAAAAAAAAAAACAAAATCCCCCAAGAAGGAAGGATTCAAGCCAGGGCTTGTTTAACATATGAGACTATTCAGGACAAATGGAGAAGGGTACAATGGCAAGCTATCTCTTGTTCACACCCCTGAAAGAACAAGAGTTAGGAAAATTATCTAAGACAGGGGAGAATGGGAAAAGCTGTGGAACAAGTAAAATATTAAAAACCTTTATAAAAACCCCTCCAAGTCAGGCCTTTCCAAACCATTATGGTACCCCATAAAAAAGGGAAGCCTCATATGGTAGGCTGGCCTTTCCAAAGCGTTATGGTACCCCCATGACATGAAGTAAAAATGTCTAAAATTCAAGCTGCCAAAGGGTTAGGGGGATGGGGGCTGAAAGTGGTGCACGAGACACACAAGGGTTACCTACCAAATTACAACCGCCTTCAGATTATTTAAATGATTATTAATGAAGGCTAACTCGGTGTGATTAAAGTACACTGAATTATGCTCAAAAAGGATAAGCCAATTCCTCTTTAATTTCAATTCAACTTCCTCCCATCTGTGAGGGGAAAACAACACTATAAATCTTTTTGAAATAGGCAAATCACATGTATATTTACATTTTTATATATTTTATGGTATACGTATATATGAGTGTGTACCTCCTGAAATAGAAACCCATATCCTCTGAATATATGGGAAGAGAAGAATTGGCAAAAAAAAAAACTTTTCTAGCACAATTCATCAGAATAGATGACTCTATAAAGGATATTTTGGGGAGGAAAAAGATTGGAGAAATCCTGTAAGTTTAAATGTAAGTTATGTTTTACAATTGCTTTCTAACAAGGAGATCTATTCCTTAATGATAAACAAACAGTTATTTGGAAATACTCCCCACATGCCTTTATCACATTTTCACTTTGTTTAGGCCATGAATCTTGCTTTTGTAAGACAATATGTATAAAGTTTTTCCTCTAGATACATACAGAATTTAAGTTTTTCTGTAGTACTTTGGGCTCGCTAAAGTGTGTATGAAGGAAGTTTTACTTTCTTTGTACAAAGTATTCTCAACAGGGTATTGTCCAAAACTGATCTTATTTAAGATGTACTCACATTGTATGCATCAATGATCAACTGAATTACATTGCTAGAATTTGCAGATAATGTTCCTACTGCTGACTTAGGGATCAAGTTTTTCAGCTCCTGCAATTAAAAGATAAAACACGTAAAATACAACTGCTATTCATTCAACCAATTAGGATCCACTGAGCAACTTTTATCTTTAAATGCCAGTTCCCATGTTTCCTCCTAACTAACTTTAGGAGTCAAACCTAGAAACCAGTTTTATAATATGTGATTAAAAATTAATATAAACCACTTTTGTAAAATTCGGTTTGCCTATCTGGTGGCATTTTCCCACATTTCAATTCAGACATGATTTGCCTCTAACAATCAAAAATGTTTAGAATCTTGTTCTTTTTATCTCACACATTTACCTTGTAAACAGGCTGAAATTCTTCAGTAACTGCAAAAATTGTCTGAATATTATTTTCACTCAGTTTCTGGACAAGGTGAGCAATAGAAGGATAATCCTAAGAAATCAAGTAATATAATTTAGTATTTAAATACACCCTTATAATCTCTTCTAATTTTTCAATCTAGTTATACATGCAAGATTACACATAACTCGATTACAAGACTGCTTTAGATAACTAGATTACATATATAATCCATATATAGCTAGATTACATCTAGTTGCATACATATAACTAGATTACAAGACTGCTTTCAAATAACAGTATCAAATATAAACTGCTGAAGTGAGTCGTGTGTATACATGAATTGCTAATCCTCTTCTCTTTACTTTCATGTATGAATAAAAAATTCCATATTCAAAAGGTTTTAAATAGTAAGTTTATCTATGTATATTAAATATAAGGACAATGAAATTAAAGAATAGTCAGTAATTAAATATTCTATTATCTACAACTTAAGAAAAAGACCAAGATTTACCATTTGGATTTCTTCTAGAACTTGAATGCTTTGCCAATATTTATTTTCAATAAAGGCAGAGTGACTGCTTTTAAAAATCGTATAAAACAAAGAGTATGAGACTAGATAAATTATTTATTTAGAAAGAGTACTGACTGTGCTACCAAATGCTGTGGGCGGGGAGTTGAGGCAAAGAGTGAAAGTGGCATCTGGGCATCCCTTTCCCACCCCAGTGAGGCCCTTGTCTGAGCAGAAGGAAGCAAATACAAAGCTGCATCTTCACAAACAGCAACACTAGCTTTCCTGCACTTTCAATCAGGACCCCTACTTACCAAAACAGCAAAACCTCAAACCCTGAGAAACCCCAAGCCAGTCACCCACAAGCTCTTAGTATTAAACATTAAAATCCAACATAAACACATTCACTATGTAAGGAACCAGGCACTTACATAATAATGGCTCATTGTGTACATATTATTTTCCAGGTGACATTGTCCATCATTTGGTAAAACAATGCCACCAAGTTTCCCATCTCCAGCAAAGTGAAACCCGGCATCTGTGGAAAACACCAGCAGCCGTGTAACATTCCTCCAGCCAATCAGTGACTTGAAAAGAAAAGGATTTCAATTTTAAAACACTATTCACAGTAATTCAACAAAAATCCTTTAATTTTCATATAGGCCACCATTGTATTTTTAACCTAATTCTGTATTTTCTGTGTCTTCTCTTTATACAATGGTAATTATCTTGCTGAGAAACACACAAAGCCCACTGAATGAAGCTCTTCCATCCCATGTACAACGATATCTTGCCTGACCATCCGTATCTCTCAATCTCTCAGTTCTTTTTAAAAACTGTTTTTTTGTTTTGTTTGGTTTGGTTTAGTTCTGCTTATCATCATATCTCCAGCAGCTAGCAAGCCAGCACACTGCTTGGCAAGCAGTAAGCCCTTGATGAGCATTTGCTGAATAAATGAAAGTGTCTGAGCCTATCCTTACTTTACCCCACTGCTGCTGTCTTGTCCCCATCCACCCATCTCTGCTCTATGTTCTATGCCATGCACCTTCTTTATCAGCCCACCATATGAGGCTTCCTTTTTTTATAACAGAAATAAGTATCTTGTTTAAGGATAATTTCACCCATTCTAACTCCTCAATCAGTACTGTTTATGCACTCATTTACTTTATCCTTGCCCTTTCCAATAAAGAATCTAAAGTAACTGTAAAATCTTCTTGTCACTATGGTAATTTATAATTATAAAATCATAGGACTATAGGAATTTACCTGCTTTCGTTAATTTATTTAATACGTCTGTTTAGATCTTCATAAGACAGTAAAATACTTTAAGGTGGGAATCACATTTATTAATACTGGCAATCTTTCAAAAGTGGAATGTCTGATTCTTTTGCATCTAGAGGAGTGGATCAGCATGACCAACACAGAAAAACAGCCACAATCAAGGGTGTTATGGCTTGTTTAATACCACAGGTTAAGGCCTAGTTAGAGGCAGCCCAGAGAATGCCCTCCCCACAACGAGCTGCTAACAGGCTCACACATCAATGGCTAGTAAGAAAAGAGGTGTAAGGCTAGGTACTACCTGGAATGCTACTTGCTTCGGCTATAACAGCAGGGACTAACCTTAAATTGCAAACACTCTAGTGAAAAGTCGAAAGTAATAACAATATAGGAATTAGTATTTGCTGAATGCTCATTGGTACTTTATAGAGATTGATGCATTTTAACTTCACAAGAGCCCTATGAGGTAGATACTATCATGATCCCTTCTTAAAGAGAAGAAAACAGCCCTGGAGAGGCTGAGTAAATTGCCCAGCATCAGTGGTGATAGAAAAATTCTTAATTACTATCCATATTCCTTCACTTATTATTTTGGGCATCAATTAGCACCTTAGCAAAAATTGACTGAAAAATAACCACTAAGAGGCCTCTAAAATCAAAGAAGGTCATCTAGAGAATGGGGGCACTGGAGGGAACAAAAATGAGACAAGAGTAGGTACGCAGGACAAACTTGACATGACAATGTCTTCTAGTTTCAGCCTCAGCCACATCATTAAAGTGTCATCTCAAAATACATAGCTGCTACATGGATCATAAAATACAAATTATTGAACCAATAGGGATGGGCTTGCTACTGAAAATCTTACAATTAAAATTACAAATATTGTATCACTTCTCAAAATACATCTATTCATATAGGTTAAAAACTAGAGCTTAAAAAGTTCTCTCTTTTTGAATTACTAAGACACAGGAGAAAGATGTGTCTTTCAAAGACAGTGAGAAGAAAACTGACCAAAGGAAAATGATACAAGACACTCTCCCTTTGAGCAATTTCAAGGTTCCTGGTGATGCCTCAGATAATAACATCAATTCTATCTCTAGTACAAAGCCAGAAAGTTAGGACACATGGGCTTTTCTAAAATCCAGACCACCAGCTACAGTACAGAGAGGTTGCCCCGCTGTTTCAAATGGTTAGCATTCTGTCTTTTAAAAGCCCGCATGAATAAACTAACTGTGTGGTTTGCATAAAGATTAAATATGCTTTTATAAAGGCACTTTATGTATACAGGCAATTTAAGGGTTTACTTAAAATTACTTCTCTAAGATAATCAAATCTATGAAAATTAAGGTCAATTTTTCTATTATCATAGTAAAATCACACTTAAAATTCACACACATAATAGAAACAATATCCCCTGATAGGAAATGAATGCGCTTACTCCACAAACTGCAACTTGCATGATGGCATCGAAACCACCTTCTGGAGAATCCAAATTTCCAGATATGCGCTGTTTTCCAACAAGTTCATTAAATACTTCTCCTTTATTAGTAAGACTGAGCACATTTTTGTAGCTAAATGGGCTGGTGCAGTTCTGTTCACTTGTGCAAGGGTTCCTGAGCTTAGCTGGTGTTGTGCTAATGTAAGGCATCACAGTCTTTTCCACAAATGAGCCAAATCCTGCCAAGAAAAAAATGGTACATAAATGAATGAATGGATGGATAGATGGAAAGACAGAGATTTGCATTGTTTAAAAAATTCATCTATGTTACCAAATGTAGGTTACTATGGACTGAATGTCTGTGTTACCCCAAAATTCCTACATTGAAAACCTAATTCCCAACATGATGGTATTAGGAAGTGGTTCCTTTGGAAGGTGATTAGATCATGAGGGCAGAGCCCTCATGAATGGGATTAGTAACTGATACAGTTTGGGTATCTGTCCCCGCCCAAGTCTCATGTTAAAATGTGATCCCCAATGTTGAAGGTACGGCCTGGTGGAAGGTATTTCGATCATGGGGGCAGATCAATCCCTCATGGCTTGGTGCTATTCTGACCACAGTGAGTGAGTTCTCATGAGATCTGTTATTTAAAATTGTGTGGCATCTCTCCCCAACTCTTGCTCCTGCTCCCACCATGTGAGAAGCCTGCTCCCCACTTTGCCTTCTGCCACGATTGGAAGCTTCCTGAGGCCTCCCCAGAGGCCTTGCTGATGCTAGCGCCATGCTTCCTGTAGAGCTTGCAGGACCGTAAACCAATTAAACCTCTTTTCTTCATAAATTACCCAGTGTCAGATATGTCTTTATAGCAACGTAAGAATAGACTCCTACAGTGACCTCATCAAAGAAGCCCCAGAGAGCTGCTGTCTCCCTGCTGCTATGTGAGTACATCGCAAGAAGGTATCATCTATGAACCCAGAAGAGGGACCTCACCAGATGCTCAATCTGCCTGGATCTTGGACTTCTCACCTCCAGAGCTGTGAGAAATAAATTTCTGTTGTTCATAAGCCACCCAGTTTATAGTATTTTCTTAAAGCAGCACAAATGGACTAAGACCTAAGACAATCTTTTTATTTTGCCTCCCTACTTTAAAAATAACTCACATTCATTTTCTTGGCACACCAGCTCTCAATAATGACATGCTGAACAAATGAATAAACAAATATTCTAGAATTCTGGCCATTTTAAAAAACACTAATTTGATAGGAGCTCCCTAATGCCATGGTCCTTGAATTATGCTTACAGAATAAAAGAACATTTTAAGCAAGTGCTATTTTTAAATGTTTCCACTAAAATAGGGCTAATTTTTGAAAGGCAGCTCTTAGGCCTCATAACTGTCAAATCTTTCT
The DNA here is from genome assembly GCF_000001405.40 of Homo sapiens. NCBI lineage: Eukaryota > Metazoa > Chordata > Mammalia > Primates > Hominidae > Homo > Homo sapiens. The sequence continues at coordinate 32,927,278 of NC_000010.11, forward strand.
AATATTCTGTTGCTAAACCTCTAGAGCAACAGGAGTGGAGAGAAGCAGGCAAAAAAGAGGTTAAGCTGGGGATGCATGAAATGGGAAAAATAAGGTTTGGAAAGCAGATCATCATCATATGAAAAATCCAGGTCTAAGATGAGATCAGGCTGTACGGGCAGGTGCAGACATACTAATTAGCAATTAGATAAAATCTGGGTATTCAACACATGTTTATAAAATAAGTCATAAGGGCCAGGCATGGTGGCTCACGCCTGTAGTCCCAATACTCTGGGAGGCCAAGGCAGCTGGATTACCTGAGGTCAGGAGTTCGAGACCAGCCTGGCCAACATGGTGAAACCCCCATCTCTACTAAAAATACAAAAAATTAGTTGGGGGTGGTGGCAGATGCCTGTAATCCCAGCTACTCGGGAGGCTGTGGCAGGAAAATCACTTGAACCCGGGAAGCGGAGGTTGCAGTGAGCCGAGATCACACCACTGCACTCCAGTCTGGGCGACAAGAGTGAAACTCTTAAAAATAAAATAAAGTAAGTCATAAGATAAATGATCAAGTTAGTATGAAAATAAGCATGCAAGTCATTATCTATGAGGTACAATCTGTGTCAAACAGTAGCATCCAGTGACAGAGGAACAAGGTGGCAGAAAAGATTATTAAACGTGTGACTGGAATATCAACTTCCACTCAGAAAAGGCTAAAAAACTGGCTTGTTTATCTCACAAGTATGTTGTGAGTAACAAAGGAATAAAATATAAAACAACATTTGAGAATTGCCAAGACTTTATAATGAAAATGGTCAATGTTCCCAACATTCCTACCAATTCTGAAGTCCGAAGTAATCCTCCTCATTTCATTCATCAGATCTGTTCCAAGACTTTTTACATTCTCCAAATCGTCTTTCATTGAGTAAGACAGGTCCATAAGGTAGTAGAGGTCAATGGGATAGTCTTCAGCTCTCTTGAATTTTAATGTAAATGTCTGTGGCTCCCCTAATTAGACAAGAGATTAGAAAATGAAACTTGCCTGTTGGCAATCAAACGCAAACGAGAAAAACCAAATAAATGTGGTTTACACGGTAAACACAATAAAATAAAACATGTTGTCATAATTTTTACAAAAACCTGGGAATTCCATAAGTAACTCAATGGGTATGTATTCAGTTTCATTCAACAAATACTTTAAACACCAGGCCTTCAGGATGCAAAGATAAAAAAGATATTCCCAATCCACAGTGGACAAAACAGACAAAAAGTCAGTTTATAAGAGAAGAAAACAAATAGAACACCATAAATTAGTCTGGAGAGGGCAAGGCAGAACACGTGATAGGGTACAACTGACTTTTTAGACACTGAAGTTGTGAACTCTGTTCTGTGTGTAGTGGGATGCCACTCCCTGCAAGTGAATAACATGATCCGATCTTTACTTTAGAAAGCCTGGCAGACAGCTTTAAAAATAATTATTTATTTATTATTATTTATTATTTATTATTTTATTTTTATTATCATTATGAGGCAAAGAGACTAGCTAATCTACAAAAGAAACCCAGAGAGAGATGATGAAGGAGGAGAAGAGAGAGATACAAGAGACGTTAATGTAATTTACTTAGGAAATACAGGAGAGAGGTTTGGATGAAAATGTAATTAAAATTTTAACTTGTAGTTTTCTCTATATAGATTTCTAATAGGCAATTGGAGAAATGGGTTTGGAGCTCAAGAAAAGTCTGTGTTGCTGCAGCATACAATTGGGTTTTAAAGCCACGAGAGGAAAACTGACATTTAGGTGGACTGCAAAAAGGGAGGAAGAAAAAAGACACAAAAAGAGGCCTGGAAGGCAATGGTAAGAGACACAAAGAAAAACCGAGGAGTGGTATCATTGATCAAGGACAGAGCATTTCAAAAAGTACAAAGTGTTACTTGGTACAGAAGAGTTAAAAAAAATCCTGACAAGGGTCCCCTGGGTCTGCGGGCTGAAGGCGATGGTGGAGCTTTGCTAGAGCAGGATGAGGAGGAGAGGGCTGACCTGGTTGAGGAGGGGCCGGGAGGGAAGTCAGGGGACAGGGCCACTCTACCATTCTCCTGACAAGAAAGGTCGGAAACCAGAAAAGCGAGGATGAGGGCTTGTTTTTTCCTTCATGTTTAGATGTGGGACTAACAGACATAATTACAAAAACCTTAACAGTTTAATAATACTAAACAAATACAAAGGAAAAGAACAGGTTAAAATGTTGCTTTTATAATATATTATGTAATTAGACCAGAGGATGAACACTTTCATTTTTAAAACTCACTAAAGCTAATTAATACTTTCTGAATCTTTAACAAAATTTACTTTGAATATTAGGCAACATTTAATATTATTCCAAGTAAATATGTCTTACAATTGTTATATCTGCAAAAATTTTCTAAAATTTAAACAATTCCACATTTTTGAGTGCCAGTCCACATGTAAAAACGAGCCTTCAACAGAAACTGGTCAGAGTTTGCATAAAGCTGGTGTCGAATGCCTCAAGTAAACACGCAGGTATTCACAGAGTTGGGCTTCCATACCTGATCTTAATCGCAAAACCAACTGCTGTGGTTGGATCTGAGTAATATCCTCTGGCTTGAGCTTCTCTGCTGTTCCTTTGCTACGGTTGGTTACATTTTTATTTTTCTTTATATCTTTGGAGCCTCTGGGATTTTCTATGTCATCTGGAGGGCAACCCTTCTTTTTTAAGGCTTCTAAATCATCACATCGTGCAGAAGTAGGCATTCCTTCCTGTAAAAATGTCTAAATGACATATAAAATATAGGTATAAATGAAAATTGTAATGGTCAAACCTTTTTACATAATAATTGCAAATAAGCAATTAAATTGCAAAACATCAAATCACATCTAATGTACCCCAATTCTGGCTTTTAAACAAAATGCTCCCTTCATCCAAACTGTGGTAAGTGTTCTTGTTAAAAAACAATCATTTCCAAGAAAGTAATACCTTTCCCAGAACTGACCCAAGTGTACACAGTAAATGCTCTATCTTGTAATTCAGAGTATCTAATCAAAAGCAATTTCTTTAGTGAAATCACTAATTGAGCATGGTTAATGGCTACTAATAATGTATACATACACCCAAATATCAGATCATTTCTCCAAAATTTCCCTTTGAAAAGTCCTTACAAAGCGTCTCATATTATGTGGCACTCTCCCCATCGCAATATGCTGAACAACCCGATGTTTAGGGAAAACAGACGAGCTTAAAAACATCTCAATTAATTATTGCATTTTTTAAAAGGACAACACGAAATTTAGCACCGATTAAATAAGTATTCCCACAGGTTTGAAAAAACTTTAAGTATTAGCTATTATTGTAAATAAGTTTTTAAAAAACTTTTAAAAAGCAAAATAGTAAGTATATGACAAGGGTAAAAGGAGTAAGTATATGACAAGGGTAAAAGGTCCTAATGGCAGGTAAATTTCAAAAAAGGAAAAAAAGTTCTTAATGGCAGGTGAATGGATATTTGCAGTAGTAAAATTTCTAGTAATGACAGAGATTTTAAATGTGGTATACATCAAACAACTTAGAAATAAAAATTTAATCATATAACTGAAAAGTGCCTTAGTGAATTCAAAAACACTGCTGTTAAAGATCTATATAAAGACTGTGAATAAAGGTGTTTCAAGAAATGTGAAAATGTGGGGGAAACAGTGACATTATATATGGTATTTATTTATCAAATATCAATTTAACGGTGCTGTATAAAGTAACAGTAAGTGAAGATATTTAAATTTAAAGAATACACAATAGTTTTTACATAAGATTTTTTAAGAGAAACATCATACTAATGAGAGTATTTATGTAATCAACAACTGGAAGGGAATACCAAGAATCAGATAATTCAAAGCTGCACTATTTATTAAACCTAAACTACTACCTACCAAAGCACAAGATCCTAGTGAATTACACATTTCTAAATACTAATCAATCCACGAAATTTACAATCATGACACCCAAATACAATTTCACTGAATATATTCAGAAAGCCTTTAAAATTTTAAGGATTATGCTCCAAAGCTCAAAGGCTAAGATAATCCTTAACTACAGATAAACTGTAGTCCCCATAAAATGGATATGTTAACAATAATAGCAGCTACCACTTATTTAGAAGTTTTTAAGTGAAACTGCTTTAAGTTCATCAATTCTAATTATTGTAACAATAGATAAAGCGGATATTATCATCCTCATTTTCAGATATGAAAACCAAGAGCTTCAGTTACATAAGCCTTGCCTGAGACAAACTCACAACACTCCATATTTCCTCCACTGTTGCCAATGTAATCCCAACACACCACTTTTAGAAAACACCATTAGAAAATTTTTGAAAAACAACAAAACCTCTCATTTTTTCTTTCATGTGGTCAAACCATACGACATATCTGACACTTGACCACTTAGGCATACAAAAATAGGCACTTGAAACTTGGGCCCAAATGCCTGCATGAAAACAAAATCAGTAACCCCTTGATCTTCTGATATTAGTTATTCATTCTGTGAATAAACTATACAACCTCAAAATGACTTCTCCTTACCTTCTCTTTTGATATATTCATTCATTCATTCATTGACTCACTGAACATTTAGTAGGCTTTGTGGAAGGTACCATATTAGCAAAAGTATAGAGATGACAAAAGTGAATAAAATCCAAACCCTAATTAACCTCAATAAGCTTATATTGGGATGCAAATCAATTCCAGTAGTTTAACTCAAATATAATTAAGAAGGTTAATTTATACCTCCCCATCAAAAAAGGGGAAATCTGAAACAGTCAAACTAAATGACTAGGATTTTTTTGAAGGTTCTCCCATAAAAATCTAATATGTGCCACAAAGATGAGCTACAAATATATGTATTTTAAAATTGTTTAGTAGCCACACTAAAAAAAGAAAAAGAGAAAATTTTAACACTGTTATAACATTATTTTTAAATATACAAAAATTATCATTTCACCATTATTATTTATTTAATACTAAGTCTTTGAAATCTTGTATATCTTTGAAACTTAGAGCAATTCTAATTTGTACAAAAGTGCTCAATAGCCACATCTGCCTAGTGGCTACTGTGTTGAACCACATAGCTCCAAACCATTAGGTTATTCATTTTATGATTTACATAAAAATTAATATGTGCTTCTGAAGGATACAGCACTGAGCCACACTAAATGACCAGAGAACAAATGGAAAGGACTTGAGCAACCTTACTTACTGAATTTGTGCACCACCCACAATTTGGCCCTGCTTGTATACATTCTCCACATGATTTGGCATTTGCTTTTAAACATCTATTTTCATCTGTCAGAAAGAAGAAAGAACAGAACATTTTATGTGAAGTGTCAGAGAGAAAATAATGAAAAATCAGAATCACAATGACAATGCAATACATATGTTAAATATTAATACTATGACCTAGTTACCATCTAAACTAGACCTTCCCCAAAGAGAGCAGGATTTTTTAATTTAATTTTTAATTTTTGTGGGTAAATAGGTGTATACATGTATGGGGTACATGAGATATTTTGATACAGGCATACAATGCATAACAGTCATATAATGGTAAATGGGGTATTCATCCCCTCAGGCCTTTATCCTTTGTGTTACAAAGAATCCAATTATACTCTTTTAGTTATTTTAAAATATGCAACTATATTATTATTGACTACAGTCACCCTGTTGTGCTACCAAATACTAGGTCATACTTATTCTTTCTATTTTTTTGTACCCATTAACACTCCCGACTTCCTCCCCACCTTCTCACTACCCTTCCCAGCCTCTGGTAACCATCCTTCTACTATCTTCATGAGTTCAATTGTTTTAATTTTTAGCTCCCACAAACCGGTGAGAACAATGCAAAATTTGGGACCGTGATTTTGGATCACCTTGACACTGAAAGCCACAGAGAGACATAAGTTATCTTCCTTGTCTTCTGTATCAAAGACAAGACATAATTCAGAATTTATCATTCTTGACTGTCATAAATGTCATGAGTTCTCTTAAAACTGGGCAAAGTATTATTTCTTGTCATTTAACTCCTACCATACTCACAAGAATCTTCAAGGCTTTCCCTTTGCTTTCAGTATGTTAAATAACTGAAAAGTCCATATTCATCTAATCCATAATCCCAGAATTTCTCAGGCTCTATGTTCAAAGTATGTTTTAGGTTTCTTTGCATCTACCTAAGGAAGAGTATGCCTTCTACATGGTAAGCGCTAATACAGACTGTCTCCAACGTATCTTTTCTGAGATTATAAAACCAGCATATGCTTCTTATAGAAAATCTGGAAAACACACAAGAGCATAAAGAACCAACTCACTGAATCTGTTAACTGAGAGAGGACTGTTGCTAACATTTTTGCCTATTTCTTTCCAGTCTTTTTCCTATGCAGATAAATAGCAAGGGGAAGCAAGCATATATATATTAATACATGTATTATTTACATGAAACTGAGGATGCACTTTATATATACAGTTGTACAGTTTTGTATACTGTTTTTTATACCTTATCCTAAGTGTTTTATTCTTATCATCACAAATTCTTTTTAAAAAGAATTAAAAAGCTTTTAATGATTATGTATTTCAATATAAGTGTACTCTATTTAATGCTGGACAAATTTAGATTGTTTCCAAATGTATGTGTGCACAGTTCACACATGCTTGCTCACATGCACATATAAACACCCCAAGTACACATATACACATACTGTACTACATGCACATACACATGCTGATGATCTTATATATAAACCTTAGTACACATCTGATTATTTCCTTATAATAAAACCTAAAAGAATAATTAACTACTAAGTTGAAGAGCATATTAACATTTCTAAAATTCTCTATACACACTAATTTCTATCCAAAAGTAATATACAGTTGACCCTCTGTGTCTGTGGTTTCCAAATCAGTGGATTCAAGCAACCACGGATCAAAAATGGGGGAAAAAAGTGTCTGTACTGAACATGTACATACTTTTCTTCCTGTCATTATTCCCTAAACAATACAGTGTAAAAGCTATTTACCTAGCATTTACATTGTATTAAGTATTACAGGTAATCTAGAGAAGATTTAAAGTATACAGGAGGATATGTGTAGGTTATATGCAAATATCATGCCATTTTATATCAGGGACTTGAGTATTTGTGGATTTTGGTATCTGAAGGAGGTCCTGGAACCAATTCCCCATGGATACCATAGGGCAACACTACTAATATAAGCTCCCACAAAACGGCAGTGTACAAATACCATTTTACCACATTTCCAACCGAAGTGCTTTAATGTTAAAAAACTGTTGCTCATTTCATAAGTGTAAATTAGAATATCAATTCATTGGTGAAGCCTATCAATTTCAGGTTTTACATTGTTTCATATTTTTACTAACCATTTCTTTTATAATTTTGTTATGTCTTTTGCAAATTTTTTTGTTATGTTCCTCAGTTTTTATTGGATTTCTATACACATTAATGAAGTGGAACCTTTGTTTAGTTTCTCATCTTGTTTACGGTGTTCTGACACAGAATGTTTTTGTTATTACTGATTTTATGTAACTAACTTATCAATACTTTCTTTTACGGTCTCCTGCTTCATTTTTACTACTTGTAGTAAGTCCTTCCAATCCTGATATCGAACTGCTCTATGCAGTGTAGTTTTTCAAGATTCAGAGGACAGAACTGCGTATCCATTATTCCAGATGTGGAGCCACATCTTTATAGAAGGGTTAAATACATTTTCAGCTTTATTTTCACTGCTTTCCTAGATGATGCCAACATTTTGTGAGACTTTTTTATCAAAGAGTGAGAATGTCTTCTAGAAAGTCTTTGCAGATAATAATGGACAGTTCATAATCCTCCATTCTACACATTTATTTCATTTGCTTCTAAATATACTTGCTTTTGCCTTCTGTTCACTTACACACTCTCATGTTCTCAAAAGATCTTCTTGCAGTGTGTTCAATCCCTAGCATTTTAGTACTTCACCAGCCAACTTGCCTCCCATCATCCCAGGTGGCAGGGGTGAGGGGAGCCTGACCATGAAGGAACTTGACCTTTCTCTGAGTAAGAGGAACAATTGCAGGGCTTCCAGAAGGAGCAGCATGATTATGACTTAGGTTCTCATATGAACCTAACTGGTCAAAGCGCAATACAAGATACGGAAATGAAAAGACAACTAAGAAAATTTTTTGTTTTTACCTGTTTGAGCAAACACACAGCAAACTGAACTGATCAGTCCAATCCAGAAAATTGGTTGTAAATTCATCTGAAATGTAAAATGTGCCTTATATTAGTTATAAAGAAATAAAATGAAAAATGCATTAAATAGAAAGTATTACCCCACCGTACCTTCTATTGCTTTTATAAACATGATGGCTCTCAAACCATTTCACTCCAGCCCCTCTCCACAGACCCTCGCCCATCTCCCCTCCCTATCTGGTTCCCTCACCTTGCACCTACACTGCGAAAATAACTTCCATACCAGAGCCCCAGAATCCATTCGTGCCTTTCTCTAAAGCAAACCGATTATATTTTAACATTTAATTAACAGCGCTCAAAAAAAAAATCAGTGTTAAGTATTCCTCAACACCATAAAACCTACCAATGGTCTCAGCCCATAGAATCTCTATCTCCATTATCTCCTGCGGCTCCCAGGGGCCCAGACCAGCATATCCAGATGCCTCAGTTACCTCAATGCTGAACATTCGTTTTCAAAAACCTGATCAAGTCATCCCTCTGCTAACAATGCGCTTCATCAGTTTTTATTTCTTCAGGCTAAGGCCAACATCCTGCATAAGGCCCCAAATAGATTTTTGAGCTTGTTTTCCTATTATCTCTCTTTTTTAAGAAAATCAACTTCTGCCAGGAGCGCTGGCTCACGCCTGGAATCTCAGCACTTTGGGAGGCTGAGGCAGGCAGATCACCTGAGGTCAGGAGTTTGAGACCAACCCAGCCAACATGGAGAAACCCCAGCTCTACTAAAAATTAGCCAGGCATCGTCGTGGGTGCCTGTAGTCCCAGCTACTCCGGAGGCTGAGGCAGGAGAACTGCTTGAACCTGGGAGGCAAAGGTTTCACTGAGCCAAGATTATGCCACTGCACTCCAGCCTGGGCAACAGAGCAGGACTCCATCTCAAAAAAAAAGAAAGAAAAGAAAAGAAAATCAACTTCTATGCATGCAATAAGTAAAATACTCAGTTTTAATTTCCTAGAGTGTCCAGACCCCCCACCTCTCCCCCAACAAAAAAAAAGAGGGCATAAGACAAACTGAAAAAGTCTTGTCTTCTAGAACCTCTAACCAAAAAATTAGGTAATATTCTATATACTAAATACAACTACCCCAATTTCCTACCATTAGGTACATATATAACTATTTTCTCTGAATCAAAGCTTTCACGATGATATGAATCTATATCTTTGATTGGTCAAAGATGGCTACGGCCACTGGTTGCTGACTTGATCCCTTAACTACTTACTGCTCTTGGACTAGCAGCCAATCTAATAATTATATATAAGTATCTGTCCCTCCACAAGAAGAAATACTCAAAAAAGCAAATTTATACAAAAAAAGTTTAGGTTTAATCGTTATTGGAAAATGTAAATTAAAGCAACATAAGATGAACTAGCAAAAATAGAAAGTTTTTTAACCCAACAAAACTATAGCAGATGGCTGCGAGAAACCAACTGGTAGCTCTGTGAACTGATACAACTTTTTGGGAAATAATTTGACAATTTATATCAAAAACCATAAAAAAATTTCTACCCTCTAATAATCCAGCTACTGGGAATTTACCCTAAGGAAATACTTAAATATATAAAAGGTGACACACATATACACACACATTCAGTATAGTACTCTAGTATATTCACAAGAGCAAAAATGTAAATATCCTATATCCAATAACAGGGAAATCTAACTGCATCAAGTTTAGGGACTTATTAGTCATTGCAATAATAAAATGCAGCAACATTTAGAGTTATAGAGGGCCAAGTGCAGTGGCTCACGCCTGTAATCCAGCACTTTGGGAGACCAAGGCGGGTGGATCACGAGGTCAGGAGATCGAGACCATCCTGGACAACATAGTGAAACCCCGTCTCTACTAAAAATGCAAAAATTAGCTGGGTGTGGTGGCATACTCCTGTAATCCCAGCTTCTCAGGAGGCTGAGGCAGGAGAATCGCTTGAACCCGGGAGGCGGAGGTTGCAGTGAGCCAAGATCGCGCCACTGTACTCTAGCCTGGCGAAAGAGCGAGACTCCGTCTCAAAAAAAAAAAAAAAAAAAAAAAAGAGTTACAAAATAATTTTGGATGTAAAGTACACAATGAGAAGAACGTGACTTTCTCAAGGCAAAAGAAAAAAAGATGAGAAGAATATAAAAATAATACTAATAGTTTCATATAATCTGAAGATAACAAAGAGTTATATGCACAATATAAAGACAATGAGGGCCATTTGTTTTTTAAACTGTTAGGGTCTTCTTTCTACTTTCTTAATGAAAACAACTGTAGCACAATTTAACTGTGCAATTATTTTTCTTGACAAATTTCCTTTAATATGAAAAAAGTTCACTGAATTCCAAGTTAACACTGAATATTTCTTTTACAGACCTCCATCTTCAAGGGCTTACATTCCAGGATGCTATTCCCCTGGCTCAGAGAGAATGCTTTAAGTTGTGCTCTGAGCACCCGAGAGAAAAGAGTTAAGCGTAACGTGAAAAGTCATTCACTTCTGCAATCGTGCTCAGCCCAGCAGGCTGTTATGCCTGAGCTTGCAGTTTTGCTTACATATCACTTGTGACTGTATCCAAGAGACCAGCAAAATCTGAGTGTCACAGAAGTGTGAAATGCCTACCAAATTCACCTTTCAAGGCCTGTCTAAAAGGTTTAGTGTGTAGTAAATCCATTAGACTATAATTCTAAGCAAGTCAAATAATGTTATCACGATTCCAAAGCTATGACAACAGACACCTGAAACATTAAAAGTTCCTGAGGAAATGCATTACTGTGATGAATGAAGCATGCAGGCAGTTTCCACACAAAGGGAATGGAACAAATATTTGTTCCATATATGGACAGATACATGTTTCTTCAGGATACAACTCAGGCTGTTTAATGATCACTAGAGACTGCTTTGAGAAATCTGTCAACATATCATACAATTTAGACAATCACCACTAAGATGAAGTTATTAGGTAACAGAAAATGATTCCTAACATTCGGAGCCACACTACTTTAAATGTCACTGTCCTTTCCTTCTATAAACCTTGACAAGGCAAAAAGTCAACCTTCTGAAACCCTTGTGCCTCCGGAAGAGCTCCAAACCCGGAAGCAGGCGAAACAAGGCTTCAGTGTTGAAGAACAGCTGAGAGAACAAGGCCAGCAGCTGGAAACAGTTTAATGACAGATGTCAACGATCCTGCGACTGGCGACTGGCGGGGCACTGGCAAGAAACAGAGAGGCACTGCCATTGGCTAGTGATATCTGTAAAAGGCGAGGCTTTCTCTCAGGGAAAGGGAAAGGCTAGAGGATGACTCCAATTAAGAACACAGAAGAGCTACAGGACCAGGGGGCGGAGAGGAGACCACAGTTAGAAGTGGCCTGAGGGAAGCAAGCCACAGAGACCCGGACAGGAAAGGAGAGGCAGAGGGCCAGGGAGCCTCGCTTTCAATGCTGCTGGCCTTCCCTTCTACCGGTACTGGGTGCCCCCTGCACATGCGCATGGAAGGGGAAGGAACAGGTGCCCAAGTCCTACGCCACAAAGCTCCCAGGACAGCACTTCTCTAAGTGGGCCTAGAGAACAACTGCATTGGGTTTACCTGGATGCCCTAGGCTTAAAATCCACAATCCCTGAGCATGGGGCCTGGACTCCAGGTGATTCTTATGCTGAGAAAAGGACCTGAAGGGGTTTCCTCCCAATGGCATTCCATATAAAACAGAGTATGAGGGGATAACAGGGAAAGATGCCTTTCAGTTGCTGTCCTAATTCTAACGCTTGTCTCCTCTTCACGGTCAAAGACCTAGAAACAGTTGTCTACACTGGTCTCCATTTCCTACCTACCTTCCCTCTCCTCAACCCAGTACCTTCATGTGTCATTTAACAAAGAAAGAGCTCTGAGAAATGCGAAGGCAATCTCATCTTTGTGCAACCATCACAGTGCACTTACACAAACCGAGATGGTGTGGCCTCCTACACATCCAGGCTCTACGGTACAGCCTATTGCCCCTAGGCTACACACCTGTCCAGCACAAGACTGTCCTGAATACTGCAGGCAACTGGAATGCTGCAGTAAGCATGTGTGTATCTACGCACAGTTAGACACAGAAAAACTACACAGTAAAAGTATGGTACAAAAGATTTTAAAATTGATGCACCTCTATTACCATGAATATAGCTTGCAGGACTGGAAGCTGCTCTGGATGGCTGGGTGGGTAAGTGAGTGAGTGAGTGAGTGAGTGAGTGAGTGAGTGAGTGAGTGAGAGGGGCAAGTGAGTACACTGCACAGAACACACACTGAACAGGACATTACTGACATTACTATACACAGTACTGTGGACACAAATACACACTACATTAGCCTAAAGCCTGCACAGCTGCCCTGGGTCAGGATCATCAATGTCACTGTCTTGCGCCTGCATATCCTGTCTCCAATGACACATGGAGCTGTCATCTCCTAAAAGATCTCCTTCTTCGGGACCACTTCCTGAAGGACCTGGACCTGCCTGAGGCTGTTTTACTTTTTCTGTAAGGAGAGATACTCTCTCAAATAACAACAGGCTGGGGGCGGTGGCTCACGCCTGTAATCCCAGCGCTTTGGGAGGCCAAGATGGGCAGATCACAAGGTCAAGTAATGGAGACCATCCTGGCCAACATGGTGAAACCCCGTCTCTACAAAAAAATACAAAAATTAGCTTGGCGTGGTGGTGCGCATCTGTAGTCCCAGCTACTCTGGAGGCTGAGGCAGGAGAATCACTTGAACCCAGGAGATGGAGGTTACAGTGCGCCAAAATTGCGCCACTGCACTCCAGCCTGGCGACAGAGCTAGACTCCATCTCAAAAAAAAAAAAAAAAATTAACAATATAGTGCAGTAAATATATAAAGCAGTAACATAGTTGTTTATTATCAAGTATTATGCACTGTAATTTAGATGCTATGCGTTTATAAGACTGGCAGCATGGTCGATTTGTTTACACCAGCATCACCACAAACATGTGAGTAATGTGTTGCACTATGACACTACATTACTAGGCAACAGGTGTTTTTCAGCTCCGTTATAATCTTATGGGACCACTGTCGTGTATGTGGTCCATCACTGACCGAAAAGTCATTATGTGGCACATAACTGTGTAACTGATGTCCATGCCCAACCATATATGTGAAATTACTCTTGCAAAAGAACCCTTTCTAGGCCTTACCTTACTCTCTGCATTCATTCGTTCATCACTCATTCATTCACAAATTTTTTGACTCACTACAATATGCACTTGAAGAAGTACATCGGTTTACTACCAAAGAATTTACACAAAGCAACATGTAAGACTATTCACCATTCTTTAACACACTCTACTCCCTTGAACTCTACTGGTTTCCCCCTGCCTTTCTGGAGGTTCCTCTTCAGACAACTCTGTCAGGTTTTGAGCCATATCAGGAAATACAAGGGTCACTGCTTCAGGGAACTTTCAGTTCAAGGACAAAAATACAAATTATTATGATATGATGGTTTCAGTAATAAACAAGGACACAGTGCACTGAGGACACTGAAATCTGCCTGGACAAGTTCAGAGGCATCAGGCACATGGCAGTGTTTCAGTTAGACCTGAAGGCACATAGGAGATGGGTGTGGAGAAAAGTGGAGAGAAGATATTCCAAGCAAAAGGCCTGCATATACAAAGCCATGAAGTCCCGAGGCGAATTATAATAACTCCTTCCTAATCTTATTTCTAAGCATATGCATTTGGGCAGCTCCCTGCAACCCAAAATTGGAACTGTCTCACTTTTTCTCTCTTTATAGAAAAAAAGACTAGAAAAATGTATGTTTTTGTAACTATATCTTGTTGGTGGAATGAGTGATTATTTTATCCTTATAATTTTCTATTGTAAGTATAAGTTATATTATCTTAAAATCTTAAAATATCAGAAAGGCCAAAAGGAATCTTGAAGTATTTCTGAGACTTAAATTATGAGTTGGAAATAACAGGAACGAAGACCAAGCAAGCAGGAAGAGCTACGTTACAGAGAGCCAAATACCATCCATGCTAAAAGAGTTTGGATTCCATTCTATAAATAGGAAGGGAACTGAAAAAATTTGGGCAGGCTAGTAATACCTCTACATATACATGGCAGAAACTCAGTGGAGAAAAGGACAGGGGGCAAGACAGGAGCTGGAAGACAAATACAGAATTTACTGCAAAGGTTCAAGTGAGAGGTGACAAATGTCTAAATTCAGATAACAGCAACAAACAAGAAGACGAACAAACAATGATTAGAAGGTAGCTATGAGGGATCTGCTGCTTACTTGGAGAAGGAAGGATGGGAGAAAGAAAGGAATTTAGAATAATCATCACTTTAAAATAAAGAAGATGTACGAGGGAGAATGGGGTTAGGGGAAAAAATGAGGTTTGTTTTATTGCAAAATCTAGGGAAGATGCCTATTGGGAAGCTAGGACATGAGTATGGATCTCAGGAGATAAGTCAAGAGTTAGAGACACAGACATGAGAGTTGTCATAATCTAGGTGCTAACCGAACTTATGAAAATGGATGTGATTGGGATGAAAAGAATACTTAGGAAGAAAGGAGAACTGGGGGCAAACTTGAAGAGGTGAAGACACAGGAAAAGAGAAAAGGAAAGTGATGAAGCCAGGCCTCCTTGGAGCAAAGAGGGATGGCATGTGCAGCCCAAGGGGGTGGATCACCCTAAACAGAGACATGGTGCCTTTCTTCTAAGGCAGAGCAGGAGGTGAGAAAGCAAAGAGAGTTCATTCATGCATGACTGTTTTTTTCTGAAATAGGAAGAACTCCTAGGAAAAGAGGTACGGCTTAGGGGTTGCAGAAAATTAGGAAGATGCAATGGGATTACAGTGAGAGCCTGCAATGGTGAGAGCCCACCAGGTATTGGACACCCTAATTTATACAGGCATATTTGTAACACTCATTTCACTTCTAACTATTTGTTAACATGTCTTCCCTGATGGATTCTAGGCTCCAAGAAAATAGGGCCTGGGTGTATCTTATTTATAGCTATTGCACCTAGAAATACTTGGCACAAAGTCCATGCTCAAAACTCTTTGCTGTTAGGCTCATGCCTGCAATCTTAGCACTTTGAGGGGCTGAGGTAAGAGGACTGCCTGAGGCAAAGAGTTCAAGACTAGCCTCGACCCTGTCTCTCTCTCTCTCTTTTTTTTTTTTTTGGGGGGAGACAGGGTCTTGCTCTGTCGCCTAGGCTGGAATGCAGTGGTGTGATCACATCTCACTGCAGCCTCAACCTCCTGGGCTCAGGCAATCCTCCCATCTCAGCCTCCCAAGTAACTGGGACTACAGGTATGAGCCATCATGCCCACCTAGAGATCCTGGCTCTACAAGAAAATAAATTAGCCTGGGCAACATAGCAAAACTTGGTGGAAGTGGGGGCCAGGGGAAGGGGCCATGAGTCCAGGAGTTGGAAGCTGCAGTAAGCTATGATCACACCACTGCATTCCAGGCTGGGCAATGGAGTGAGACCCTGCCTCAAAAAGTTAAAAAATTAAAAATATTTTCACTGAACCATATTGAATTGTATGACATTTTTCTCTGACATTACTCAGAAGAATGTCTCAGAATTACTTAATGTGCAGAACTTCTCTAAACAGAAAAGTGTTACTATAGACATCCAAGTGACAACTTAAATTTTCAATTACTTTAAGTATATAAGCCAACTTATAGATAGATATAAAATGTCTCATGCTCATAGCTCTTAAACATTATGAAACCAAAATTAACTTCCAAGTACAAACATAGATTCTGAAGTTATATTACTGGGTTATAAGATGGTCAACCAGATAAACTAAATGTTTATTATTAACATGAAAGCATGATTTTTTTTTAAATTTTGTAGAAATGCCCAAATCTCTGAGAATACCTCCCATGGTCCCTCAGACTCCAATTTGGAATCACTAAATCTATTCCCTGGTGTGCAGGGCAGGTGCAAGAGGAAAGGTGGGGGTGGGGGGCAAAGAAGGTGCAGTGCTACCAAAAAGTTAACAAGAGGAAAAAGTCAAAAGACCAGACATCACAACAGGGAGGTGAGAGGAGAGGGGACCACGGAAACAAGGAAGTGAAAAGAGCTGGAACCTACGACAGTTAAGAATTTACAATTTCAGAGACAGGCAGTCTTGGGGGAAAAGGCCTGTATTAAAAATACAGTACCAGGTCATTGTTTTAGCTAGGGTTCTGTCCAAAGCAGAGCCTGGGAACAGAACTGGTGTGCAGGCAGTTTATTGGAAGGTGACCCCAGGAAAAGAGAGAGACACTTTGAAGACAGTGAACCAAGAAAAAGAGAAAAAGCCAATACAAAGATACTATCTTTACCATACTGAGTACCTGGGGGCTTGATCTTGTGGAAAACTTTTGAGAAGTACGTAGAAAGTCTGTCCAGTGAAAGTCAACGGGGAAATGGATCAACTCCAGTTGCATAGGTAAAAAGTCGCCTCAAAGGGCATTAACTCCACTAACACTTCTAAGAACTACAGTGCACGTGCCCAGGGACAGACAAGAGGGAACAGACAAGAAAGTTGGTTAGAGGAGCCGCAGGGGAAAAAGCAAAAGAGAGGCACCTGAGGCAGCATGCAGTCAGCCAGGAGTGAGCCACCGACTGTTCCCAGCAGCACCAGCTGGAATCAGAGGCCAAGAGGATGTGAGAAAGACACACGAGGTTTCCAGTACAGTGACCAATGGCCACTAAAGTTGAGAGACAAGAAAACTGCTAGACCAGAGTTCAGGGAAGGCCTGGGAGCCACAGTCCCCGCCCACTAGCAGCGCTGCCAGCTGGCTGGGCCTGGGCGGCAGAGAAGGTAAGTTCACAGGCTGGGCCAAAGCCCTTGTTCGGGTGCGGCGTGGGCCTTGGTCTGTAAAGGGGCGTCTACGCGGCAGCAGCCGTGATCATGGGGGCCCTGGGCTAGGCAACAGCACTAGTTGTCGCGCGTCACCAAACACTGTGAAGCACCTCTCTAGCGGAGACCTGCTCCAGGATCAACATGCTGCGGGGCACAGAAATTAATGTGTTAGCTAACGCTTTCATTGACCAAAGGAAACTCATCCGAGATGATGTCATGACTCAGCTGGCCCTATATGAGCTGAAAAATCTCACTTAGTATAGCTAGCTGTTGGGTGGTTTTCCATGGACACTTCCACAGGCAGAAGCCCTAGACTAAGCTTCTTAGACAGACAAAGTGATTAGCCCGAATGTGCCCTTTGAGGTCATTAAACAATGCCTTACTGCTCGCTAGATTCATCCTGCCAGTGGCTGAGTCTACAACATTGAATTCAACCCTCCCAAAACTGTGGGCACTGATGATCTGACTGGGGATCCTCTCATTCAGCATGAGGATGATAAACCAGAGACGGTTATCAAAAGACTAAAGGCTTATGAAGCCCAAACAAAGCCAGTCCTGGAATATTACCAAGCTTTTCTACAAACTAAAGTTCCACAAAGAAGCCAGAAAGCTGCCATTACTCCATGAGGAGAAATGTGTGTAACTAGTAAGATGAGCAAACCTCCTATTCCTTGAATTTAAAAACTGCTTTTCCTAAGACCTCCAGCATGTATGAATTCTTTGAAAGTTATATTACTTTTATTTCTACTGATTTTATTCTGGATACTGAGGATGTGCCAAACGAGTCAGATACTAAGATTAATCTTTTGAAATCATCTAGTGTGTTTTATCCAGTCACCTGCAAAACCATCAGAGATGTCTTAACTTTTAAAACACGTTAGAGCAAAATTAAATGAACAATTGGTAGTAATCTAACTTTTTGTTCATTAAGTGGTTGATAGGCTGGGTGCAGTGGCTCATGCCTGTAATCCCAGCACTTTGGGAGGCCGAGATGGTGCATCACGAGGTCAGGAGATCGAGACCATCCTGGCTAACATGGTGAAACCCCGTCTCTACTAAAAACACAAAAAAATTAGCCGGGCGTGGTGGCAGGCGCCTGTAGTCCCAGCTACTCGGGAGGCTGAGGCAGGAGAATGGCGTGAACCTGGGAGGTGGAGCTTGCAGTGAGCTGAGATCACGCCACTGCACTCCAGCCTGGGCGACAGACCGAGACTCTGTCTCAAAAAAAAAAGATTAAGTGATTGATAAAATGTCCATATTTTTTGGAAAAGTTTTAAAAAGTTACATGTCATTTGGGGAAAGTATCTCATCAGAAATTTTTGCAGATTAATGCCACATTTCTAGCATTGTGGAGCATGGTGATACTACATAAAATTCCAGAAAAAAAAGCAACTGGATTCACAGATTTGTTGTAAGATACAAATTCACTGCTGCCTTTACACTAATAAATATATAAGCTAACCATATATGCTGTATTTATTTTGTTGTTAAACATACTTTCAATTTACTCAGAATTTTCAATTTGCTATAAAAATGTATCAATTAACATACAGAAAAATATTACTTTAAGATGACTCTTCTTTTGAAAATACATATGTATTGAGGGTTATAATTTTTGTCAGAAATTGACATTATAAGTTCTTGGATAAGCACCAAAGTTGAATGAATTTTCAACAAAATATAATTGAAATCTATGTTTTCAGATGTTACTCGGGTTAAGAAATGTGTTTTAGGATCTACTTGCCAGTTTCTCTTTTTGATCCAAATATATGATCTGCCCTGATAAATAACAAGTTATTATACCCCTCCTCCCAAAAATAAAAGAGAAAACCTATGGAATTATGTAAAGTAAGCATACTTTGTCATTAGTAAATAGATCAGGCATGCCTGCGGAATGTTCCCTTGGCATAAATAGCAATCAATCATGATTCGTAAACAAGGTGTGCCAATAAAAAGAATTCACAGGATAGGTTAACAAAGACCAAAAAAGTGAGTTTTCTGAAGGAGTTCTTTGTTCCTGATCAAAGAAATTGATACCTGCTAGCATTCACTGCCACCTTATCTTAAGGGGAAAGAATTCTACTGGTTTCATCTGAGCAGCCATTTAAATACTGGAATCTAAAGTGATTCCTCAGTGGGGCAACAAGGATGGCTGCTGATGTACTGTGACCTGGTAGGAGAAGTGGGGCATATGAGAGAAGGAGGAAAAACCTGACCATCTTCCACAGCATATTTACTCTTACTTTACTTGGTGCTAAAGCAAATGAAACAAGGCCTTGTATAAGCTGTTATTAATTGCCTTTAAAAATCTGTCCTGTTTTTCTCCAGGTACTTAAAACACAAGTGCCAATAAGTGGTTTGTATGTATTTCTGGGGGGGGGGGGGGGATTATTTTCCTTTTCTGCAGGTATTTCAAAAATTCATCAGTCTTTCAAGATGAACCAAGGTTTTTTAAAAGAATTATAGTAAAGACTTCTTTTTTTTTTTTAGACAGTTTCACTTGATCACCCAGGCTGGAGTGCAGTGGCATGATCTTGGCTCACTGCAACCTCCGCCTCCTGGGTTCAAGCAATTCTCCTGCCTCAGCCTCTGAGTAGCTGGGATTACAGGCATGTGCCACCACGGCTGGCTAATTTTTGTATTTTAGTAGAGACAGGGTTTTGCTATGTTGGCCAGGCTGGTCTCAAACTCCTGACCTCCAGCAATCCACCCACCTCTGCCTCCCAAAGTGGTGGGATTACAGTCATGAGGCACCATACCTGGCCTACTTCATTCTTTATAAAACTTTCTATAATGCCTCACTTGAATGTTAATATTATGTGCTTTGTAAAAATGTTGTGAACTCCCAAACTTATAGATTATCACTAGGTTATGAGGCATACATTAGTCTTTATCTGAATAAACTGAAATTTCATTAAATAAAAAAAAAAGAAAGAAAGAAAACTGCTAGACCAAGGTGTGAGAAGTATCATCTGCATGAACTCTTGAAGCCCTCGAATTATGGCAAGAACTGGGGAGGAAAGAAAGACTAAAGCCAGGTGATTCACATATAGCCGTGTGTGTGTGTGTGTGTGTGTGTGTGTGTGTGTGTACGTACATACACACAGTATGTTAAAACATATATAATAATCTTCATTTAAAAGGTTTCCTGTTTGGGGCATATGTAGCTCTTATACATCTACTAATGATGTACATGGTTGACTTGCCTTATAAATTGTCATCTTCTAGAAGTTTCTCCATGTTTTCTGTATCTAGCGCAATGTCTTTATATTGAATAAATGAAGAAACTAACGATAAAAACAACTGGAGATACTCTGAGGTATCAAAAAATAAAACACTGAGCTTCATGACAGCAGATATTTGTGGCATCTACCGTTGTACAACATTGTGTAGTGCAGAGTTACACTGGCAAATTAATCTGTCTCAGTTTCCTCATCTTTAAAATGGGGACAGCAGTATTTACCTTGTAGGGGTTTTGTGAAGTTTAAATAAGTTGATACACATAAAACATTTAAAACAATGTCTGGCCAATTGTAAGTACCTGGGTGTTACTTGTTATGATCATTACCAAATGTTACAGGAAGCGCTCAATAACAACGTAATTGAATAAAGAAGTAACTATGGTTGAATTTTTTTTTTTTTTCAATTGTAATTATAACCAGAAAACTGACTGGATCCACTTTAGGGAAGACACAAGATATGAAAGAAAGGATAAAGTCTGAAAGTTAGAAGTAACACAACTACAGAAAATAGATTAATGTGGATTGTTATAGCTGTTCATACACTGACATCCTCAATATCAAAACCTTATTATACTCTTTATAGATTCCACATCCAAGTAGAATTCTATTTAATGTGCTTTCTAACAATCAGATTCCTGACAAATGTGTTCATAAAGTAATAAAAGCAGCAAAACCTTAAATATTTTATACTGACAAAATATTTAAGGTAGTAAATGTTAGACAAAATACAAATGCTCTGAACACTAATATCATAAAAACATAGTAGACAAAATACAAATGCTCTGAACACTGATATCACAGAAACCCTTAAAAAAAGATTGAGGGGAGGGAATAACATACCTAATACAAACAGAAATAAGGAGGAAGCTTTGAGGTTTGCTATGCTTTGAACGTGTCCCCAAGGTTCACGTGTTGGAAACTTAATCCCCAAAGCAACAGTGATGAGAGGTGGGACTTTTAAGAGGTGATAAGGTCATGAGGGCTCTGCCCACATGAATGGATTAATGCTATTACCACAGGAGTGGAGAATGGGTTCCAGATAAAAGACGGAGTTTGGCCTCCTTCTCTTCTCTCACTCTCTTGCCCTTCCACCTTCTACCATGGGATGATGCAACAGAAAGACATTAGATGCCAACCCCTTGATAATGGACTTCCCAGCCCCCAGAACCCTGACATAAATTACCCAGTCTGTGGCATTCTGTTATAGCAGCACAAAGACTAAGACAAGGTTCTTACATCACAAGGAAGCAAACCCCCCTGAAAGGACTAGAATACCAATTCTGTGTTTTATTAATCAAACCCAACTAGCAATATGATTTCGTTCAGGGACTGCTGCTCACTGTGGATTACTGAAAAAAAAAAAAAGACTGACTTCTCAATTGAGAGGGCCAGACTAGGCACAGGCAAGAAGAAGAGTATAATACACTAAGTTTTGATGATTTAAAGTAATTTGTAACAAAAAGTTATTTCATTTAGAACTTTAAAAAATTAGAATTTTATTTCAGCACCTTCAAATGGATATGATAATAATAATGATAAAATAATAGCATCTATCTCCTCCAGGTAACTCAATGAGGTGAAGAATAATAGTGTCTTTGTTTTACAGATGAGGAAACAAAACCAGAGAGACTAAACAACTTGCAATGGTGGAATCAAAAGTTGCACAGGTGGAATTGAAACCTGACCATCTGTATCCAGAAGCTATGACCTGACTTCATTAAACTGTAATTTTTTCAAAGCCTACTTAATCACTATTTTAAAACAAAGAACATCCTTCTAGTGTTAGAACTGACTCAGGGCACAGAAATGGAAAGGGCTTATAATGTTCTATGAGTTTATTTCTTGGGCATTTGAACTTAATAGAGGCCAAGAAAAGTTATTTTAATTGCCATATTTCATAAGTACAGACAAAGGTTTTGTGTCTTGTTCCTATAAAAGCATTTCACCTTAAGGTCATTTTTTACCATATGAAATTTTATCTAAGGGGTCATAATTCATTCCCTGAACAATAAACAATCTTAAACACCACCCACAAATAATCTCATTTTAGTGGTTAACCCAAATATGTGCAATTGTTTCCACTGTCAAAAATAGTGCATAATTGTTTTAATCTTCACTGTAAACTAATCTTTATCCATAAAAGTATGGTTTTATATCATGTTCAAACTTTTAAATACACACTCATTATTTATTAATTTTTTTAAACAATTTTACAAATAATTCATTTGGCATTTCCTTTTAAATTTACAATCTTTAGAAACTTTATATGGACTATCTTTGTAGAAATTAAACAACTACACTTTAGAAAAAAATTGTAACATATGTAACATATGTAACATGTTATGTTCATTTCAGAGTTGAAAAATAAGCCACCTAAAAGCCAACTCAAATAAAAAGAATACACAAAAGATTTCACAAAATCTCAAATCTTTTCACCTTAATAGTAGAAAAGATTCTGATACCTATAGAGGTATATCATAAATGTCTCCTAAAAATTATAATAAACTTGGATTCATCCCAAGTCTGTTCTACCATCATTATTTTCTGTATCTGCTTTTAAAAGGGGAAGAAATAGGCCAATAACAGATTTTAGTATTTAAAAATCAATATATTCCAGAAGAAGAACACAGAGCCAAATTGAAAGACATGAGGTTCCTCCCACTTATCCCACATAGAGAGTAATAAAAACGAGAAAAACATGAATGGAAGAAACTGAGAAATCTTTCTGAATTCTGTACCATCTGAGAGGGTGACATGTGGAGATGAGTTCCTCCCATGGAAAGGGAACCTTTCCCCTTACAGGAAGAACAATTAAAACTCAACACTTTTTTTCCTTCCATCTGGCAGGAAGAGGTGTGTTGGTCACTACAGAGGTGTTTATGGCCCAAATATTAATAAGCTAGCATTAATGATTAACAAAACTTCGCAGAAAGAATAGAGAAGAAAAAAAAGGAGACATGAAAGAGAAGAGGCTAAGGGATCCCAAAGATGTAACACCACATTTGAAGTCCTCTTCTCCTCTCCTTGACAAACAGAAAAGTAGTCTGAATTAGAAAACCATCTAAAATTCACCACTCCCACCCAGAAGAAAAATGGCTTTTTAAAGAGCACTAACCCCTTCTCACACAATGATAATGATAGCCTGGGCTAAGAAGCTCTAACAACAAAGGTTTGGCTGCTCCAAAGCTATAGGTTCACAAAACAATTTGAAATCTGAGAACAGCTCACAACACGGCGAGATACTTTAAGAAAATTATACAACAGATTGAAGATAAAATTCATCACTAGTGACTCTACCCGCCTTCTCCAGGAAAATGAAATATGGAAGATTTTTATCACCACCCAATCTACAAGTGCAAGGGAAAGATAAATAATGGATATAGTACGCATTGGCAAACAAAATGCCTAAAGATAATACGTTGGGGGTAGGGGGAGGTAAAGCCTGGAAACTTAACACCTAGGAAAGACTTCCACAGAACAAAAAGTGAAAGGAAGTCAGTGAAGAATCTTCTTTAAAAATAAGAGAAAATCTAGATCTCATTCTGCTCTTCAAGAAAGTCAGAAAATCTCAAATAGATCTTGACAGTGATCAAAGAGCAAAACCACAAAAGTCGAGGAAAAGTAAACAGAACTAAGGAAGAAAATTTAGGCTGGAATCCTCTACAGAACTCATAGACACCAAGAACAGAATCAACATAACAGGAAAATCACACAAAATTCAAATAATTCAAGCCAATGAGAAACGTTGTCTAATGGTGATCTCATAAACAGACAACTGGTACAGCACCACCACCACCACCAGCCCCTCCCTGTCCTGAAAAAAAAATAGCTTTATGTGAGAAACGGGAAAAAAATGAAGCATTTAATTCAAATGGGGGTAAAGGGGCACAAAATTAACTCAAGACTTCAGAGGATGAACGTAAAAGCAGAAAAATACACTATAAACAAAGCTATTAAGCCATAATATGAAGGGCTGATCCAAAATGAGCAAAAAACCTGCCCGAACTTAATTCTTCCCAGCTCCTCCTTCCACTCAAAAGGTAAGACATTATTACCTAGCAATTGATTGTTTTTCAAACCAGCCTAGTATGCTGTTCCTTCTTTCCACTCTCTATGCCTGCGGACTTTTTTGCCTTTCCCTGTGAGGAGGAAAGAAGTTGGGAACGGTTTTGGTTGAGAAAGTTTACTTTGGGGCAAGTTGTCAAAGATAATTGTGAGTGGAGCCAGCAAAAGAACCAGCATGATCAACGGTATCAATAAGCACCTGAGAGCAAGACTTATTCCCCGTAATTTCAATTAAGGAGAATTATCTTCTCAAACTGCGTAATTATATCCACTTTTTAAGCAGATCATTCCAAAATGCTTCCTTGATTAAAACTAATTTTGACCACATCTTTTGTCACATCTTCCTCTCCATCCTGTCTGTGGTGGAGTGCATACAGTATTTTAAATACATGATAAATGTTTTAAAACCATGATAAACATAGGAAAAAAAGTTTCTCATTTTACACATCAGTAAGCTGTAAACAGTATCTAATTGTTGGAAAGATAAAATATGATCATTATATGAAAGCTCTTATCAGCAAATATATTTCTAGGTGGTCAGCAGCTCATAATTTACATGATTACCAAATTTGCTTCTTGTTCTCCAACTCATTAATCATGGCCTTCTAAAACAAGAACCTCAGTGACTCTTTAATAAATGTTTCTCAATCTTTTTAATCCATGCTTCTTTAATAAGCATAAATCTTACTCCCTATTGTACTTTTTTGTAACATTTTTCTAACATAACATTATACTACCAAATGTGCTTTTTCAAACTCCAATTTCCTCCTCCAATAAACATGACCCTGTACCACCCCTTTAAAAGAAGCACTGAAATCATAATATGAAGAAAATCATACATAAACCATAAAATATTGTACATGGAGAAGAATAATCTATTGCTAATTTCATAGATTACGAAAGCTTAAGTTATTTACATATTCATTCAATAAACATTTATACAGAAAAATGTGACTTCCATACTCCAAATGGTACATACCTAATTTCGTATGTAAATATTTTCCTCATCACTCCACTGAAACTATACTCCCTACACAAAATAGAATGCTGATTTTTCTTCTTCCTTTCTGTCTTTATTGCCTCTTCATCTCCTCACCAACCACAATCAACTTAATTAACTACTCCTTCTCTGTGGTTCCAAAACAGCTTTGATAGTGCCCAGCAGAGTGAATGACAAATCTTCAGTGATGCTTAATAATATAGTGTTATTTCTATTCAAACTTCTATTGTAACTAATTGTATTCATGTCTGTGTCTCTCATCAGGCTAGTATTGGAGGGCAAGAACCCAGGCCTTCATTTTATATAGCCTTCACATATCCTTCTGATATATATGATATTATACATAACTCCTAATAGGTAACAAAGTGGCCAGGTACTATCTGTGAAATTAGATTGGATTCTTCCCATGCTGTCCTTGAATGTGACAACCATCTGTCATCCAACCTTCGCTCATACCATTCCAAGCTCAGGCCTCATCTCCTACACAACGTGTTCCAAAACCACACAAGCCAATGCTGAGATTTTTCTAACATTGTTAGGGAATATTACATGGTACAGTATTTTATGGTACAGTACATTGTATAAAACACTCTTTGGTATTTATGTTTTCCTGAACTGAACACAACTTGTTCCAATTAGACAACAGACTCAACATCAAAGAGCATGCCAACTTCTTGATTCATGTCCACTGAGTAAAGCATTTTTCAGGTAACTGGTACTCAATGTACTGATAGAATAAAATGTAATGTACAGCCAAGCTACATCCTGATGCAGAGCTGACAGGGACAGATGTTGCTGGTCAGCGCTGGCAGGTATCCTTAACAGAGTAAGTGGCACAGTGCCTACACTCTCTGGTGATACAAAAAAAAAAAAAGTTGCTCATGGAGAGAGAACTGCACTCTACTTACATCAGGCAGCAGCTATCCTCCAACTCCTCGAACGAGAGAATGAGAGAAACATGCAGGCTGCTTTATAGGGTAGATGTGGAAACCAACGCTCTGGAAGTACAGTACTCTGACAAAGGTCACACAGAAATTCAGTGGCAGACCCGGCACTGACACCCAGGTTTCCTGTCTCCCAATCGAGAAGCCTTTAGTACATCAAACTGCTTCTCTGATCAGGTATCTGAAAATAAATTACCACAAAGAAATGTGACCAATGAAGTCTTTCTGTCTTTAACTCAAACATGCCAATCACTGGAAAAACCCAGAAATACCTATGTCACTCACAAAAATGCCACTCAAAGGAATTAGAAGTTCAGAGAAGAAACTGGGGAAGGTAAATGCTTTTCTAGATTCCTCTTCCTCCACCCCCCCTTGACTATTAAAAGTGTTCCCAGGTCCTCCTTCAGCCCGTTTTTCACTCCACACCCTCCTTTGGTGTTTGCATGCACAGCCTATAGCTTCAACCAGCAATAGACTAAGAATTGTCAAATTGAAATCTCTCAGAGTTTTTTCTTTTTTTAAGCTCTCAATCTGTGTATTCAACTGCAATTTAGACATCTCCACCTATGTCCCATGGTCACCTTAAAAAAAAAAACTTGGCCTCATAAGGTCATCATTTCCCCTCTGCTCCAGCCAACCAGCACCCCCAGCTTGTGGTCACCCTCTCACCTCAGTGAACAGCACCTCCTAGCCAGAAACCAGTGTCACACTGGGTTTCTTTTATTTCTCTTATCAAGTCTTATCAGTTCTCCCTCCCAAATACAGTAGTTCTTGAACCCCACTCAAATCATCCTCCATATAGGGATCTGCAAAGCTTTCTGACCACTCACCTTTATCAGCAAAAAAATTCTAGGCATACCTGTACCCAAAATAAATGCAATTTATAAATTCAGATACATGTACTTCTACAGCAATATAGTAAGATTATCAATCATAATCAAAATTTTAAATTTTAAAGTGATGAGATCAACAAACATAATAGTAGACCTAAAATTTTCTCCCTATACTTCAGTGAGTCTTTTTATGCATCCCTGGAGATAGGAACCTGTGCTTTGAAATTATGTACAATGAGATTGGTCCTATAAGAAATACATACATATATGTGCTTGTGTGTATGTGTGTATATACATATGTATGTGTACTGGAGGCAGCTTTTCTCATGCACACACACGTTTCATGAGGTGATATGCACACGCTTAAGCATATTGCTAAATATAGTTAACTCTACCTTCTAAAGTCACAAACCAAACGGCAAGTTTAAAGTTAGCTGACCTCTAAAAACTCACAGCCACTTTTAAAACAATAACAAATGTACAAAGTATAGTTTGGATCCTTTTGTACACAGCTCCTGAAAGAGAGAAACTTTTTTTTTCACCTACCGACAGACATATTGGAAGGCTGCTAATATTCTGACTTTTACGGACTGTACCCCCTTTAAGCTGGGTACATACCATAATATCTTTTCAGTTTTCCACAGCTATAGATACCTCTAGCATAACACTTCAGGATTCAGAAGACGAATGTACCTTTCTGTATCTTAACGTCTCTACTCCATACCTCCCACCTCTGAAAAAATAACCAGCCAAACTCTCAGAACCTAAAACCAAGTCAGAGTAAACACTGCTAATACAATACAGGTACTTACATATTTACCCGGCATAATCTCCAGGATTCCACCCACAACCTAACAGATCCTAACTCTCTGGCAGAGTGAGAAAATCTGCTAATATCTAACAGAAGTCTAAATGAACCCTTTCAGATACATGCAGCTTGTTACATATTCAGAAAGTTAAGTTCTCTGAAACTTTTACCAGTTACAAGATGTTTCAGCTTATCACACTAGCAGCATAGTTAAGGGCAAACCAGAGCAGCTACAGAATATTAATGAATATGTTTTCAGACAGAACACTATACTACTCACCGCTGTAAGCCATAACTTACTTATCAAGAAGCCAAACAATAAAAGCATTACAATCAGTGGCAAGCACGCTTAGGAAAACTGGCACCATGTTAAGTTGTTTGACCACTTTTCATTATTATAATATGACCAGATGTCCCCAGTGTCACTCCCAGAGTTAGGAAGAACACCAATGTAGAGCTACATTTTCATTCGTGATGGTAATTCGGGGCTGATTTAAATTAAATTATACTGACCAGAAAGCTGCCTAATTGTTAAAATTACTAAATCCAGTGACTTTCAGAATTGCTGATTCCATGCTTCTCATGTGCAGAATGTTGAGGGTATTAAAAAATAACTTTAATATAGAACTTTACATTAAGAAAATCACAAACACTTAAAATTGTAGGTTTAGGTCTGAAGTCAACACAGACGAGTTAAACAATCTATTTGCTTCCTGTTTACAGAATTAAAGTATTAACCACATTCTTTGTCCTTTTAACTAGCATTCTAATAACATCTTCCACCTTCATACTCAATTTTGGGATAAGTAAAATGACTTTCTCCCCAAATGCCTGTAATGAAAATACCAATGTTTTTTATTTAACACTTCACCATCTTCAGTCACTTATATAATATTGATCAATGAGTCAACATTATTTAAAAATATGAGAATTATAGTGAGACTCTAAGTCCTAACCCCTCTGGGCCTTGATGTCCACAAATGAACAGGTAACTGCCAACTGAAGTTCCTTAATCATTTCTAAAATTGGTCTACTGTATAACCTATCGTAAAGGACGTATGTGGTTTAAGAAAGGTGTCTAATCTAAATTCCTCTAGCATGTTATTTTTGTAGCATTAAAACTA
The DNA here is from genome assembly GCF_000001405.40 of Homo sapiens. Lineage (NCBI taxonomy): Eukaryota > Metazoa > Chordata > Mammalia > Primates > Hominidae > Homo > Homo sapiens. Next base: position 32,956,394 of record NC_000010.11, read on the forward strand.
CAATTAAAAAAAAAAAAATAAAAAAACCTAAGGGCCAGGTTCAGGGGCTCACGCCTGTAATCCCAGCACTTTGGGAGCTCGGTGAGAGAGGACAGCTTGAGCCCAGGAGTTTGAGGCCAGCCTGGGCAGCATAGTGAAATCCTGTCTCTACAAAAAATAAAAAAATTAGCCGGGCACGGTGGCAGGCGCCTGTAGTCCCAGCTACTCAAGAGGCTGAGGTGGAAAAGTAACTTAAGCCTCGGAGGTTGAGGCTGCAGTGAGCTGTGATGGCTCTTCTGCACTCCAGCCTGGGCAACAGAGACCCTGTCTCAAAACAAAACGAAATAACCTAGTAATTCTACCCACCTAAGTTAACCATGTGGCATGTTGGCCCAAAGAAACCTTACCAATGATGTTACCAATTATCTTCCGAGATATTTTTAACATCTTTTTACTATAAAAGAAGGGCTGAAAAGGAGTCAATACTCATTGAGCATCTACTCTCAAGCTAAGTTTTTTACATTTTGCATTTGATTTTCAGAACTATAGTTAGGAAGGTTACTTGTGGTTTAAACGCGGACTCTGGAACTAGACCCCATGCCTTCTCCAGGAGCTCCTGATGACCACAGGCAACTTACTTTTGCTCCCTGTGCCTCAGTTTCTTCACTCGGAAAATGGGAATCGAAACAGTACCAATCTCATTAGAGCGGTTCCAGAATTAAATAATACATGTAAAATGCCTAGAGCTAAACTTGGCCCTCACTGTCATTATTATAAAAATGAATTATTAATGTAGATATTACTGTTCCTATTTCACAGATGAGGAAACGGAAGCTTAGAGAATGCAACTTACTAATGATCATACCAATGAGTGCAAAGTTTTGGACTCAAAAGCACGAATTTGATTAAATAAAAGTTACTTAGAGAGTAGGAGTCTCATAAATCCAATTTATGAAGCCTAAGAAATGACACGCGGTAAAATGATACTAGACACAGGCCGGGCTCTCAGGCTCGCGGACCGGGTCTGAGCACAAGCTGGCCATGGCCATGCGTCCTGGTCCCGGGGTGCCCGGCAGGGACCGGCGACTCTTGACGTTTATAAACACGGGGAAGTGGACTGCACTGCCGCCACCGCACCCCCGGTCCCCAGCGGCTCCACTAAGCCAACTTCTACCCGGCTCCCGCCGCCCCCGCCCGCGGCGCTGGCCCCAGGGCCGCCTCCTGGCAGCCGGAGGAGACCAGTCCCCGTCGCGGGCGCCGACGGCTGGCTCGACGCTGCTCCAAGGACAGCAGCTCGCGAGGGAGCGAGAGACAAAGGCACCGGACCCGTCCAGGGGAGCGCCGAGTCCCAAACGCCGAGCCCCGGGTGGCCTCGCTGGCTCCCACCTGCGCTTGCCCAGCCCGGCGGGAGACCGCAGGTGTCAGGGGCCGTTCGGGCCCGGTCCCCCGCAGCTCCGGCAGCCCCGACGTGACAGCGCCCAGGCCGGCGACCCTCACGTTCGGAACGCGGCTGGGCTGGCTCTGCGCCCGGGGGCTGCCAGCGCCGGGGACCCGAGGCGGGTGGCGGCGTGCGGACTTCCTCCTGGACTAGCCTGGAATCCTGCCCCAGCCCCCAACCGCTGGCGGCCGCCCCCGCCCCCGCCCCCGCCCCCACCCCCACGCCCGGCACAAAGGTCCCGGCGCGGCCCGGCCGGCGGCTTTAAGTGCTGCCGCGCACAGGAGACCGGAGGCCGCGGCCCGCGCTCCCACACCCGAGGCCCGCCGGCCCCTACCTTTTCCGCGCGGCGTCCGGGGCCCGGCGCGGTGGGCTCGGGCCTGCTGTTCCGCGACTCCCGCTGGGCCTCTCCCGCGGGCTGGCGGGGCCTCCCGGGTGTCGGGCGCGGCGGGTGGCGGCGGCTCCTCCTCCTCAGGGGCGGGAGGAGGGGACTCGGCGGCCCAGAGCCGCCCCCCGGCAGGAAACCAGCCGCGGCCCCGCCTCCTCTGCGCGTCTGATCCCGCTCCCGAGGCCGCCGCCGCCCTCTCCCTCCGGAAACGCATTCCTCTCCCGCCGCGTCAGCCCGGCCCGGGGCTAGGAGGAGGCGGAGGATGGGGCAGGAAGTGCGACCGGGACAAAGGAACCGGCTGCGCGGGAGCGCGCCTGAGGGAGGCCGCGGGGGGCAGGGCCGGGACTGCGTTGAGACAGTCGCCGTGCCTCAGTTTCCTCCTCTGCGAAGGGCGGGAGGAGTCGGACGCGCCCTAGAGCCCCGCGCGTTCCTGGTGTAGCCTGCTGGGCCCGTGTTCTTTAAGTTCCTCTTCCTCGGAGCCGCGCGTTCGACCCTCGCTCCCGTTTGTCCACTGATGTCCCGTTTCGAGCCCGGGAGATCCTGCATCTCGGAAGCCCCCTGAGTCCCGAGGCAAATCGGGACCGTGAGCCCCCCTACCCTGCAGGGCTCCATGGGGCCAAAAACCACGTGGTCCTTCTGGAAGGGAACTGGCTAAGCCAGGACTGCTTTTCTGGAGTGATAATGTGCTTGCCTGTGTCTAAGAGAAAGGTGAAGAATTGGGAAACCCATGGGTGTCACGAAGGGTGGTGAGACTGGGGAACGTTTTAGAAAACCTGGTGAGTTGCGTCCTGCTTTTGATAGATTTATCTGGAGGTACCTTTATGGGGAACAGGGATGAGAAGGAAAAGTTTCTTCCTAAGGAGTACAGTTTCTGTTTCACCTCTTAAAAAAAAAAAATTTGGAGATTGGGGCTGGAAACAACGTTTGAAAGAGAAGGAAACATTCATTATGAGAATGGCTGAACGCATGTCGATTCGATGATTGAAGTCTGTACCAGCCAAAATCATACTGAAACCCAGTAATTTAGTATATGCTACTGGCAAGCTGCTATCCTGGTAGCAGAAAATGCTGTGGGTTCCGCTTGGTGAGCTGCAGCACCCTGTTGGGAAAAGAGCTCAAAAATTACCAGATTTATGAAATAGAAGTGTTTCTCTTGCAGGAGATTAGGGACTGGAATGCCCATTTGGCTGCTGCCAATCAATATAAGAGAAAATGAAGCGATCACATCTAAGAAAATTTGCTCATTACTTACCAGCAAAATCAAAACTTGATTAGCCAATCTGAAGACCTCTAGGAAATGAGCACTATTTTTCCCACTTAATGGATGTTCAAGCTTAAGAGGCTAAATGATGTTCCTATATTAATATCTCAATGGTCAAACTGCCATTAGAACTCAACATTCTTGAATTTTAAAGGTATCGGTTTTACCATTGTTCAGAATTCATCAGAATTGGCCCAGTCTCAGCACAGAAAACTGTATAGTTCAAAAGCATAATTGGTCCGTGCCTGATTTGCACTACAATTTCCAGAATTTTTTTCCCTGTACGTGACTGGTGGAGGCACTAGCTAGTCTTTGCTACAAGAACATTATGAGATTTACATATGCACAACTCTAAACTAAATTAGTTCCTCCAGGACAATTTACTGAGCTTTTTAACACCACCGTCAAGCACTGTTGCAAGGACAGATAATAGGGGCTCAGATAATATCTGATAAATGAATAAATGGGTCCTTTTGCTCTCCCAGGACTGGGCTAGAGCACTTGACTAAACTGATGTGTGAGGTAGCAATTTGTGTACAGAAGTCATGAGTTTTGAGGAAAAAGAAATTAAAGAAACATGTTCTCTAAAAACTGCAGTCATTGGTCAAGAATACGAGTCTACTTGTGATTTCATACAAATAATGGGTGGACAGTGAGCTATGAAATTTATGAATACTCTAAGCAAAGGTTGGTCAGCATACGTGCTAAACAGGAAATCCTGATAAGTAGGAATAGTGCAAGCCACACTGCAACTTTTATCATATTAGGTTGGTGCAAGGTCTACCAGATGTGTCTTGCCTTCCCATGTGTAAGGTCAACCAGATAGCTCTCACCTTTCCATGTCTAAGGTCAACCAGGGGGTGCTTGCCTTCCCGTGTCTAAGGTCGACCAGATGGCTGTGTGCACCAACCTAATAGAACATCATAAGTATCTTGAGTTCAAGATAAATCCATACCTTACCTACACTGTCTCCCAATTATTATCAATTGTCTTCTGCCATCTCTTAAGTCATTATTATGTCAAATAATTAAAGTCGGTGTTTCCTTTAGTTTTGTCACTGGTGATACTACTACTTGCTCTTCAAAATGTATCTTTATTCATCTAACATTTTGCAAAGTAAAGTTTCAAAGTTGTTCAGCAAGAAAGACATTATTGGATGCCCAGGTTTGTATTAGTTTGACTTATATTATTATTAATTAGCACCCCTTTTAACTCTCAAAAGTATGTCCTAGTATAGATGATAATTTATATGATCACTCTATAAATAAGAGTGTCCAGATAATAAGGAATAAGAAGAATAATTTTAGAAATTCAAAGGGGATTCATAAGGATATATTGCAAATCAGGTTCCAGGTTTATAGGTGAAGACTAATTTCAACATTGGTGATAATAAGGGGAAAATGAGTTGCAGCGTGGGGGTGAGTATGAAGAATTAGGCAGTTGCTATGTGATGAAAATGCCCTACTAGGAGATTTTATTAAGAAAAAAATCTTATTTTTTTTCTTAATAACAGTACCCTGGCTGATAAATGGGACTTGGATTTTAAATACCATTGGATAATAAATGTATGTGATGGCTTTGGAGCAAATTGATTGACAATGGCTAGGTAAGACTTCAGCCACTTTTCTAAGGACTGTTTCTATAGACTAACCTAGATATATTTTTCTCATCCGTCACTTCCAGTTACTTTGAATGTAACTCCTTCTGTAAACATTAAAAAAGAAAAAGATGAAGGGATAGGGATGGAAGGAATAGAGGTCTCTGATAACATCCTATAATACTAACATAGAAGTGCTTCTGAATCATAAATAACTCCATTCCTTTCCCTGAGAAACTAAAATCACTGTTTTAAAATGTGAATCTGCTACTCAGGAGGCTGAGGCGGGAGAAGTGCTGGAGACCAGGAGTTCGAGACCAGACTGAACAACGTAGTGAGACCACCCCCGCCCCCGACCCCCAGCCCCAACTAAAAAATAAGGACTAAAATTAGCCAGGTGTGGTGGTGCATGTGTGTAGTCCCAGCTGCTCAGGAGGCTGAGGCAGGAGGATCACTTGAGCCCAGGAGCTATGATCATGCCACCATAGTCCAGCCTGGGCAACACAGTGAGACCCATCTCTAAAAATGTGAATCTGTGTGTATTGGTGTAAAGCAACCCTGGGAATTATTGACATTTTGAAAAACAAGAAGGGGTGAGACAGTCCTGCCAGTTCCTCCTTTTTCAGTCTCCATATGTATAAATAACATGCAAATAGTCATATAACGCAGAGAAACTGGAAGTGTATTGAATTTGCAACTTTTTTTTTTTTTTTTTTTTTTTTTTTTTTTGCTTGAGGGCTTCCATTTAGTGAGCACTCCTCAGTACTCACAGCAGAGTATTGCCAGAGGAACTGTAAAAAATTAAGTTTGCTATCAGGCAACCAGCAATTGACTAGGTATGGCATGTATCAGTGTATCCACCAGGCGGTACTGAGGCTTCATTTCTTTGCTTATTTGAAAATAAGGTGGAAAATGGCACAACAGCCTGACCTGATTTGCAATGTGTCCCTTAGAGCTTAGGCTAGCCATTCAGTCTTTTCCTTTTCTAGGTAACTAACAGTGGCTGGACTATGGCTTTGAATATGGGTCACAGATGAGTAAGCCTTCCTCAACTGGTTCTGCTTCCTGTTTTCCATATATAGGGGCCCCATTTTTTCCTTTTCAAGTCCACACAGCATTGCCTCCAATGGGTGTGAGCATTCCTTACCAGCATTCAGATGCTGAACATTTTTAACAGCCTACGGGAAACAGTGTTTTAGGCAGCTCTTTTCAAACACTGAGTTTCTTCAGCTGTGGAAGAGAATGTCCTTCCCAAATAAGAATTAAAAAAAATGCCCAATATAAGCAATTGAATAGCACTGGAGTTATTTTTAGGAACCAGGGTCACTCACTACAGGAAATGATCGTGTTGCCAATGCGTTAAAGCTAGTGACTTTAAAAAATATTATTTATTTTCTCATTTAACTGCATCTCGAGGAAAGTTAGCAGTTGCAATTTTAAGTTAGGAACTTCTCAATTTCAGGCCAGATTCATTAGGGAGTAGGAAGGATACCTTTCACTTAAAAAAAGGCATTTGGGCTAAGTAAGAACACCTCCCCTGCAACTCCCTCCCGCCCTCCCGCACAACACTCAAATTAATCCCCACAACATATTATCTTAGGCAGAGTTCTTGCCTCATGCCTATGAATGGGATGTCATGAAACCCCTAAAATTCTAGACAGAATTTTACTTACACATATATATCTGCATTGTTGTGGTTTGAATGAGATCTTAACCACAAAACATTAAGAATAACTATTTTAAGCACTTACACGATTAGTTCTTTTATAGACTACCTGCCTAAACAAATGTCATTGTGGTTGCCTTGGAACTGTGAGTCGTATATTGATTAGTTTAATCAAAAACAATATTTAAAACATCAGATAGTGCTTCCAAATATTTTCTTATGACATGATTTTCACTGCATGTTATTTAACCTGCAAGAGGTAGAACAGAAAAAGCAGAATCTTTCGTGATCAAACCGCACAACTAAAGAGTGTGCTGTTTATGTCTACTTTTCAAGGTAAGATAAACTTCAAAGAGAAATGAACTTTTAATTTCAAATTCCAATTTACATATTAGGACTTAAATGACTTCAAATCATATCTAAAAATCACCATAACCAAACCATTGTAAATTTTTACTTACATTGAGAATAAAAATAAATAAATGTTAAGTATATTTCCTAATAATATTTGCCATGCAGCATTTGGAAGAACAAGTCCTGTGACGCTTCTACTTTAAGATTTCTGCATTGTTGTTGGCTGATGTCATAGACTGTTCCTCTATGATCACAAGAATTCCCTATTTAGAACTGCATATGGGTGCCCGTTGGGTAACGTTTCAAGTTGAAAGAATTTTGCATTTTGTGTTATTGTACTAGAATGAAATAATCTTAATCTGAAAAGTTTTGATGGTTAAACTCTTTAATATTTTTGTATTCCTGACTATTTTCTTCATTTAGCTAAGTTTACACTGAAGTCCTTAATTACCCTTCTCCTTTTATGATAAAAATAACATCCTTCATTATCTATAATTTTCCAGTGGCTTCCACATGCCAAAAACGTCAACTACACAATTTTTCTCTTATAGTCAGAACACTGGCTTGTGGAAATGAAGCACTTCATTCGAAATTTCACCAGTAAATGTTGTTGATGTGTGATCTCTAGCTTACAGAATAGATGGAACTGCATTCTTACATTTAAACAATTATCCTCTGATTAAATAAATTCAAATACATCTAAGGAATAGAATAATTATCAGTTTTAAATAAAAATTAGTTAGACAAGTTTAACAAGATGCCCAATGCGTTGCAGTACATAATCCTTTTTGTGAAGTTTTTTTTTTTTTTTTTTTAAAGACGAATTCTTGCTCTTGTCATCCAGGCTGGAGTGTAATGGCGCGATCTTGGCTCACTCTGCCTCCCAGATTCAAACGATTCTCCTGCCTCGGCCTCCCGAACAGCTGGGATTACAGGCGCCCACCACCATGCCTGGCTTTTTTTCGTATTTTTAGTAGAGATGGGTTTTTGCCATGTTGGCCAGGCTGGTCAACAAAGTAATTTTGATAGTATCCACATTTGACCGGGCGCAGTGGCTCACGCTTGTAATTCCAGCACTTTGGGAGGCTGAGGCGGATGGATCACCTGAGGTCAGGAGTTTGAGACCAGCCTGGTCAACATGGTGAAACCCTGTCTCTACTAAAAATACAAAAAATTAGTTGGCCGTGGTGACTCGTGCCAGTAGTCCCAGCTACTTAGGAGGGTGAGGCACAAGAATCGCTTGAACCTGGGAGGCGGAGGTTGCAGTGAGACAACATTGTGCCACTGCACTCCAGCCTGAGTGACACAGTGAGACTCCGTCTCAAAAAAAAAAAAAAAAAAGTTACCCACATTTTATAAGCAAGGCAACTGAGACAACAGATGTTAAATTGCATAACTGTTAAGTTACAGAACCAAGATTGGAACCCTGTCAGTCTGGCTCCAGAGTCTGGAATTTATTCTCTCCACTTTACTGTCTCTGATCTCTTGTATAATTTTGCAGAGACAGTGTCTGCCCTGTTCTAGCTCCATTGTGACTAGGCAAGCAAGTCTGTAATTCTGGTGTTTCAAGAATAAGAAGTCAAACCAGGCACAGTGGCTTGTGCCTGTAATCCCAGCTACTAGGGAGGCCGAGATGGGGGGATCACTTTAGCCCAGGAGTTCAAGGCTGTGATGCATCCCTGCACTTCAGTCTGGGTGACAGAATAAGATCCTATCTCTAAAGAGAAAGATTGTTTTTATTATTTTTTATTTTTTTGAGATAGAGTCTTGCTCTGTCACCCAGGCTGGAGTGCAGTGGCATGATCTCAGCTCACTGCAACCTCCACCTCCCGGGTTCAAGCGATTCTCTCACCTCAGCCGCCCGAGTAGCTGGGACTACAAGCGCCCACCACCATGCCCAGCTAATTTTTGTATTTTTAGTAGAAATGAGGTTTCATCATGTTGGCCAGGCTGGTCTCGAACTCCTGACCTCAAGTGATCTGCCCACCTTGGCCTCCGAAAGTGCTGGGATTACGGGAATAAGCCACCGTGCCTGGCCAAAAAGTTGTTTTTAAAGAATGAGAAGTCAATCTGTCTGCATATGTGAGCCATGATCTCCAATATCAATATTTTCAATAGTAATAAAGTGTTTTCATCTCTGTGTTACTCCTTGTCTGTCTCTTAATTGACACAGAACTGGGTGGTGTGGGAGTGCTATTAGGCCCCCTTGATCGCTCAACAACTATATGTACATACGTGGAAAGGATGATATGACATTTTCAGAGTTATATGTCATTACAAACAGGCATGGCTAAGATTTTTCAATTGTCATTCCAAAATTTGTCAACTACCTATTTTTTGTCAGAGACCTTAAAAATTCTATCTTTCCTAAGGGCAATGGCCATATCTTACGTGTTTGTATGCCTAACACAGTGCTTTGTGTATACAATTATGTTGTTCTTCTTTGCACTTAAAATAAAATCACCACCCCTCTTCTTCTTTGACCTCATCTAAAAACATCTCCTCCTTGCCTACTATATTTTAATCACACTGACCTTCTTTCTATTCCATAACCTCATTAAATTTATTCCTATGTTGGAGTTTCTGTCCTTGCCATTTCCCCTGTCTTAAATGCACTTTACATGACTACTTCTTGTCAGTCAGATCTCAACTTGACTATTACCTCTGTAGAACTCCTGTTACTTAATCCATGTATGAAAAACCCACAGTTAACCTCATACTCAATGGTAAAAGACTAAAAGCTTTTTTTCTAAGATCAAGAACAAGACAGGGATGCCCACTCTCACCAATTTTATTCAACATAGTACTAGAATTCCTAAGCAAAGCAATTAGGCAAGAAGAAATAAAAGGTATGCAAACTGGAAAGGAAAAAGTAAAATTATGTCTGCTGGAAGACAACATGACTTACGCGTAGGACACCCTAAACATTACACATATACACCTGTACAAGCTGTCAGAACTAACAAATCAGTTCAGCAAAGTTGCAAGATACAAAAACAACACACACAAAAATCAGTTGTGTTTTTATACACTAATAATAAACAATCCCAAAAGGAAATTCAGAAATCAATTCCATTTGCAATAGCATCAAAAAGAATAAAATATTTAGGCCAAAGAGGTGAAAAACTTGTACAGGGAAAACTATAAAACATCACTGAAAGAAACTAAAGAAGAGGTAAGGAAAAGATATCCTGACGGATGGAAAGACTTAAGATGTCAATATATCTGACACTAATCTACAGATTCAATGCAATCCTTACCAAAATTCCAGTGGCATTTTTGCAGAAATATAAAAATTTATTCTACAATTCATATTGAATCTCAAGGGACCCTGAATAGCCAAAACAATCTTGAAAAAGAAGAAACACTTCCTGATTGCAAAACTTGTTACAAAGCTATAGTAATCAAAACAGTGTGATAGTGGAATAGAGATAGATATATAGACCAATAGAACAAAATAGCAAACCAAAAAATAAACCCTCATATATATGGTGTGGTCAAATGGTTTTCAACAAGGGTGCCAAGACATTTTAGTCCCCTCAACAAATGGTGCTGGGAACATTGGATATTCACATGCAAAAGAATGATATTGAATCCTTACCTTACGTCATGTATAAACATCAACTCAAAACAGATCAAAGACCTAAACTTAAAAAACTATGAAACTCTTAGAAAACAACATAGGGAGAAAGCTTCATGGCATTGGATTTGGCAAGGATTTCCTAGATATGACACCAAAAACAAAAACAAAAACCAGGCACCAAAAGAAAAATACACAAATTAGATTTTATCCTTTTTTTTTTTTGCGATGGAGTCTCGCTTTTGTCACCCAGGCTGGAGTGAAATGGCACAATCTCGGATCACTGCAATCTCCACCTCCTGGGTTTAAGTGATTCTCCTGCCTCAGCCTCCCAAGTAGCTGGGATTACAGGTACCTGCCACCAGGCCTGGCTAATTTTTGTATTTTTAGTAGAGATGGGTTTTTACCACGTTGGCCAGGCTAGTCTTGAACTCCTGACCTCAGGAGATCCTCCTGCCTCAGCCTCCCAAAGTGCTGGGATTACAGGCGTGAGCCACCACACCTGGCCTAGACTTCATAAAAATTTGAAAATTCTGTACATTGAAAAGACAATCATCAGAGTGAAAGTGCAACATGCAGAATAGGAGAAAATACTTGCAAATCATATCATTGATAAGGGTATGATGTTCAGAATATACAAAGATATAGAACTCAACAACAAAAAAATTAACAACTCAATTTAAAAATGGGCAAAGGACTTGAATAAACATTTCTCCAAAGAAGATAAACAAATGGCCAAGAAACAGATGAAAAATGCTCAATATCACTAATCATTAGAGAAATGCAGATTGAAACCACAGTGAGATACCACCTCACACCCATAAAGATGGCTGTTATTAAAACAAAATAAAACAAAACAAAAACCCAGAAAATAACCAGCACTGGTGAGGATGTGGAGAAATTGGAACCCTTGTGCTCTGTTGGTGGGAGTGTAAAATGGCTCAGCTGCTATGGAAAACAGTATGGTGGTCCCTTGAATAATTGAAACTAGAATTACCATATGATCCAGCAATTCCACTTCTCATATATACATAAATAAATTGAAAGCTGGATCTCTAAGAGGTATTTGTTCACCCATGTTCATAGCAGCATTATACACAACAGCCAAAGGGTGGAAGCAACCCAAGTGTCCATTTTGTTTGTCCATAAACAAAATGTGGCACACACATTCAATGGAATATCATTCAGTCTTAAAAAGGAATGGAATTCTGACGCATGCTACAACATAGATGAACCTGAGGACATTATGCTAAGTGAAATAAGCCAGTCACAAAAAAAGACGAATACTTTATGATTCCACTCATGAGGTACCTAGAGTAGAGTATTCATAGAGGCAGAAAATGGAAGTGTGAGGGACTTCCTCACACTTGGAAGTGCCATGGACTGAGGGACTGAGAGAATGTTATTTGATGGGTACAGAGCTTTGAAATATGCAAAGCATCCTGGAGATTGGTTGTACAACATGACTGTACTTAACACTACTGAATTGTATACTTAAAACTGGTTAAGTTGATAAATTTGTTATGTGTATTTTGCCACAATTTAAAAAAATACCTATTTCCTACTTTGGTACACTGAGAAGACTTAAAAACATTAATAACTCAGAAGCAATGAGCACATCTAGTATCAAAATTGTGGCCCATTGGAGATACCAACCAGGTGCTTCGAATATCATGGATTTGAAACTTGAAATAGGAAATGAATAAGATGGAGTGTGTGTGTGTGCGCGCGCGCGCGCGCACACACACACACCAGTAAACAAGGAGACTCTTTAAGATTAGTTTGGTTATATTAGAAGAACATGGGGCCAGCTTGAAAAGACTCTTCCACTGTCCAAGATGAGAAATGGAACATCTAAGAGGAAAAATGACTGCAATTTATTCAAACACATTAAATTTATAAAAACTCATGAGTTCATTATTTTTAAAAAGTAAAAACACATAGAAAAGATTTTTTAAATTAAACCAGTGAACAGGCCAGGTGTGGTGGCTCACACCTGTAATCCCAACACTTTGAGAGGCTGAGGTAGGTGGATCACTTGAGGCCAGGAATTCAAGACCAGCCTGGCCAACATGGTAAAACCCCATCTCTAGAAAAAATACAAAAATTATCTGGGCATGGTGGCACATGTCTGTAATCCCAGCTACTTGGGAGGCTGAGGCAGGAGAATCACTGACCCCAGGAGGTGGAGGTTGTAGTGAGCTGCGATCACGCCACTGCCCTCCAACCTGGGCAACAAAGCAAGACTCTGTCTCAAAAAAAAAAAAAAGAATGAATAAATGAAAATATGAAGAGAAAAAAGGATTTAAGAGACATAACTATTAAATGCAATAAGTGGAACTTATTTAGATCCTGATTTGAACAAACCAAGTATAAAAAGACATTTATGAGATAATTGGGGGAATTTTGAATATGGACTGGGTTTTACATTATATTAAGAAATCATTACTTTTTTGCTGGTATTATGAGTAAGAAAATGTCACAGTTTTTTAGAGAAATAAGGATAAAATGACATGAAAAATGATAAAATAACCAGAAATCTCAGAGAGATAAGAAGAAATAGTTGAATGAAGTAACCATGATAAAACATTAATAATTGCTGATCTCGGGTGATAGACATATCATGGTTCATTACATGTGACTCTACTTGTGTGTGTGTTTATACATTTTCATAATATGGAGTTAAAATTATATATTACACATGCTGCATTTTAAATGAACAGAAATTAGGCTGGGCGCAGTGGTTCAAACCTGTAATCCCAGCACTTTGGGAGGCCAAGGGGGGCGGATCACCTTAGGTCGGTAGTTTGAGACTAGCCTGGCCAACACAGCAAAACCCCATCTCTACTAAAAATACAAAAATTAGTCGGGTGTGGTGGTGGGCGCCTGTAGTCCCAGCTACTCAGGAGGCTGAGGCAGGAGAATTGCTTGAACCTGGGAGATGGAGGTTGCAATGAGCCGAGATTGAGTCACACTGCACTCCAGCCTGGGTGACAGAGCCAGACCCCGTCTCAAGAATAAAAATAAATGTACAGAAATTAACACATACTACATAATGTCAACATTTCAACAAATAAAATTCCCTTCATATTCCTGAATTTCCTTCTAATCTTACTCTAACTTTATGCTTTGAATAAATTTGCCCACTCCACTTAATCTTTTCTGTTGTTTTTCTTTAAATTGATGGAAACACTGCATAGTTTAATTATAATTGAACAATTATTGGAGTATACAAACATTAATAAAAATAATATGAAGGGCAATTTACATGCTCTCACTTTAGTTGTCAAAATTACACATTAAAGAAAATAAAAATTCATCACTTCATCTCTCCACCTGCCAAACATAAACTTCTAGTAGCAGAAAGTGAATTAGGGGCTATATTTGAAAAATGTACCTACCTCAAAATAACTCCCCTTTTTGAGGAGGCAAATTCTTATGCTTATCATTAGAAGTTTATATGCAATGTATTATTATCCTATATGGCAATTTCTGAGTTTCAGAGGAAAAGATTTATTTTACCAAGAACTCTGACTTTTAGTATGAAACAAATATAACACAGTATCAATAGTACTTTTATGGACATTAAATAATACTTGGTGATTATAATTATATCTTTATAAAATCTACTTTTTTGAAAAAAGAAATGATACGGTATGTGGCATAGACTATGAGGTGTGTTCACACTAGAAAATTGTCCTCTATAAACGTTGAATTTTCCTCCTGAATGAGTGGCTCTGAGTCAACCAGAGAGGTGTAAGTGTTTTACAGGAATAAGTCCTAGGTGGTACTGAGAGACGTACTCATTTACAGATAATCTGCATGGATAGTTAATTGTGGAAAACAGAATTAGTATCAAAATCATTTTGGTATGTTGGAAAGGGGATCGGGGGGAAAAAAGGCAGAATGGAAAACCCAGAAATGATAAACTATAACATTAATCTAAAATAATTTACATAAACTCAAAATAGGGACCATCTGTCCACAGATTTGATAGAGACAAGTGAACGCTGACAGTATAGAGCCATTGACAAATGTTAGTCTGAAAATGGCATGCTTGTAGACCCCATTAATATAGAAATTGCAGCCAAAGCTTTCTATAGTAATCAAGAATATTCCCGGACCCAAAAACTGCATGGACAACTTACCACTAACTTGGATCTAGCCTCCTAGAAATCCTGTTTGTGCATCCCAAAGTCTATTTTAGAAAAATATTTCTATGTTATATCTTTGGTACCATATCAATTTCCTCTCTATTTTTTCTTATATTCCTAGTCACCTTTTCCCACCCTTCCAAGCAGTATTAAACTGGGGTAAGGAAAGTGAAATAGAAGCTGCTGGTTTCTGCAAAGTTATGAGGCCTCATATGCCATTGTAAAACATTTGTAAAACATTTACATCTCTCTGGTTGACTCAGAACCACTCATTGAAGAAGAAACTTCGATGTTTATAGAGGACAATTTTCTAGTAAGTGTGAACACACCTCATAGTCTGTGCCACAAGCTATATACCATTTCTTTTTTCATTTACTATTTTGACTATTTGAATAGGACCCCAAAGCACCCTGGTGGGCTGAGAACCCTTTCCCAACCCACCGTATTTTGCAGAACAGCATGATTTGGTGTAAAAGCTTGCACTCTGAAGTCAGGCAAGCCTGGAATCTCTTTCTGATTTTTAACACCTCCTCTCGGGGCCTTAGCTTTTTCATCTGTTAAATGGAGATAGTGAGAACCTCTTTCTCAGGGTTCTTATGGATAGTAAATTAAATGAGACAATATCTGTAATGCAAAAATTAACTGAAATACTAGATGTTATAAAATGATGGTGCTAGTACATATTTTAACTCCTTTCCTTTAAAATACCTTGGGATACCACCAACTTGAGCACCTTGGGTCAGTCTCGCTGGCCTGATTGGGCAGTGACAATTACCCCGGGGCCTTGGTCAGTAACCTTAACACTCAAGACGTTGTTATTTTCTCTGTTGTGTCATTACTGACGGGCTGGTTGGAGCCTTCTAAGAATGCTCTCTATAGCACTAACCCCTATAAAACAGTTAGACCTGTTTAACTTGGTGATGAGAGTTCAGAGAAGAACCACAGAGATCAAAGGGCAAAAGAGTAAAAGCTAAGAGAAAAAACTAAAGCCAGTGGACTGACTGAGCCAGGACGGTTGAGAGCTGGTTGCTGATAAGAGCCTTCACATTCTACTGGGCTATTACTATGTAAAGTAAAGCCACTCAACCGTTTTCACTTTGGCACTGAAAAATATTCAATCTGCCAAGGTGCACCTGGGGACCCACACCCTGCTGATTAAAATTGGCATGGGAGGAGCAGGTCTTTAAAGAGACTACACTTGAATTTCATCAAGAAGCTAAAAATAGGATAGAGGAGCAATATAGAAGACAGGAAAACATTAAATTAGGAGTCTAACAGTAGTTGTTGCTGTTTGAAACCAGCCTAAGTTGTGAGGGAAATTTGATTTTCAGAGGAATTAGAAATCACTGGTTGACATTCACAGTTTAGCAGCTACAATTTTCACTAGTCTTAAGCAACTGCAGTAGAAACTGGAGTAATTGGTATCTTTGCTGAGGCATGATCAGGAGTTCTGCAGATGGGTGCTCAGGATCGAGTTAGTAAGCAGACATCTAAAAACAGCCTGAATGTTTTCCTTTAATCACTGAAAACAGCAACTTGAAAAAAAGGCAAAAAGCATTATTTTTGTGAAAAATCCCCCACATCTAGAGGAAAAAAAGTTGAATTTTGGTGCCTGTGATGAGAATAATTTAAAAATGATAGTTCTGATACAGAAAATGGAAGTTTACAACAAATTAAATATCGAAAGGTAAAATTGTTAGTGTGTGTGCGAGGGAGAGAGGTAGTTCTGCAGGGAAGCAAGGAACAGAGAGTGAAATCATTCAAGTGAGAGATAAAGCTTTAGGGATGGTTCATCAGGTGGTGATTGTATGTCTCTGTACAGAAAACACCAGACACTTGAGGAAAATGAAATGCATTTAGACCACTTTGTCAATGTCAAGTATCTGCAGCGAGGGTGAGGCCAGTGTTCAGTTCTTCCGCTTCACAGTGGAGGAAATGAGGATAAACCCAACCCTTGAATTCTGTTTGAAGAAAACAAAGAATTGTTGAATAGCAATGAGTCTCTGAAGTTTTGGAATAATCATCTCTGGAGATCTTTACAAACAGGCTAGAGTCTTATTTGCCACTCAATAGTTAATTCAAACTTTAAGCCTGAGGAACATGTAAAATGATTTCTCATCCTGCCCAGGACTTTTTGATTTTCAGAAATATATATGCTCTTTACCTTGGGTTATTAAGGAGAAATATTTTTGCTAGCACTAGGCTGGCAGAGCAGAATGTACCTTTTGTCAGATGTTCCAAGAAACATTTAATAATATTACTTGGCATAAAAGATTACATATAGTTGAGGCCACAGCTTTTTTCACAGGATGACTCATCTAAAACAGGCCTACAATGTAAATTAGTAGCAGCACCTCAAGCATAGTAAAAGTCTTGCAGGTGGTCAATCAGGATATATGCAAAAATAGGTGGGAAGGAAATAACTTTTGCTGTTATCCCATTTTGATTAGATTCTAATGTTATCAGTGTCAGGTTGAATACTTGCCCTTCATTTTAAAATTTTGAACTTACTATAACTCATTGAAAATACATTTATTTTTCCTTTTTTTCTGCATATCTAAATCTTACTGTCATTTATATAATAAGAAAATATTGGCCAGGAGCAGTGGCTCACACCTGTAATCCCAACACTTCGGGAGGCTGAGTTGGGAGGATCACTTGAGCCTAGGAGTTCAGACCACTTGGGGCAACATAGTGAGACCTCGTCTCTGCAAAAAAATTTAAGTATTAGCTGGGTGTGGTGCTGCATGCCATCAATCCCAGCTACTCGGGAGACTGAGGTGATCCTTTGAGCCCAGGAGCTCTGGACTGCAGTGAGCTATGATGGCGCCACTGCACTCCAACCTGGGTGACAGAGGGAGACCCTGTCTTGGAAAAAAAAAAGAAAAGAAAGACAGTATTGCAACCATTTACAAGTAGAGTTGCAGCTTAGGTTTGAGCTTGCTGCATTATCAGTGTAGAATTAAAAACATTTTTCAGGTCAGGCGTGGTGGCTCAAGCCTGTAATCCCAGTGCTTTGGGAGGCTGAGGCAGGC
The DNA here is from genome assembly GCF_000001405.40 of Homo sapiens. Taxonomy (NCBI): domain Eukaryota; kingdom Metazoa; phylum Chordata; class Mammalia; order Primates; family Hominidae; genus Homo; species Homo sapiens. The sequence continues at coordinate 32,973,843 of NC_000010.11, forward strand.
GGATCACCTGAGGTCAGGAGTTCGAGACCAGCCTCAACATGGAGAAACCCTGTCTCTACTTAAAAAATACAAAATTAGCCAGGCGTGGTGGTGCATGTCTGTAATCCCAGCTACTCGGGAGGCTGAGGCAGGAGAATTACTTGAACCTGGGAGGCGGAGGTTGTGGTGAGCTGAGATTGCGCCATTGTACTCCAGACTGGGCAACAAGAGCGAAATTCCGTCTCAAAAAAAAAAAATTTCAAATCCAAATTTCATTATAAAATATTTTATTGTGGGTAGTGTTTTCCTAGTATACATTGATATACAATTCCAAACTGTTTTAGCTCATTAGTCCCCAGCATTTCTAGTTATGCATAAAATTCTTTAAAAAATCTTTCATGGATATTATTGTTTGTTCACTTAGAAAGTGTAATCTTCAGTATCATTCTAGTTGTTTTTCTTCTTGAGAGGACTTCTGGACTAGAAATATGTACTAATCACTCTTCTGTTTCCTGATTATGAACCTTGGAAGGGCAGAGAAGTTGTCCCAAAGTGAGACTGGGAAGGGGGAAATGAGTATATGAGCCATCCCAAAGACAGGAAACGAAAATGACAGGTAAACTGAAGGCAGGGATGACATCTAGGATGGCTCAAAAGCTAAACAACAGGAGATCTTTCTCCAAGAAAGGACCAAAGGAAAAGCATGAGTTTTTAAAGAGTTATTTAGACTTCAAGTCTGTGGTTATGGCTTCAGAACTACCCAAGCACATGTTAGGACCTTGCTAAGCCCTTTCCACACATTATCTCATTAAATCTTCAAGGTAGACCTTGCCAACCCCATTTTATTTTATTATTTTTTAACTATTTTTTTTGTAGAGACAGGGTTTCACTATTTCATCCACGCAGGTCTTGAATTCCTGGGCTCAAGTGATCCTCTCACCTTGGCCTCCCAAAGTGCTGGGATTACAGGCGTGAGCCACTGCACCCAGCCACCAACCTGATTTTAGAGAAAAATTTCAACCCACATATGTGCGGCTGAAAGCTCCTACTCGTAACCACTTTAGCTTCTTACCTGCTGGCTGCCTTATTCTTTTCTTGTGCTACCTTCCATGTCGTTTCTTTACTGTTCTTTTTCCTCTATTCCAGTTGCTTTAGAAGGTAGAACTTTTCTTCCTTCAGATCTACACCACTACTTTTATGTACCCTCTGATAATGAAACTGATGTTGCCAATTCAACTAGTAGAAAACGATCAATTCTAGGATATGTTTCATTGTTTTAGACCACATAACCTGTCAATGTATTGATATTTCTTCTCATTGAATTGACTCGTATTGTCTTTTTATTTGACTTTCACATCTTTTTCCTCTAACAGTTTATTTCTATTTGAGGTTTTTGAAATGCACCCATAGTCCCATAGATAGTTCTTATCATTATTTTTTGTAATATAAACATAGAAATTGACCCTTCTGTTCTTAAAGCTTGAAACTTGTATTTGTTTTATCTGCATTCCTTCCCCAAGAAATGACTGTCAGGCCTGGCAAAAAAAAAAAAAAAAAAAAAAAAAAAAAAAGTACCAAAGAACTAGAACTCCCCAGATCACCACATCCAGACAATGGGATAGATGCGGACCCCTCACTCATCATGATTGCTTCCTTGCCCCTTCTGAGTTCCTATTTTCTTACACATTGTTACATTTCTTCTCTGCTATATAAACCCCTAGTTTTAGCCAGTGGGGGAGATGGATTTGAGACTGAGCTTCCATCTCCTTGGCTGCAACACCCGATTAAATCCTTCTTCCTTGGCAACTCTTCTCTCAGTCGTTGGCTTTCTGTGCCCATAGCAGCAGGACCTAGACCAAACCCTTGGTGTTTTGGTTACAATTTCCTATAGAAGTTTTTTCAGGTGCTTCAAATTTGACAGATATTATCTTTCGGATCTTTTTCAGTGTTGTAGTTTTCCCTATCACAGCTGAAAACTTAAATACTATTTATAGCAGGATTCGTTGTTCTCTGATATACTTTACAGAAAATGTTTTTAATACTGATTATTGGGTATAGTTTGATATACACTTAAATTTGGTATGAATCTGGATTCTGAGAACTTTTACTCATGCCTCATGCTGTTTTCATGAGGTGATTTTTTTTTTTTTTTTTTTTTTGAGACAGAGTTTCACTCCTGTCGCCCAGGCTGGAGTGCAATGGCGTGATCTCAGCTCACTGCAACCTCTGCCTCCCGGCTTCAAGCAATTCTCCTGCCTCAGCCTCCCAAGTAGCTGGGATTACAGGTGTGTGCTACCATGCCCGGCTAATTTTTGTATTATTAGTAGAGATGGGGTTTCACCATGTTGACCAGGCTGGTCTCGAACTTCTGACCTCAGGTGATCTGTCCACCTCGACCTCCCAAAGTGCTGGGATTACAGGTGTGAGCCACCACACCCGGCCTATGAGGTGATTTTTGCTGATAATTTTGAGGCTATCACTCAGGGTTAGAGTAATTAGACACACCTTAGTGATATTTGCTATCTTCCTTTTTTATGTTTTGTTGGTGCTTTAGTTGCAGCTCATGCCAAAATCAATTAAATACCATGAGCAGGGAAACCCTTCCTGTTTCATGTCAGCACCATGATTTAAAAACTTAGATGCTCGTACAGCCTTTGTATATTGCCTGAAGGATGCTGACATTCACTGTGATGCAGCTGCACTTCCTGACAACCCATCACTGTCTATTACATGAATCATTCCGATGGGTGTCATTACAGGGCATCACTGTGCCCTCTTCTAGCCTTGTAGGGACCTCTATTCATCTCACTCTAGAAGCCAAATGGATGCCAATGCAGTAATAGCACTGTTATTAAATAGGCTACTTAAGCAGTATTTTCTCAATTTAATTTGACCGTGCTTTACAGGGAGAGTTACAATCCTGAGCCACAATTAAAATCCTGATCATAAGGTACTCACTTTTTTTAGACGGGCATATTAATGTTACTGCTTATTTTTAGTGGCGTTCTAGGGTCATGCATATACTGCGCAAAATAGAACAGCGGGCTGAGAGTTCAGAATGTGCAGGGCTTTGGGATGACTTGTGGCTTGGCCCAGGCTAGTCACTTACCCCTTTTAAGACATCACTGAAAAAAACGGGAGTTCTGGGATATGTCTCCCAAGGGAACAACTGAGCTTCCCAATGGGGTGGGCAGAAAATTAACCTAGGTGGAACTCATCTATGAATACTTGAGTGTCTACTTCTTACAAATCTGTCTCTTTGTCCCTGTTTCTGACATAGGCATCCTAAGGGGCTCTAATTTCTCAGCGTTCACAATATACTAGACACGTAATGTAATAAGCAATCTATTTATATTATTTCACTTGATTTTTGACAACCATCACATGAAATAAATATTAGGATCCAAGATTATAAATTAGGAAACATAGGAAGCAAAAGCTTAGAGTAATGACATTCAAAGTGTGATCTAAAAGCTGTTAACAATCCACAAATTGGGTTCGGTGTATACTGCTCGGGTGATGGGTGCACCAAAATCTCACAAATCACCGTTAAAAAACTTACTCATGGAACCAAATGGCATGCATTCTCTTTCTTTCTTTTTTTTTTTTGAGACGAAGTCTCCCTCTGTCGCCAGGCTGGAGTGCAACGGCGTGATCTCAGCTCACTGCAGCTTCCGACTCCCTGGTTCAAGTGATTCTCCTGCCTTAGCCTCCTGAGTAGCTGGGATTACAGGCATGCACCACCATGCCCAGGTAATTTTTGCATTTTTAGTAGAGACAGGGTTTCACCGTGTTGGCCAGGATGGTCTCGAACTCCTGACCTCATGATCCACCCACCTTGGCCTCCCAAAGTGCTGGGATTACAGGCATGAGCCGCCGCACCCGACCCACCCATTCTATTTCTAAAAAACAAAAGAAAAAAAAAAGCTGTTAACAGTCCACAATGAATTTAGAACAAAACTTGAGAGTATTGAGGAATATTTATAGCAATTTGGCATTGCTAAGATATTTTTATTGCATTTTGCAAAAGTATTGGTCCATAACAGATGGGAAATAGCAAGAAAGGAAGAACAGAAGAAGTGAAGGAAGGAGAAAAAAGCAGGGACAAAGGTTAAAAAAAAAAAAACAAACCCTGATCTTTCACTGTAGACAGCTTGAGAAACAGGGGCTTAAACCTTTAATGATGAGTCCAAGTTCCACATCAAGCACATTCCAGAACCAAGATTTACATCCTATCCTGGCTTCAAACCCTTGCTCTTTAGCATACCACTCTATTACCTACTTGATAACAGTGATGATAAGTCAAGAAAGAAATAAAACAGCAATTTGATGACTATCATTATCCTCTAAAGATTCAGGAACTCAAACTTCAAAATTTGGGAGACTAAAATAAGAAGAGAGTTTATACCTAAGTCAAGATTCTGGCCTACAACCATCATCATTATTTATTTATTTATTTATTTATTTATTTATTTATTTATTTAAATTATACTTTAAGTTCTAGGGTACATGTGCACAATGTGCAGTTTTGTTATATAGGTATACTGTGCTATGTTGGTTTGCTGTACCCATTAACTCGTCATCTACATTAGGTATTTCTCCTAATGCTATCCCTCCCCCAGCCCTCCACCCAATGACAGGCCCCAGTGTGTGATGTTTCCCGCCCTGTGTCCAGGTGTTCTCATTGTTCAATTCCCACCTGTGAGTGAGAACATGCAGTGTTTGGTTTTCTGTCCTTGCGATAGTTTTCTCAGAATGATGGTTTCCAGCTTCATCCATGTCCCTGCAAAGGACATGAACTCATCCTTTTTAATGGCTGCATAGTATTCCATGGTGCATATGTGCCACATTTTCTTAATCCAGTCTATCATTGGTGGACATTTGGGTTGGTTCCAAGTCTTTGCTATTGTGAATAGTGCTGCAATAAACATACGTGTGCATGTGTCTTTATAGTAGCAGGATTTATAATTCTCTGGGTATATACCCAGTAATGGGATGGCTGGGTCAAATGGTATTTCTAGTTCTAGATCCTTGAGGAATCACCACACTGTCTTCCACAATGGTTGAACTAGTTTACACTCCCACCAACAATATAAAAGCGTTCCTATTTCTCCACATCCTCTCCAGCATCTGTTGTTTCCTGACTTTTTAATGATCACCATTCTAACTGGTGTGAGATGATATCTCATTGTGGTTTTGAGTTTCAACATCTTTTTGACTGTCATTATCATGGTTAACATTAATTGGGAGCTAAGACCCAAAAATTGTCCATGTGCTTCAAATGAATTATCCTATAATCCCCAGGATAACCGAGTGAGGCAGTGATGATTTGGCTTTGTAGCATCGGAGCCAGGATGCAAATCGAGTGTGCTGGACACCAAGCCCTTAACCACTAGGTTATAATTTTCCCATCTGTAATCCATGATAGAGTCACAAGAAGGTTTGGCAAGGCACTAGAATTTATTCATTAATACCAGATGCTGGGTTTGAATTTCATTCTAGAGCTGTGTGATCTTGGACCTGTTACTTAACCTCTCTGTGTTTCAGTTATCACTGTAAAATGGGCAGAACAAGACCAGCCTCAAAGGTTTATGGCAAGAATTTAATTTTTAAAAATGCATATTTGCACAGTGCTTGGCACATAGATAGTACTCCATAAATGGTAGCTACTGGTAATATTAAAATAATAAATCAGTAGTTTTTAGATTAACTCCAGAGTAAAAAAAAAGTGGCATTTGATAGTTTGTGGATTTTGATCCTCAATCATAGATTTTACTAAACTTTGCTTTTCACATTAATGTGTGGCTTTAAGGGGTTCTTTTATATTATGGAAGAGTGAAATTAACTTAATTCTTCCTATTTGCTATGATGCCACACTATTTCAAATATTCCCACTTAATTAAATTGCTGCTCCTTTAAATATTAAAATATGAAGACTTCAATAAACATTTGGAAGGTCTTAATTCGGGGAAAGGAAACCATCATTTATGTGCGTTTCATTAATTATCAAGATTACCAAGATTTATGATTTGCATTTTAAGAATGTAAGTTCCAGGCCAGGCGCGGTGGCTCACGCCTATAATCTCAGCACTTTGGGAGGCAGAGGTGGGCGGATCACTTGGGGCCAGGAGTTCGAGACCAGCTTGGCCAATATGCTGAAACCCCATTTCTACTAAAAATACAAAAATTACCCGGTCGTGGTAGCACACGCCTGTAATCGCAGCTACTAGGGAGGCTGAGGTAGGAGAATTGCTTGAACCCGGGAGGTGGAGGTTGCAGTGAGCCGAGATCGTGCCAGTGCACTCCAGCCTGGGTGACACAGCAAGACTCCGTCTCAAAAAAAAAAAAAATTAAAAAAGAATATAAGTTTCAGAAAGCAAGAATATTTGCTTGTTTTGTTCCACAATGCCTAAAACGGTGTCTAGTGCTTAGTAGGTAGTCAATGTATCTGTTGAATAAATGCATCTTATTGGATAACTCAGTCAGAGCAATGCATTCTTCTTTGAATTGGATTTAAGTTTGCCTTTTTAAAAATGTATCTTTTTTAGAAAATTAACGTTTGCTCTTTCTCTGCTAAGAAAAATCAGCTTTACTACACTGGAGGTGGGACCGAGGGAAGGAAACAAAGGCATTCTGTATTCACCTGCATGAAGCAGAAAAGCCAGCCCGAAGCTACTGGCTGAGCTTCTGCCCTAGGTGCGTCTCCTGCGTGCAGCGTTGCTGCAAGGCCTGGCAGCTTCTAGGAGCCTACACCTCTGTCATCGCCTTCGGGGAGGGATAGGGCTAGGAGCTCTGTGCGGAACCGCGTCCAGCCGCCGACTCACTGACACATCACAATGAGTCACGTGCTCTGTGCACCGGGCGGATTTGTCAGATCCGCTGCTGCATCACGGCTCGGCAGGGCTCTCTGGGTTCTCAGTGCCCTCCTAGGTCTGCAATGCAGTGCGGGAGAGGAGGAATATGGGCTTGTGGGGGCAGGGGCAGCGCCCGGACTCCTCCCGGGGCAGGACTCCCAGAAACGCAGGAAGCGATGACGCTGCTCAGATAAACCCTGGCGCTCTGCGCTGGCGTCCTGGTCAGGAGCTCCTCTGCCACGGACGCGCCTGCCGTTTCTGCCTTCGTTATCTATTTACTGACCTCTCATCTCCCCAGAAGATGTTCTCAGTTCTCAGCAGTCAGTGCTTCTCCTCCAGCTTCACTGACCTTTCTATGGGGGTAATAAACTAAAGAAAGAAGTCGATGTTTGAGTAGATAAAATGTGTTATGCCAGTGCCCTGGGAATCCGATACAGCTGGCCCAGGAGGGGCCTGGGGTTCTGCTTTGTTTTGTCTTCAGATAGTGTCTAGCTCTCTTGTCAGGCTGGAGTGCAGTGGCGAGCCTAGCTCACTGCAGCCTCTACCTCCCCGGCTCTAGTGATCTTCCTGCCTCAGCCTCCCGATTAGCTGCAACTACAGGTGCCTGCCACTGCGCCCGGAAATATTTCTTACAGGGGTCTTGCTGTGTTGCCCAGGCTGGTCTCAAACTCTTGGACTCCGGGGATCCTCCCACATCGGCCTACAGAGTAGCTGGGATTACAGATGTGCCACCGTGCCCAGCTATGTCTATTCTTGAAGGCTGTCCATGTCATTTCCATGGGCAGCCAGGTTTCCCTGTCACCAGACTAGATGATTTCCAAGAGCCCTTCCCACTCTAAAATTCTATGAACAATGATATTTTTTTCCCAACCTAGTCCCTTTGAGCCAAGAAAGGAACTCATTTATTGTATTAATTTAGACAAACCTACAAAGGTAGAAAGATTCTTATAATTTTATTTCCTTAAAAATGAAATGTTTATATGCTTGTTTTTAAAGCAGGGTCACCTGGGAAAGTACAGAGCTGTTTACACTTAAATTCCCATTTGTAAGGGGGATATTCTATCCCTCAACTTCCAAAGTGAACAAAGTCCTAATTCGGAGCCCATTGCTCTGCGGCCTCTCATGCCCTGGTAGGGCCAGGACCCCAGGGAATAGGATCTGGCCGCTGGGTCAGCAATGTTTGAAGGCTCCCATTTTATTTGCAGCCACAGCCAGCCAAGTTCACTGTGAGCAGCACTTCCTGCCTTGTTTGTGAGCTGCAGGCTGCATCAGGAAATAAAGTTTGTAAAATTACATTCTCTGGCTAAGCCTAGCCCTTTGTTGAAATAGCCACATTATCTATGACGACAGTGACAAGGCCAAAGGTGAGAAAATCTACATGAATTATTCTCTCAAAAGGATTCAGATAAGGGCAGAAAAGACCAGATGTTTCCTTTCTAAGTGACAAAGGGCTTGAGAATAAAAGGTAGGAAGAACAACTTGAAAGATTCACTTGGGCTTCTTTCTCACTACCTAAGAATATTACTAAGTTCCCTAAAAGCATTGCACCCCTGGATTCTAGTCTGTTTTATTTTTTTGAGATAGGGTCTTGCTCTGTCTCCTAGGCTGGAGTGCAGTGGCATGATCACAGCACACTGCTGCCTCGAACTCCTAGGTTCAAGTGATCCTCTCACCTTGGCCTCCCAAAATTCTGGGGGTACAAGCATGAGTCACCGTGCCTGGCCATCCCTGGATTCTAGATCTGGGCCTGGCACATAATAGATATTCAGTAAATATTAAACAGATGTATGAATCAGACAGTCCTGGTCGTCTACGTATCTTTATCTACTGAGAGTTTTGTGGGTTTTTTTGTTTATTTTTTTGAGACAGAATCTCACTCTGTAGTCACCCAGGCTGGAATGCAGTGGTGCGATCTTGGCTCACTGCAACCTCCACCTCCCAGATGCAAGCGATTCTTGTGCCTCAGCCTCCCGAGTAGCTGGGATTAAAGGCATGCGCCACCACGCCCAGGTAATTTTTGTATTTTTATTACAGACAGGGTTTTGCCATGTTGGTCAGACTGGTCTCGAACTCCTGGCCTTAAGTGATCTGCCTACTGAGAGCTAATTCAAGAAAAACTACTAAATTATAAGCTCCTGAAGGCAGAGATTGGGTCCTTATAGGACCTGGCAAAATTATCAGCAAAGGTTTCTTGAAATGAATTTGCCAAGAGCTCTTCTAGACAGGGGGAAAGTGAGGAGACATAAAAGCTAATAATAAAGATTGGAAAAGGACATATGTATGTATTGGACAAATCTAGCATTTCTTGAAAATTCATGTATTGATTCACTGATGACATATAAGCAAAGTTAAAGTCATCTTCAACCGTAAATGTTAATACTTATTCAGTAAGAGAAACAGCATGACTCAAGTCAATGGATTTAGGGACATTAATTTGGCAGTTTTAGGGCAAAATTCTAAGTGGTTGATGATAGTGAAAAATTGAATTGCCTTAAATGCCTAACAGTAGGGAACTTGTTAAATAAACTTGATGCTTTCATGCAATTATGTTTTCAGATAAAATCATGTTTTCAAAAACTATATATGGACATGGAGAAATTTAAATTTAAGTCAAAAAGATATGGTGGCAGAAACTGTTGACTTCCTACCCACACCACTTCCCTTCTCCTTCCTAACACCTCTTAATTTTGGTGGGCTTTCTATTCTCTGCACAGCAGTGTGCTTCAGGGGAGGCAGTCACCAGCCCTGCCCTGGGGAGTGAATCATCAGTGAGTGGTGAATGTGAATTCCCCTGGCTAGTGATCTTCTGAGTCCGGGGAGTATAATTCATTCCAGGCCAGTGAGGTGGATGAGAGTGGAGAGGCTTCTGGAAAAGCTTTCCTCTATCTTTAAAAGCAGGAAACAAAGTCATGCTTCCATTAAATGTTAGGAAAAGCTTCCCTCTATCTTTAAAAGCAGGAAACAAAGTCATGCTTCCATTAAATGTTAGACTCTACATGTGATAAAGCCACCATGCAGCCAGGCCTGAGGCTGAGCTGACAGGCCTGGGAATGTGGAAAAATGCAAAGGCCCCAGCTGATTGATCTGCTGATCTGTTGACTTATTAGCCTTGGAGGCTGCAGGTCAGTGACCAAGAGCCAGTTCAACAAACACCCACCCACTGCAAATCAGTTTCCACTACGGCTGATTTGCTGGATTTACTCGCTTCTTTTAACTATTTAGATATTGTTGACTGATTTTCATTTTGTCTTCATAAAAGCATTTAAGGAATATTAAAATTGTCTCAATTCTAGTTCCTTGTTGAGTAACTGAAGACTGACTTTTGATGAGTTGTCCAGCTAAATAACTCATCTTATTTCCAAACTTATTATGTGAGCTAATTTTTTCTTATAGTTTAAACCAATTGCATATTGAGTCCAGGTTTTCTCTTAATTACCACTAGAAGTATACTAATGGGATACATGTAGAATAAGAGAGAGAGAGAAATTGGGGGGAGGGGAGAGAGAGAAAGAATGAATTATTTCTGGGTTGTAGGATTGGGAATATAGCTGATTTATGCCTTTACTGTATATTCATCTTTGTATTTCTCTATTTTCTAAATTTTCTGTAATGAACATATATTGCTATTATGAACAAAGTGGAAAGTTGTTTGTTTTGAGACAGAGTCTTGCTCTGTTGCCCAGGCTGGAGTGCTGTTGCTCAACCTGGACTCACTGCAACCTCCACCTCCCTGGTTCAAGTGATTCTCATGCCTTAGCCTCCTGAGTAGCTGGGATTACGTGCGTGCCACCACACCCAGCTAATTTTTGTATTTTTAAGTAGAGACAGGATTTTGCCATGTTGCCCAGGCTGGTCTCAAACTCCTGGCCTCAAGGGATTCGTCCTCCTCAGCTTCCCAAAGTGCTGGGATTACAGGCGTGAGCCACGGTACCCAGCCCTGAAAGTTGTTCTTAAAAACTGGTTTGAGGGCTATAAAAGGTATGAGTGCTAATCTCAGAGGATTGTAGAATCATTGAGAATTGACATCTAGAGCTTAATAAAGTGGTGGCTGGGCTGGTGAGGCTACACAAACAAGGAGCAATTGAATCAATTCTAGAAGACTGAGTATGCGTAGGATGAGTAGGAAGAGGTGAGGCTTAGGACCTCTCGATCCATTGTTTGTGTTTGGTAGGGGAGGACTGAAAGGCCATATTTACAATATTTAGGCCAGGCTTGGTGGCTCATGCCTGTAATCCCACCACTTTGGGAGGCCAAGGTGGGCAGATCACGAGGTCAGGAGTTCGGGACCAGCCTGACCAACATGGCAAATCCCCGTATCCACTAAAATATAAAAAATTAGCCAGGCGTGGTGGCGGATGCCTGTAATCCCAGCTACTCGGGAGGCTGAGGCAGGAGAATTGCTTGAACATGGGAGGCGGAGGTTGCAGTGAGCCAAGATCGCACCATTGCACTCCAGCCTGGGCAATGAGAGCAAGACTGTATCACAAAAAAAAAAAAAAAAAAGCCACAATATTTATTGTCTCTTCCATGCATGATGCTTTACAAATACGTCATCTCCTTTCATCATCACAATTGTGAAAGTAGGTAGTATTATCTTCATTTTGTAGAGGTAAGAAGTGAAGCTCAAACGTGCACAGAAGTAATAAATATTGGACCTGTGATTTTAATGTACAGCTGGCATTAAATGTCGTGTGCAACACCTCTCACAGATGAGCTTACTGGAAGTGAAAATCAGAACATCAGAGCCAAAGAAAGGATTCTGACAAAAAGCTGTTGTGATTGTAAGTGACAGGAACCCAACTCGAAGTACTTAAGCAAAAATGGAAATTTATTGCCTTAGGTAGCTAGAAAGGAATGGAGTGAAACCAGCAAAAGGCTTGACTGTGCCTCGGGTGAAGGAAGGTGTAGACTGTACAAGAGGTATTGAAGCATCTTTTTCCACCTTAGGAGACAGCTTCCCAAGGCTGGAAAGAGGGGAGTGCGGAACATGCCTCCACCATACCACTGCCCACCTCCTGTGACCTCTGCAGCAAAACCTGAAGCCCCAAAGAGGCAGCTTCTCAAAGTAAAAGTGGAATGAAGGTCAGGTTGGTCTAAAAACCCATCCAACAATTTGTGGAAAGGGTTTACATCATTTTGTTATTTGTATGTCATTGCTTTTTGCATCATATTGTTTGTCCTTACAAAACAAATCTGGACACAGCAAGTTGTTCATTCGCAGAGAAAGAAAGCTTACTCACACTTCCTGTCATCCAGCAGCAAAGAATACTGACCACAGAGTGACCTTTAAGTGTAAGGCTTTAATGAGTATTAGGCTGAATGCCTGTTTTCCAACCTGGTGCAAAATATTTATATTTTAGAAATTGTGATTTTTAACATTACTGCAAGAAAGAGGGGCTTCTATTTCCTTTTTCCTCTATTTAGTCCCTAGATTAAGAATTGGCAATTTTTTTCTACAAAGGACCAAATTGTAAATATCTTTGACTTTGCAAACCATGTGATCTCTGTTGCAACTGCTCAACTGCCTTTGTCTTGCAAAAGCAGCTGTGGATGATATGTATGCAAATAAACATGGCTGTGTTCCAATAAAACTTTATTTTCAAAAACGGGAAGTCAGCCAGATTTTGTTCGCAGGTCTTGGTTTGCCCTAGATCACTGTTTTTTCCCCCCGAGTTTAAAATCATCATTTTTTTGTTGGTTTTAAACCCATGCCAGAGCAAGAGAACTTCACAATTTTCTATGGGTATACTGTGTTTTAGTTATTTGGATGATTGTCCAAAGAATCAGTCCACAATAGGAATTATTGTTACCTGTTTTGTGTTTCCGTTGGTTCCAGAGAGGAATAATCTTATCAAGTCATGTAGGTTAAAAAATTAAAATTAGTAAAACTATAGCAATAGAAAAATAAATTTAATGTTTTTAAACCTTGCATTTAAAAGGTAAATTTGGCGGGGGGCGGTGACTCACACCTGTAATCCCAGCATTTTGGGAGGCTGAGGCTGCTGGATCGCTTGAGCCCAGGAGTTCACGACCAGCCTGCACAACATGGCAATACCCCATCTCTACAAAAAAATACAAAAATTAGCTGAGCATGGTGGCGCACACCTGTAACTACCTTGAGGGGCTGAGGTGGGAGGACCCCTTGAGCCTGGGAAGTCAAGGCTGCAGTGAGCCGAGATGGTGCCACTGTACTCCAGCCTGGGTGGTAGGGTGAGACCTTGTCTCAAAAATAAATAAATAAATAAAATAAACGGTAAATTTGATTAAGAAAAAGAAAGATGCAAAGTGAACTGTGAGTAGATGGAGGGATCATAAATTTGGGGGACCAATAAATATTTTCCTCACTGTGGTGGGGAAATTGATAGGTGAAATAATAGAGTAGCTGTTATTTTAAGTCTGTAGGAATTTTTGCCCAATGACAAATGTGGAATTCAAAACCCGTTTATAGGTTGTGCCTGACTAGTTTTCTTTTTCTTTTCTGATTAATAACAATGTATTATTATATGTTTAAAAAATCTGGACTTACATAGCATCTTAATAATTGCTCATATACAGCATTAAATGCACAGCTGTCTTATTTAAACTTAAAAAGAAACTCCATTTTGGTGATAGCTATTATCATCTCTTATAGCATGACCAAAAAGCATCCTCAGAAATATAAGCCTACCTCACATGTACATGGTAACCTTGGAAATTAGGGTGTGTCGGCATTATTATTCTTACTTTCAGATATAAAACAGCATGGAGACTGATTTTTCCCAGGTCATATGTCTAGTGACCTGCAGATTTTTGGACCCCAAGTCCACATTCTTATACTACACCACAGTTACCAAATTGCCTTTGTTGACATGTAGACTTTTCAATTTGCAATTGCTTTACACATTTAAAAAAATTGTGAATAAAAGAACAAACTATTTCAGTTTTCAGTTGCAACTTACAGAACAATTAAATCATAACAAAAACATAGTATGTGTTTTGGGTGTATCACTTAAATGAGTAGAATAAAGGGATAGAAATCAATATGTATGTGGACTTGTTCTTCTTTTCTTTTTCTTTCTTTTTTTTTTTTTTTTAAATTTGAGATAGGGTCTTGCTCTGTCACCCAGGCTGGAGTGTAGTGGTGCCATCACTGCTCACTGCAGCCTCAACCTCCCAGCCTCAAGTGATCCTCCCACCTCAGCCTCTGGAGTAGCTAAGGACTACAGGCACGTATGCGACCACGCCTTGCTAATTTTTTTTGTATTTCTTGTAGAGTCGGGGTTTCACCATGTTGCCCGGCCTGGTCTCGAACTCCTGGCCTCAAGTCTCTCTGGCTCAGCCTTCCAAAGTGCCAGGATAACAGGCGTGAACCACGACACCCAGCTTGCTTTGTGTACTTCTAGGGGCTCAGGTGAACCACATGAGTTCCTGGATGTGCTTCCATGTTTCACAGTGAATTCATGTTTTTGGTCCAATCATGACCATTTAGACTGTTTAAGAAGGCTGTGTACCAGCTTTAATATTGTATTTTATGATATTAGTGATCCCTGAATTTTATTTGAAAAAATATTATTTTACTGAGTGATTTAGTAGGCTTGATCATTTTCCTTGCAGCTTTCATATTTTGTGACACACTGATTTAAGAATCAAGTCTATATCTGAATGTGAAAAATCTGCAATGAGGATAGCAAACAATTATATTGTTTTAATAGAAAAATTATTTGATAATTTCCATGTATTGATGATTTCAGTAGAATCTATTCTGCATTTAACCAACAATCAGTAGTTCCCAAGCTATTCCGTAGTTTTAGCTTTAACACATAGTACATGCTTAATAAACATTAGCTGAATGAATGAATGAATGAATGACTAAAGACTTTCAGGACCTGGAAGGGAGGATGTAAAGAACCCAGGGCCAAGTGTCATGCAAGCACTGGAGCATCTAGATCCCCTCCGGACACCAGCTTCCTTTCCCACAACCCAAATGTTCTTTTCCTTTTATGAATTTTCTTTAATCGTGACAAAATATATATAATATAAAATGTATCATTTTAACTGTTTGTAAATGTACAGTTTGGTGTTATTCAGTACATTCACATTGTTGCACAACCATCACCACCAACTATCTCCAGAGCTTTTTCTTCCTCCCCAACTGACATCCTGTACTCATTAATCAATAACTCTCCATTCACCCTCCCCCGAGGGAGACTATTCTTGTTATTCTCTGTCTTTTTTTTTTTTTTTTTAATAGCTGCCATTCTAAGGGTATGGCCTAATTAGTTTTTAACTGGGTGAGAAGATGAAGAAAAAAGAGCAAATGAGCATGAGAATCCAGTAACAACCAAGCAGAACCGTTCTACTTTTGTCTCTCTGAATGTGACACTCTAGGTACCTTGTATAAATGGAACGATACAACATTTCCCCTTCTGTGTCTGGCTGATTTCACTTGGCATAATGTCTTCAAGGTTTCATCAACATTGTAGCATGTGTAAGACTTTTAATTCCTATTTTTTTTTTTTTTTTTTGAGGCAGAGTCTCACTCCGTCACCCAGGCTGGAGTGCAGTGGCGCCATCTCGGCTCACCGCAACCTCCACCTCCTAAGTTCAAGGGATTCTCCTGCCTCAGCCTCCCGAGTAGCTGGGATTGCAGGTTCCCACCACCATGCCTGGCTAATTTTTGTATTTTTAGTGGAGATGGGGTTTCACCATGTTTGCCAGTCTGGTCTCAAACTCCTGGCCTCAAGTAACCCACCCACCTTGGCCTCCCAAAGTGCTGGGATTATAGGCGTGAGCCACCATGCCTGGTCCTTCATTCCTTTCTAAAGCTGAATGACACCCCACTATGTGCCATTGCATGTATGTACCACATTTTGCTTATCCATTAATCCATCAGTGGACATTTGGGTTGTCTCCACCTTTTGGCTATTGTGAATGATGCTGCTATGAACATGGATGTAGAAATATCTGCTTGAACCCCTGCTTTCAATTCTTTTGGGAATATACCCAGAAGTGCCATTGCTGGATCTATGATAATTCTGTTTAACTTTCTGAAGAACTGCCATACTGTTTTTTTGTTTGTTTTGTTTTTGTTTCTTGAGACAGAGTCTGGCTCTGTCGCCCAGGCTGGAGTGCAGTGGCGCCATCTCAGCTCACTGCAACCTCTGTCTCCCACGTACAAATGATTTTCCTGCCTCAGCCTCCCCAGTAGCTGGGACTACAGGCGCGCTTCACCTCACCCAGATAATTTTTGTAGTTTTAGTAGAGACGGGGTTTCACCATGTTGCCCAAGTTGGTCTTGATCTCCTGGGGTCAAGCCATCCACCTGCTTTGGCCTCTCAAAATGCTGATATTACAGGTGTGAGCCACCATGCCCAGCCTGCCATATGTTTTTGTTGTTGTTGTTGTTGTTGTTTACTGTGGCTGCTGTTGTTTACATTTTCACCAGTAATGCGCAGGGGTACTGATTTCTCTACATCCTCATCAACACTTGCTATTCTCTGTTTTGTTTGTTTTTTTTCTTAAGAGTTGCCATTCTAAGGGTATGACCTAATTAGTTTTTAACTGGGTGAGAAGATGAAGAAAAAAGAGAGCAAATGAGCATGAGAATCCAGTAACAACCAAGCAGAACTAAAGACTCAAGACTTTCTATAAGCAGCCATGGACTATCCCTTTGCCTTGGCCTGTTATGGTTATTTCTGAAGCAGTGAGATCTCAATACACTAATAAGAAAACAGAGGCACACACCAGTTATGTTTTATGTCAACTAGGTTATGACTTCAAACTGTTATTCTCTGGAGTCATAAATAGAGCCTTTGGGTGAAACGACCTTATAAAAAGTCTTTTGGATACAATGTTAACTATTTTTTTGCATAGAATCCAGGATCACTTCCCAAATCCCTCTCCTTCACAAAGCATACTCTTTCTGAATATATATAGCAATTTATATATAATTCCAAATATATATGGCAGTTTAAGAACATACAATAAGGTCAAAGAATTCAGAAAAAAATAGAGGAAACTTAAGCATTTAGATCAGGATTATCACATGTGTGAATTGATATTACTTTATACTATTTTTCTCCAAAATCAGTGGAAACTCCCCAATTCCAGCATTTGTTAAGAGTCCAGTATTTAATCATTCCTTAAGTGCTCCCTTCCACTGCCCTCCCTGACACCTAAGCACACCCTTGGGTTCCCATGTCCTCAAAGTGCCATCTGCCTGACTACCACACCTGAGAGAGAACAGTACTCATATCAGAACAATTTAACCTTGCTATTGTTTCTCACTGACAAATGGAGTTTTGCTGCATATTTGTCATCCTCTGGCAACAGATGGTGCTGGTCTACTTCACAGCAATTCTGCTCCATCCTGGTGCCCTCATAATCCTCCTATAGGGAACAAGCTCAGCTGTGTGTGCTCCCAGCTCAAGTTCTCTCTTCAGTGAATACAACCATGCTCAGCAATTGCTCCCAGGACATAGACACTATACCCATCAGAATAGCTGCATTTGGAGGAACTTTTATAATAGCATCAGTTTTGTGCTAGTCCAAACCAGCTCTCTTCCACAAATTCTGGGGACTGGGCTTTAGTCTTGGTTACCAGTTTGGACACCCATTTCCTCAAGATAATTTTTGAAATAGACTTTATTTTTTAGAGCAGTTTTAAGTTCATAGCAAAATCAAGCAGAAAGTAGAGAGTTCCCATCTAGTGGTATACAGAATAGTTTACTGCTCCCAGAATCTTTCTATGTGCTGCCTATTCTTTCTCCCTCCCCACTATCTGCTGATCTTTTTATCTCTTTATAGTTCTGCCTTTCCTAGAATGTTGTGAAATTGCAATTATACAGTATTTAGCTTTTTTCGACTGGCTGCCTTCACTTAACATATGCATTTAAGTTTCTTCCCTGTCTTTGTTTCTTGAAACAGGATCTTGCTCTGTCACCCAGGCTGGAGTGTAGTGGCATGCTCTTGGCTCACTGCAACCTCCACCTCCTGGGTTCAAGCAATTCTCCTTCCTCAGCCTCCTGAGTAGCTGGGACTACAGGCGTGCACCACAACGCCTGGCTAATTTTTGTATTTTTAGTAGAGATGGGGTTTCACCATGTTGGCCAGGCTGGTCTTGAACTCCTGGCCTCAAGTGATTCACCCATCTCATCTTCCCAAAGTGCTGTGATTACAGGCATGAGCCACTGCACCCAGCTTGATAACTCTTTTTTTTGGTGTTTGTGGACCTAAATTTTAAACTTATTTGGGTAAATTCCAAGGAGTGCAATTGCTGGAATGTATGGTAAGAGTATGTTTAGTTTTCTAAGAAACTTCCAAACTGTCTTCCAAAGCGGCTGTACCATTTTGTATTCCTACCAGCAAGGAATGAAAGTTCCTGCTGCTTCACATCCTTACCAGCATTTAGAGTTATCTGTATTCTGAGTTTTGGTCATTCTAATAAGTGTATATAATGGTATCTCACTATTGTTTTTGGCAATTGACTAACAAAATTTGATGTTAAGCATCTTTAATATGTTTATTGGCCTTCTACATATCTTTTACGGTGAGGTATCTATTTGGATCTTTTGCCTACTTTTTTAACTAAGTTGTCTATTAGTCCATTCTCACGTGCTAATAAAAACATACCCGACACTGGGTAATTTGTAAAGGAAAAAAGTTTAATTGACTCACAGTTCAGCATGGCTGGGGAGACCTCACAATCATGGCAGAAGGCGAAGGAGGAGCAAAGGCACATATTACATGGCGGCAGGCAAAAGGCACGTCTTACGTGGCAGCAGGCAGGAGAGTGTGTGCACAGAAACTCCCCTTTATAAAACCATTAGCTCTTGTGAGATTTATTCACTATCTTGAGAGCAGCACAGGAAAGACTTACTCCCATGATTCAATTACCTCCCACTGGGTCCCTCCCACAACATGTGGGAATTATGGGAGCTACAATTCAAGATAAGATTTGGGTGGGGACACAGCCAAACCATATCAGGTTGTTTGTTTTCTTATTGTTGAGTTCCAAGAGTTCCTTGTATACATATTTTGGATAGCAGTCCTTTATCAGATAGGTCTTTGCAATTACTTTTCTCCCAGTCTGTTGCTTGTCTTCTCTCTACAGTGTCTTTTCCAGAGCACCTCAGGATAATTTTATTTCTGGAAACTCACATTTCTTTTATGCCACTGGGCCTTAGTTTGGACCAAAATTACTCTGTTTTAAAATTCCTTCCCCAGAGACTGCATTCTTCTTAAGCAGATTGAACCACATCCTCCCTAATAACCAATTTTGAATAGTAGGGACTCAGGTCAACTCTACTTAGTCACAGAAGGCTCTGTTATACCCAAATCTGATGACATGCTGTCTAGACACCCACATTTGCCTGAAAGGGTCACACAGATGACCCATGACAGGAAAAACATCAGACTAAAAAAACTTCTTGGGGCCAGGCACAGTAGCTTATGCTTCTAATCCCAGTACATTGGGAGGCTGAGGCGGGCAGATTGCTTGAGGCCAGGAGTTCCAGACCAGCTTGGCCAACATGATAAAACCCTGTCTCTACTAAAAATACAAAAATTAGCTGAGCATGCTGGCGTGCACCTGTAGTCTCAGCTACTGGGGAGGCTGAGATAGAAGAATTGCTTGAGGCGGAGGTTGCAGTGAGCTGAGATTCTACCACTGCACTCCAGTCTGGGCAACAGAGTGAGACTTCATCTTAGAAAAACAAAACAAAACAAAACAAAAACCTTCTTGATTAAAATATATAGTTCTAAAACTATTCTGTAGGACACTGTAATGATGGATATATATAATTATGCATTTGGCGAAACTTACAGAATGCATAACACAAGGAGTGAATCCTAAAGTCAACTATGGACTTTAATAATAATAATGTATCAATATTGGCTCATTAATTATAACAAATGCATCATACTAATTCAAGATGCTAGTAATAGGGAAAATTATGGATGTGTATGTGTGTGTAGTGGGTATATGGGAACGCTCTTTACTCTGTGACCAATTTTTCTGTTAATCTATAACTGTTCTAAAAAAATTCTATTAATTAAAATAAATACACTGCCTCAAATATATGTTTTATTTATATATCAATTTGGTTCATTTGTTTGAAGAACATTTTGCAATGGTGAAAACAACCATTAAGGTACTATCTTACATTTAATAAATGCTGATCAATTCATTAAGGTGAAAGTTTAATTATTTGAGCAATTAAATGTGGTATCTTTTTTTTTTTTTTTGAGACACTTGCTTTGAGTCTTGCTTTCTTTTTTGAGACACTTGCTTTGTCTCCCAGGCTGGGGTGCAGTGGCTTAATCCCGGCATACTGCAACCTCCGCCTCCTGGGTTCAAGTGATTCTCCTGCCTCAGCCTCCTGAGTAGCTGGGATTACAGGCATGCGCCACCACACCTGGCTAATTTTTGTATTTTTAGTAGAGACAGGGTTTCACCATGTTGGCCAGGCTGGTCTCGAACTCCTGATCTCATGATCCACCCACCTCAACCTCCCAAAGTGCTGAGATTACAGACTTGAGCCACCGCGCCCAGCCTAAATGTGGTATCTTAAACATACACCTTTGATATTCTGCCTCCCCACCATCCCCCTCCCCTACCAGTTCTTTATTAAAGCAACTCAACAAACATAGAAGGAGAAATTCTATCTGCCCTCCCCCACTAGTTCTTTATTAAAGCAACTCAACAAACATAGAAGGAGAAATTCTATCTGCCACTGGAAACTAAAAGGTATTCTTATACTTCTGAGATTGTGGAAGGCAAAATTCTTTTTTTTTTTTTTTAATTTAACTTTTAAGTCCAGGGGTACATGAGCAGGTTTGTTATATAGATAAACTTTGTGTCATAGGGGTTTGTTTTACAGATTATTTCATCACCCAGGTAGTATCCATTAGTTATTTTTCCTGATCCTCTACCTCCTCCCACTCTCCACCCTCTGATAGGCTCCAGTGTGTATTGTCACCCTCTATGTGTCCATGTGTTCTCATTTAGTTCCTACTTATAAGTGACAACATGCAGTATTTGGTTTTATGGTCCTGCATTAGTTTGCTAAGGATGATGGCCTCCAGCTCCATCCATGTTCCTGCAAAGGATATTATCTCATTCTTTTTTATGGCTGCATAGTATTCCACGATGTATATATACCACATTTTCTTTATCCAGTCTACCATTGATGTGCATTTAGGTTGATTCCATGTCTTTGCTGTTGTGAATAGGCCTGTGGTGAACATATGCATGCATGTGTTTTATGATGGGATGGTTTATAATCCTTTGGGAATACACCCAGTAATGGGATTGCTGGGTTGAAAGGTATTTCTGTTTTTAGGTCTTTGAGGAATCGCCACACTGTCTTCCACAATGGTTGAACTAATTTACACTCTCATCAACAGTGTACAAGCGTGGAAGGCAAAATTCTAAGCGGGTCCCAACTCCCAACCCCAGATGTACATAGCTTATTTGTGGAGGAAATGCGGGAGTGTGGAGGGAATCTTTGACTATCACGGGATAATTGCTCCATTAATTAGACTGCATCATGTGGCACATGGTGGTGGCATAATCACTCCCTTCATTGCATCACATTTTATGAGACTCCCATGGAGCAGATTGGAAGAAAGTTAGAAGTCAGAGATTTGCTTCTGCTGACCTGGAAAAGAGCAAATGAACTGCCTTTGAAGGCCATGTGGCAAGAGACTGCAAGTGGCCTTTAAGAACTGAGGGTAGTTCCTAGCAAGAACACAGGGATCTCGGTCATACAGTCGCAAGGAAGTGAATTCTGCCAGACACCCAAATGAGCTTGGAAGAGGACCTGGAGCTCCATATGAGAACTGTAGCTACGGCCAACACTGATTGTAGCCTTGCAGGGGATCCAGCTGTACCTGGACTCCTGGACCGTGGGAACCATGAGATAACAAATGCGTGCTGATTTAAGCCATTAAGTTGTGGTACTTTGTTACACAGCAAGAGAAAATGAATACAGAGGGTGTAGAGTGGAAATCACATTACAGGAAAGACCATGTGCTCTTGCTCACCTTTCCTGGGGAAGCCCGTGGACTCCGTGGTCAGAAGCCTTGTTTGAGGGGGTCCTCTCACTGCCCCAAATCTCCTCAGGCAGTCAGAGGAGCAGATTCAGTGAGACTTGTCACTCTGACCCACTGCTGCCTGCCTTGATGGAGAGGAATTAGCACAACCGGAAGAGGAGCCCTGTTCACCTGCTGTGTGTCCTCAGCCCTAGCCCCGCTGAGAAAAAGCTCAAGCCCTCTTGTTTATCAACTCTCAGACCATTTCCTTTGGGGAAATCCCAGAGCCAGAGCTCTGCAAGAACTTAAGAAACTTGTTCCAGCTAATAATACTAAATAAGCTAGACAATAATAACAAACCACAGATGGGTAGAACCGTCTGGTGAAAAGGAGGGCACCAGATTGACCACTTAGAACAAATGAACCTTTCTGAAACAGGAACCAGGAGAGAGTTTAGAAGAAATATTCTAATTCAGATTCACAATGGTTGGAGAGATCACTTTTAAAAATGTCTTTCATGAAAAAGAAATACTCTGAAATAATTCTTTGGAAAAAAACTTAAACCATAATTTTCAAAATATAAATCTAAATAACAACAGTGAATAATATAATAGACAATTCCAAACACTGAATGATATTGACAGAATGTGCACATAAGAGAGAGGTCATGAGAAAGGATAAGTATCTTGGAGAACAGATTTGGAAGTCCAATCTAAAAATAACGGGAGTTGTAAATGCAAGAAAAAAATGCAATGAAGAACAAACAATCAGTGAATAGTAGAAAATACTTCCCCAGAGCTGAAAAAAGGGCTGTGTCTGCAGATTGAAAAAGTTCACCAATTTATGATGGCCTTATTTTTCAAAAGCCCATTTCTAATGTTAAGAACTGTGAAGGCTCTGAGACTTAACCATAGTGGCAAGTTAACAAAGCAAAGGAGTCTAACTCACCATCCTAGATATTCAGGGATTCAGAAGTAAATGTATAGCAATGATGTGCACTTTTTGGATAATTACTTGTGAAAATACTCTAGTTAAATAAAAACAGAGTAAAAATGACAAAAAAGAAAAAACCCACAATATACAGGAGAGTAGTAACTAGTAAAACTTCAATGAAACATAGAATTAAATCTAAATAAATTTTCATAAGTGAAGTGTGATGCAATTAAAAATAATCTTGAAAAAGAAGAGGTATAAGAAAATAATTTTTTGAGCATCTGAAAAATTAGGCAGATTATTCACTAAAACCTTGAGGCAGGAGAGAGGGAGGGAGGAAAAAGTAAAAGCTTGCAAAAGGTCCCAATCACATTTCTTTGTTAAAATATAATAATAGGCTGGGCGTGGTGGCTCACATCTGTAATCCCAGCACTTTGGGAGGCTGAGGTGGGCAGATCCCGAGGTCAGGAGTTCAAGACCAGCCTGACGAACATGGTGAAACCCGGTCTCAAAAATACAAAAATTAGCTGGGCCTGGTGGTGCATGCCTGTAATCCCAGCTACTCAGGAGGCTGAGGCAACCGAATTGCTTGAACCTGGGAGGTGGAGGTTGCAGTGAGCCGAGATCACACCACTGAACTCTAGTCTGGGTGACAGAGCGAGATCTGTCTCAAAAAAAAAAAAAATATATATATATATATATATATATATATATATATACACATAAAATAATCTACTGGTAGAGTGAATACATAGAGCTGTCTAGTCCATTAAAAAAACACAAAAGAAGAAGATATGAAAACTGGTTTAATGAAAGATAAATCAAGAGGGGAGAAATGAAATAAACAATAGTAGGAGGCCAGAAATAGTGGCTCATGCCTGTAATCCCAGTATTTTGGGAGTCCAGGGAAGGAGGGTTGCTTGAGCCAGGAGTTTGAGGCCAGCCTGGGAAATATAGTGATACCCCATCTCTACAAAAAATAAAAATAAATTAGCTGGGCGTAATGGTGCATGCCTGTAGTGCCAGCAACTTGGAAGGCCGAGGTTGGAGGAGAATTGCTTGAGCCAGGGAGGCCAAGGCTGCTGTTAGCCATGATTGTACCACTGCAGTACAGCCTAGGTGACAGAGCAAGACTGTCTCAAAAAGAACAAAAAACACCAAAAAATAATGGTAGGAGAGGAGAAATTTCTGTCATGTTCCCTCATGCAAGCCTGCGTTTAACCAGGGCCTTCCCCACAGGGAAGAAGCTTATGGGTGTTAAAAGGGAAGAACTCATGGTTGACTCCATCTCACTCATCTTTTCTTTTCCTGCATTTGGTTGGCAAATGAACTCAGGGCTTGTCTCAGGCTGTTTGTACTGCTATAACAAAATACCACACATTGGGGCATTTGTGAAGAACAGAAATTTATTTTCTCACAGTTCCAGGGGCTAGGAAATTCAAGATCGAGGCGCCGGCAAGTTTGTTGTCTGATGAAGGCTGCTCTCGGCCTCCAAGATGGAGCCTTGTTGCCACATCCTCCAGTGGGGAAGAATGCTGTGTCCTCACATGGTGGAAGGTGGGAGAGCAAGAGAGCTGAATGCTGCCTGAAGTCTCCTTTATAAGGGCCTTTATCCCATTCATGAGGGAGGAGCCCTCATGACCCAATCACCTCTAATGGCCCTACTCCCACTTTTTAAAAGACAAACTTGTTTTTATTTTTTATTTTTTTTGAGATGGAGTTTCACTCTTGTTGCCCAGGCTGAAGTGCAATGGCGTAATCTCAGCTCACTGTAACCTCTGCCTCCTGGGTTTAAGCAATTCTCCTGCCTCAGCCTCTTGAGTAGCTGGTATTACAGGCATGTGCCACCACGCCCGGCTAATGTTTGTATTTTTAGTAGGTACGGGGTTTCTCCACGTCAGTCAGGCTGATCTTGCACTCCTCACCTCAGGTGATCCACCCTCCTTGCCCTCCCAAAGTGCTGGGATTACAGGCATGAGCCACTGCGCCTGGCCAAAAAATCAACTTTTATTCTAGGTTCAGGAGGTACATGTGCAGGTTTGTTACCTGGGTATGTTGCATGATGCTGAAGTTTGGGGTATGAAAGATCCTGTCACCCAGGTACTAAGCATAGTATCCAATAGTTAGTTAGCCAATCCTTACCCCCTGTCTTTGCCTACCACTTCTAATAGTCTCTAGTTTCTATTGTTGCCATTTTTATGTCCATGAGTATCCAACTTTTAGCTCCCACTTATAAGTGAGAATATGTGGTATTTGGTTTTTCTATTCTTGCATTGATTTGCTTTTTTTCTGGATATATACCCAGTAATGAGATTGCTGTGTTGAATAGTAGTTCTAAGTTTTTTAAGAAGTCTCCAAACTGCTTTCCATAGTGCCTGAACTCATTTACATTCCCACCAACAGTGTAAAGGAGTCCTGTTTCTCCACAGCCTTACCCATATCTGTTGTGTTTTTTTTTACTTTTTCATAATAGCCATTCTGACTGATGTGAGATGATATCTCATTGTGGTTTTGATTTGCATTTATCTGATGATTAGTGATGTGGAGCATTTTGTTACATGTTTGTTGGCTGCTTGTATGTCTTCTTTTGAAAATGGTTCATGTCTTTTGCCCATTTTTAAATGCGGTTATTTGTTTTTTGTTTGTTAAGTTGTTTAAGTTCCTTATAGATTCTGGATATTAGGCCTTTGTTGGATGCATAGTTTGCAAATATTTTCTCCCATTTGGGAGAAATCCGTTAATAATTTCTTTTGCTGTGTAGAAGCTTGTTAGTTTAATTAAGTCCCACTTGTCAATTTTTGTTTTTGTTGCATTTGCTTTTCAGGATTTAGTCATAAATTCTTTCCCAAGGCTGATGTCCAGAATGGTGTTTCCTAGGTTTTCTTCTACATTTCTTACAGTGTGAGGTCACAAACATTTAAGTCTTTAATCCACCTTGAGTTAATTTTTGTATATGGTGAAAGGTAGGAGTCCAGTTTTATTCTTCTGCATATAGCTAGCCAGTTATCCCAGCACCATTTATTGAATAGGGAGTTCTTTCCCCATTGCTTATTTTTGTCAACTTTGTCAAAGGTCAGATGGCTGTAGATGTGTGGCTTTATGTCTGAGTTCTTTATTGAGTTCCATTAGTGTATATGTCTGTTTTTGTACCAATACCATGCTGTTTTGGTTATTGCAGCCTTACAGTATAGTTTGAAGTACAGTAATGAATGTCTCTAGCTTTGTTCTTTTTGCTTAGAACAGCTTTGGCTATTCATGCTCTTTTTGGTTGCATATGCATTTTAGAATAGTTTTTCCTAATTCTGTGAAAAATGATGTTGGTAGTTTGAAAGGAATAGCATTGAATCTGTAGACTGCTTTGAGCAGTATGGCCATTTTAACAATATTGATTCTTCCAATCTATGAGCATGAAATGTTTTCCCATTTGTTTGTGTCATCTATGATTTCTTTTAGCACTGTTTTGTAGTTCTCTTTGTAGAGATCTTTCACCCCGTTGGGTAAGTGTATTCCTAGATATCTTATTTTTTTGGTGGCTATTGTAAATGGGATTGTGTTCTTGATTTGGCTCTCGGCTTGAACTTTATTGCTACATGGAAATGCTACTGATTTTCATATATTGACTTTGTATCCTGAAAATTTATTGAAGTTGTTTATCAGTTCCAGGAGGCTTTTTGTGGAGTCTTTAGGGTTTTTTAGTTATAGAATCATATTGTCAGCAAAGAGAGATAGTTGACTTCTTTTCCTATTTGGATGTCTTTTTCTTTCTCTTTCCTGATTGATCTGCTAGTACTTCCAGTACCATACTGAAGTACTGGCAGTAGTGAGACTGGACATTCTTGCCTTGTTCCAGTTCTCAAGAGGAATGCTTCCAGTTTTTGTCCATTCAGTATGATGTTGGCTGTGGGTTGTCATAGATAGTACTTATTATTTAGGTATGTTCCTTCTTACTTGAAGGTTTTTTGTCATGAAAGGATGTGGATTTTATTGCAAGCTTTTTCCACATGTAATGAAATGATCATGTGTATTTTTTTAGTTCTATTTATGTAGTAAATCATGTTTATTGATTGTGTATATTGAACCAACTTTTTATACCAAGAATGAAGCCTATTTGATCATGGTGAATTAACTTTTTGATGTGCTGCTGGATTCGTTTTGCTAGTATTTTGTTGAGGATTTTTGCATCTATGTTCAGCAGGGAGATTGGCCTATAGTTTTCTTTTTTTGTTGTGTCTTTGCCAGGTTTTGGTATCAGGGTGTTGCTAACTTCATACAGTGAGTTTGGGAAGAGTCTCACCTGCTCAATTTTTTGGAATAGTTTCCATATTATTAGTACTAGCTATTTTTGTACATCTGATAGAATTTGGCTGTGAATCTGTCTGGTCCAGTGCTTTCTTTGGTTGGTATTACTGCTTCAATTTTGGAATTCAATATTGGTCCGTTCAGGGTTTCAATTTCTTCCTGATTGAATCTTGGGAGGTTTTGTGTTTCCAGGAATTTATTAATTTCCTCTAGATTTTCTAGTTTTTGTGCATAGAGATGTTCATAACAGTCTCTGAGGATCTTTTGTATTTCTGTGAGATCAGTTGTAATGTCACCTTTGTCATTTCTGATTGTGCTTATTTGGATCTTTCACATGCTCATCCATAAAGCAGGTCTCAATAAATTCAAAAAAATTAAAATCATACTAACCATATTATCAGACCACAGTCAAATAAAAATAGAAATACCAAGAAGATCTCTTAAAACTGCACAATTACAGGAAAATTAAGCAACCTGCTCCTGAATGACTTTTGAGTAAGCAATAAAATTAAAGCAGAAATTTTAAATTCTCTGAAATAAATGAAAACAGAGACACAATATACCAAAATCTCTGGGATGCAGCAAAAGTAGTGTTAAAAGGACAGTTTATAGCGCTAATGCCTACCTCAAAAAGTTAGAAGGATCTCAAACTCACGATCTAACACCACCCCTGGCGGAACTAGAAAAACTAACCCCAGTGCTAGCAGGAGAAAAGAAAGAACAAAAATCAGAGCAGAGCTGAACAAAATTGAGACCCAAAAACTATACAAAGAATCAACAACATCTAAAATCAGTTCTTTGAAAAGATGAACATGATCAATAGACCACTAGCTATATTAACAAAGAAAAAAAAGACCCCACCTCTTAATACCACCACAATGACCATTAAATTTCAACACCTGAATTTTGGAGAAAACACATTCAAACCACTCTGTCTCTGCATTCGCTACTGAGCATGCTCATCATCGCATAGTGACCAGCTGGAAAGTGAGTGAGAATCCCAAGATTTAGATTTGGGCATGAGCCCAAAGGTGTCTCTTATACCTCATGTCTAAACCATAGTCTTGATACGAGCTTTTACAGAGCTCTGTATTTAGTGCTTGCATAGCTAATCACGGAGTGGACATTGTTTTTCATTTGCTGACTGTGGAAAGCCCATGGGAAAGAGAATGATGAGCTGGATCATGTGATACATCTGGGGAGGGGGTCTCTGACCATATTAGCGTAATGACTAAACTGTTAAAATGTGAACCATGTCTTAATAAGAGCAGCTTCAGCAGCACAAACAATGACAACAGTGACAACAAAGGGAAATGGACACTTATACAATGTAGTGTAGACTTTCACCCAGAAATTCCTCTTACATAACTTACCTTTGGGAAAATACTTGCTCATGTGCTTCATGAGTTTGCAAAATCCCAGTGATGTTTACTGCAGTGTTTTCTTTAATAGAGAAACACCACTGGGAGGAATCTTTCATCAAGAGACGACAGCTTAAATAAATTGTGGCATATTCAGTCAATGACTTCAGCCCATGAAAAGAATGAGATTGATCTCTATATAGTAATCATAAAATTCATTAGGTGAGGAAAGTACATTGTAGAACATTATCTATATTGCAGTCATGTGTATGTGTTTATCCTAAGAAAGAGGTCTGGCAGAGCTGGGCATGGTGGCTCAGGCTTGTAATCCAGCACTCTGGGAGGCCCAACCGGAAGATCTCTTCAGGCCAGGAGTTTGAGACCAGACTGCTCAACATAGTGAGACCTGCTGTCTCTACAAAAAAAAAAATAATAATAATAAGTAAAAATTAAAAAAAGAGATATGGCAGTATATTATCTCTGGTCTCTGGAGACTGTGGGACTATAAGGGGTATTCACACTTTTTTGTATTCCTGTATTGTTTGAATTTTCTACAATGAGAATGTTAAAAAATTAAAGATAGTCTACTTAATGATAAAGTAGAGTGTATTAGTCTGTTCTCGTGCTGCAAATAAAAACACACCCAAGACTGGTTAATTTATAAAGGAAAGAGGTTTAATGGACTCACAGTTCCACATGCATGGGGAGGCCTCACAATCATGGCGGAAGGCAAGGAGGGGCAAATCCATATTTTACATGGTGGCAGGCAAAGAGAAAATGAAAACCAAGCGAAAAGGGTTTCCCCTTATAAAACCATCAAATCTCGTGAGACTTATTCACTACCATGAGAACAGTATGGGGAAAACAGCCCCCATGATTCAACTATCTCCCACGGGGTCCCTCCCACAACATGTGGGAATTACAGGAGCTACAATTCAAGATGAGATTTGGGTGGGGACACAGCGAAACCATATCATACAGCAAGTCCTCGAATAATGTCTTTTTTCCTTTCATTCAACATCATTTCCTTATAATGTTGATGAGAAGAAAAAATTGATTCTCAGCCAGGGCCACTGTCTGTGTGGTGTGTGTGTTCTCCCCATGTCTGTGTGGGTTCTTTCCAGGTACTTGGGTTTCCTCCCACATCCCACAGATATGCACATTAAGTGAATTGTGTCTAAAATGGTCCAGGTGAGAGTGAGTGGGGGTGTATGTGAGTGCACCCCATGATGGGATGGCGTCCTGTTGTGAGTGGGCTCCCACCTTGGACCCTGAGTTTCTGGGAGAGGTTCTGGCCACCAGTGACCCGGAACTGGACTAAGCAGGCAAATCATGTTACTTGTTTTGATTCATCCTTCTTAAATGTTAAGTAGAGCTTACATGTATTTCAATGTTTAATATTAGAAGTGCTTTGGGTCTTTATTTGAAAGTTGGGTTATGTTTTTGTGATCAGAAATATGCCAGAGGATCTTAACTCTTGTTTGTATCAAGTAGCCTATGATCAAATTGATTTCATTATATATCCTTTCACCTAAAGCTGAAATTTTCAAGAACCTATTGACAACATTAAGTACGAAATCACTGTACCAGATTTTTTTTTTTGTACACAAAGAAAAGCCCACGGTGTAATTACTTGGTTTCTTCCATCACTTTTGTCATTAAGTCTTAGCAATGTCACAGAGGCATTTTCCTAGTTGGTTTATGTAGGATAGATACTCCTTTTTTTTTTCTTTTTGTTTATGGAATCTAAGAATAAGTTCATGGGCTCCCTCTGGTTATTTTGTAATGTTTAGATTCCTCACATTATATACCTATTATCATCTGATAACAATATATTATATGTAATTGTATATTGATCATCAGAGCATAATAGGCTGCGACAGAAAAGTCTAAAAAATGAGAAGATATATATTTCTTCCAAGTGATTCAAACAGCTTTATGGGAATAATCACAGAAAATATTAATAGAGTACTAAAAACTAAGTAGAGACAAATGCTATGATTATTTTATGAGTGAAAAAGTGAGGTTTGGGGAGCTATGTGCAATCCAGCAAAATGGAAGTCAAGAATAGGTGTAAAAGCTTTCCATTGTTTTCCAAACATTCATCCAAGTCCTTTCCCTCTTCCTGAAACATGTCTACTCAAAATTCTTGATAGTTCTATTTTTTTTCTTTTGCCAGTAACTATGATGTCACAAGCATCAAAACAATTACTATATACTTACTAATCATTTCAACTTGTCAGCAAGGTTGTCTTATGTCTGTGGCCTATATCTGCATTAAATTTTTTTTAACATTTATTTATTTATTTATTTAGAGACAGAGTTTCACTCTCGCCACTGAGGCTGGAGTGCAATGGCATGATCTCAGCTCGCTGCAACCTCCACCTCCCAGGTTCAAGCGATTCTCCCACCTCAGCCCACCGAGTAGCTGGGATTACAGGCGCCCACCACCAGGCCCAGCTAATTTTCATATTTTTGGTAGAGACGGGATTTCACCATGTTGGCCAGGCTGGTCTCGAAGTCCTGACCTCAGGTGATCTGCCCGCCTCAGCCTCCCAAAGTGCTGGGATTACAGGTGTAAGCCACTGTGCCGGCTACTTTTATTTTTTTAGAGATGGGGGTCTCACTCTGTCGCTCAGGCTGGAGTGCAGTGGCTGGATCATAGCTCACCGCAGCCTTCAACTCCTGGGCTCAAGGGATCTTCCTGCTTCAGCCTCCTGAGTAGCTTGGATTACAGAGGCATGCCACCAAGCCCGGCTAATTTTTAAAAAGTTTTACTTTTTGTAGACGGGGACTCACTTTGTTGCCCAGGCTGGTCTCAAAACTACTGTTTCACGTGATGCATTATTTTTTAACCTACAGCAGTGCTTCAAAGTCACAGAGATTTTTGTCCTAGATCATTAGCTAAACTGCTTCTATTTAGAATTTTTTGTTGTTGTTTTCTTAAAAAAAAAAATCTAGAAATAAAGGTAGGAACGTTTCTTTCCCCCCAAGGTTGAGAACAGTCTCTTTCATCTGTTTTCCAGAATTTTAATAACTGCTTCACAGCCTCTCCTGCGGGTTAGATGTCCTGAGTGTGCTGATGTTTGCAACACTTCCCTTTTCTGCTGTTTGAATCATCTGCAACTTCACAGGGTTAGTAATAAAGTCGGCTGACGGGCAGATCTCATCCTGACCCTGGCAATAGTCACTCTTACCTAAGGCAACTGACTCAGGCTTCTCCTGGGCTCTTTTTTTCACCCCACTAGGCAGATTTCTCTCTATATATGGTAATAATGCTCCCAAGCAGAGGCCGCTGGCTTCCCCAGGAAAACTGGAAAGTGAAATCACATACCAGAGACTTTGTGGTACTGTGGCCACGGTCGTTTTTCTGCTACTAAGGGTGAAAGTCGATTATTAAAGCAATTGCATCTTCCAAGAGCGATTTTCCCGCATCCCTCCGGGCTTGGGGGCTGCAGGGACCCAGCCGGCACACTCCGCACGCCCTGCGGATGACTCACTGCGTTTGCACTGCCGCAGGCGGGCTCGGTGGTGGTGGTGACGCGGCCCGGCAGCCCGGGAACGCAGGCGGGCTGCACCCTCTGGAAGCCAGCCCGGGTCTCCGCGCTGTCTTTCCCAACATCAAAAATGCTGCTCCTATTTGCATAGTGCTTGACCTTAATTGGAGTGCTGTTAGCGCCCGCGATTCTCACCAAAACTTAGTGAAGTGTGGGTCAGTGATCTAGGCCCTTTACTCGTCGGGGAAACTGAGGCTCAGATGAATGTCTTGCCCAAAGTCACACCTAAATTGCACAGCTTAGATGTAAATACATAATTGCAGGGGGAGGCACTGTGCTTATGTCGCTCCATGCTGCGTTTTAGGTTTTCTTTACAAGGGCCAAACACCATCTGCTTTCATGTAATAAACTTCCATTCCACTTTAAATATATAGAAAGCAGCAGAGGAAGTTCAAGGGAGGGCATGAGCAAGCATGTATGGGAGTCCTATTTGTGGAAACATCACTCCAAATCAGTTAGTTTTTTTCCTAGTGAAGTTGATCAAAAGAAAGCCCAAGTTATTCAGAATGCTGAGATTTAAGGAAATGTGTAAAAATATTTATTTCTATCTTTTTAATGTGATCTCATTAGCTTTAAATAGCTGGTCTTCCTTGCTTTTTTGGGAGAGGAAAACAACGTATCTTCAAAACAGTTACCTAAAAATAGTAGAAGCTTTACCAAGGGAGCCAGGCGTGATGGCTCATGGCTGTAATCCCAGCACTTTGGGAGGCAGACGTGGGCACATCACTTGAAGCCAAGAGTTCGAGATCAGCCTGGCCAACTTGGTGAAACCTCATCTCTACTAAAAATAGAAAAATAGGCCGGGCATGGTGGTGTGCACTTGTAATCCCAGCTACTCAGGAGGCTGAGGCGGGAGAATCGCTTGAACTCAGGAGGCTGAGGTTGCAGTGAGCTGAGATGGCGCCGCTGCACTCCAGCCTGGGCCACAGGGCGAGACTCTGTCTCAACAAACAAACAAAAAGAAACTTTACCAAGGGAGTTGTAAATAGAGGTTTGTTTTCAAATTTCATTTTCAAATGCAGCAATATTTATTTTGCTGTCGATATTGTTAGAAAGTGTGTAGGAGAAAACTGAATGTTGTTAGAATATTTAAAAATATGCAGCAGTCTCACAAGCTTCAGTAAGTTTTAAGTTCCTTTGGGTGGGTGTGATAGTTATGACATCAATTGAAGAATACTAACTGTAGAGTATGTTAGACAAAATACACACTCAATGGATGTTGATTAAAACCATTCTTACTCCACTGTTCGAAGCAATTCAATTGTTGTTGTTGTTTTTGTTTGTTTTTGAGATGGAGTCTTGCTCTGTCACCCAGGCTGGAGTGCAGTGGCGCAATCTCAGCTCAATGCAACCTCAGCCTCCGGGGTTCAAGCAATTCTCCTGCCTCAGCCTCCCAAGTAGCTGGAATTACAGGCACACACCACCACGCCGAGCTAATTTTTGTGTTTTTAGTAGAGAGACGATTTCACCATGTTGGCCAGGCTGGTCTTGAACTCCTGATCTCAGGTAATCCTCCTGCCTTGGCCTCCCAAAGTGCTGAGATTACAAGCGTGAGCACCATGCCCAGCTGAAATTCAATATTAGAGTCAGGTTTGAAGCCCACTGTCAGCATCATTGTACTGTTGATTTAAGTATAGTTCTATCCAGAAGAAGAATAAACTAGATGTCTCCGTAAAGTAACTTTTAGTCATGTTTCTCAGCCCTGTCTGGATTGCCAGGGCATTTCTAAAAGGGGCCAGGCACAGTGGCTCTTGCCTGTAATCCTAGCACCTTGGGAGGCCAAGGCAGGAGGATCACTTGAGGCCAGGAGTTGGAGACCATCCCGGGCAACATAGCGAGACCCCGTCTCTAAAATAAAGTAAAAATAGGGCCAGGCGCGGTGGCTCATGCCTGTAATCCCAGCACTTTGGGAGGCCGAGGTGGGCGGATCACCTGAGGTCAGGAGCTTAAGACCAGCCTGGCCAACGTGGTGAAACCCCATCTCTACTAAAAATACAAAAAATTAGCTGGCTGGGCATGTGACGGGCCCCTGTAATCCCAGCTGCTTAGGAGGCTGAGGCAGGAGAATCGCTTGAACTCAGGAGGCCAAGTTTGCAGTGAGCAGAGATTGCGCCATTGCACTCCAGACTGGGCAACAAGGGCAACAAGAGAGAAACTCTGTCTCAAAAAATAAATAAAATAAAATAAAATAAAATAAAATAAAATAAAATAAAATAAAATAAAACAAAATAAAATAAAATAAATAAAATAAAATATAAAATAAAATAAAATAAAATATAAAATAAAATAAAATAAAAAATAAAAATAAAATATAAAATAAAATAAATAAAATAATAAAATAAAATAAAATATAAAATAAAATATAAAATAAAATAAAATAATAAAATAAAATAAGCCAGATGTGGGGTTGTGCGCCTGCAGTCCCAGCTACTGGGGAGTCTGAGCTGAGAGGATCGCTTGAGCCTGGGAGGTTGAGGCTGCAGTGAGCCATGAGCCATGGTCGTGCCACTGTACTCCAGCCTGGGCAACAGAATGAGAATCTGTCTCAAAAAATAATTTTAGAAAAGGGTGGCAAAGGCTGTATGGCCTTTGGGAACAGTCTCATTGCTATTCACCTTGATCATGTCTTCCACCTGCACAATTCCCACTGCCTTTCCCACCGGCACTCCCCTTAACCCTGACTGCAAAAAATTAATGAATGAATTAATTAAAAATTAATACATTATAATCAATATAGTCTCACTTTATAACACTATCATTACCACCTTCATTATCTGTTCCTGCCACTATTTTTCACCTGGACAAAACACAAAGACGTCAATCAAGCAACAAAAAACTCCAAAAAAACCACACAAAAAGCAAAAGTACCCGTACCCCAACTCAGTAGTCTGAAAACCCTTCCGGCATTTTTCAGTGGACTACAGAGCGATATTGGGCATACCAATTGGTGTTTCCTTTTCTAAGTTCAGAAGACAAATAGAAATGTATGAGCCACAGTGCTTAGTTTTTCCATATTGTGGCTCTCATTTTTCCAGCGGGATGCAGAGAAAGTAGTTCTTGTCTGTCACCTAGTGGACAAAAATGGATTTGCGCCTTGCCACTATGCTCTGGTAGCTAAACTTCAGAAACCGCATTGATTCAAATAAAGATTGTTGGATTCTATGAGATGATTCTACTTTCCGAGCTTCAGAGCTCCACAGGTTGAAAAAAAACAAGATGATATAATGCTGAAGACTTGTTGCAAAACAGAACAGGAGTTGATGCAAAATCAAGATGGGAAGAAAACCACACTTACAGAACCACGTAATAAATAGCTGTGCTTGGTGAGGGAATATTATTGTCATTCATATGAGTCAATTGCAATCAGAATACTATGTGGAGCAATGGCTTTAAATGGCCCCATCCTCCAATAAAGCAAAGCAAACAAGAACGTATTGCTGACTTTCAAATGAGCAGAAGTTCTTGTAATCCCCCTGCTAAAAAATTTAAATGAACTTTAACCCAACTCTTTCCCTTGTATCTAGTAAGTCATCTAGTCTTACCAGTTTTTTTCTTACTGCTACTAAGAGTGAGCAATAGATGCTTTTCCATATCAGTTTCCATCTTAGCTCTGACCAGACTACACACTGTCATTAGATTCATCTTCCTTAAACTTGTCACTATTTTTTGAAAATACCCTAGAACTCAATTTCCCTTTCTTTCCAAATACCTCCTCCATCTGATTTCACTGTTACTTTAATCCAGTGTCATCCTACCCTTACATTTTCATTTCCCTGGCCCATTGAAGAAGTGTTGCTCATTGCAGCCTTTGAGTCTTCAGATGGGGTCCTGTCCTTCCCTCCCTTTGCCAGATGAAGCCTTTTCATCCTGTAGGATCCAGCCCAGCTGTTGCCCCTCCATGTCACTCTCCCTTGTCTGAGTAATCCTATGAGGGTTATAGGTTATATTCTATAACTGTGTGCTTGTGCAAATACTTGTCAAATGGTTTACTATTGATACACAGGCTTCAGTCTCATCTTATCCAAAATCTATTGGGAAATATTCCAGGCCAGATACCATTTCTTATCCCTTTTCAAGCCCTCATCGGGGTCTACATGTTTGGGAGCACTGTGAGCTCAGTAAGATACTTGTCGATTGGTTTTCTTTATCAGCTCATAATTCTGCAAGGAAGATGGAGCTGGTATTGTAATTCCTGATTTACAAACGAGGACGCTGAAGCCCAGAGCATTTTCAAGACTTGTTCTTGGGAATGGCAGTGCCAGGACAGGAGCTCTGGGTATTTCCTCCTTGTCTAGTCCCCTTCCTGGTGCACCCCACGGTCATCATACTGATAGAGTGATGCACTAAGCCTGTATTTATTTTCAGATCGATTTCTAGATAACGAGCACAAGCTCATATTGTGAGGAGCAGCTAGACAACAGATGATAATCAGGGTGTGTGCTTATGCAGCCTGGGTGGCAATTTCAGTTCTTTCTGGGTGGCGATGCCACACTTTCAGCCCACACCCATTTGTCCTTTTTGAAAACCACAAACGAGTGCTTGGGCATGTATGACATTCTCCGGCACAGCCCTCTGCACTCATCCAAATACCTGAACTGGCTTGTTTACTCCTTTAAACCACAGTGGCTCCAACTGCTTCCTGCCCTCCTAGCCTGCTGGAAGGTCTCCTGTGGTTTTGGAGCTCACAGGCACATGAGGAATAATTAAAAACCACTGCCATGCGAAAGGGTGTTTTAACGAGTTGTCAGTGAATGACCGGAGTCGGGAAGAATTTCTAGGTAGTTCCTCCTCTGGCCACAGGATGGATTCATTTTCCATCTGGAATTGCACCATGAAGCCTCCTTGGATGCTTTTGTTCTTCCATGCCTGGCTTGGGCCCTGAGGCTTGGGTGTGCTGGGCAGGAGCACAGGGTAGTAAAATGAAAATATCATGTCTACACTCAGGGAGTTCAGAGGGATGGCCTTGATGAAATCAGTCCATTAAATACCTAGAAAATAGATGTTAACAAGATTGTTATGCAATGCTACTGATTTAGAATGATCGTGTGTATTAATCAAACAAAAGCAGTAGAGAGAGGCATAAATTGATTGTTTAAGGAAAATCTAAATGCATAGTTGTAACAAGTGACTTTTATTTTTTCTTTCTGCTTTGAGACAGGGTCTTGCTCTGTCGCCCAGGCTAGAGTACAGTGTCTCTATCACAGTTCACTGTAGCCTTTATCTCCTTGGCTCAGGTGATCCTCCTGCCTCAGCCTCCTGAGTAGCTGGGACTACAGGTGTGCACCACCACACCTGGTTGATTTTGTACTTTTTGTAGAGGTGGGAGTCTCACTTTGTTGTCCAGGCTTGTCTCAAACTCTTGGGCTCAAGCTAGCCTCCTGACTCGACCTCCCAAAGTGCTGGGATTATAAGCCAGCCAGAAATGACTTTTATAATTGCACCTAGAAGTGTCATGAAATGCAATATTAGTACTTCTATTTTATGATAATACTATTGACATATAAAGAAGATTGATTTTAAAATTTACAAGAAAAAAAAAACCCCATTAAAAAGTGGGCAAAGGACATGAACAGACACTCCTCAAAAGAAGACATACATACGGCAAAAACATATGAGAAAAAGCTCAACATCACTGATCATTAGAGAAACGCAAATTGAAACCACAATAAGATACCATCTCATGCCAGTCAGAGTGGCTATTATTACAAAGCAAAAAACTAACAAACAAACAAACAACAGATGCTGGCAAGATTGGAAAGAAAAAGGAATGCTTTTACATTATTGGTGGGAATGTAAATTATTTCAACCATTGTGGAAGACAGTGTGGTGATTCCTCAAAGACCTAGAGGCAGAAATACCATTTGACCCAGCAATCCCATTACTGGGTATATACCCAAAGGAATATAAATCATTCTATTATAAAGATACATGCACGCGTGTGTTCACTGAAGCCATTCTGTTATAAAGA
The DNA here is from genome assembly GCF_000001405.40 of Homo sapiens. Classification (NCBI taxonomy): domain Eukaryota; kingdom Metazoa; phylum Chordata; class Mammalia; order Primates; family Hominidae; genus Homo; species Homo sapiens. Next base: position 33,011,806 of record NC_000010.11, read on the forward strand.
TACATGCACGCGTATGTTCACTGCAGCACTATTCACAATAGCAAAGATATGAAATCAATCTAAATGCCCATCAGTGATAGACTGGATAAAGAAAATGTGGCACATAGCCCCATGGAATATATGCAGCCATGAAAAGGAACAAGATCATGTCCTTTGCAGGGACATGGATAGAGTTGGGAGCTGCTATCCTCAGCAAACTAATGCAGGAACAGAAAAGCAAACACTGCATGTTCTCACTTAAAAGTGGAAGCTGAATGATAAGAACACATGGACACATAGCAGGCAACAACATACACTGGGGCCTGGCACGGGGGTGCAGGGGGAAGGAGAGCATTAGGAAGAATAGCTAATGGGTGCTGAGCTTCATACCTAGGGGATGGGATGGTCCGTGCAGCTACCATGGCACAGGTTTACCCATGTAACAAACCTGCACATCCTGCACATGTACCCCTGAACTTAAAAGTTGAAGAAAAAAGAAAGAATATTGGTTTTCGACCAAGTTATTAAAAAGTTTCATGATAAAAGTGGCAAGAGATTTTAAAATGAGAATTGAAACCAACTAGGAACTTGCCATGTAATGTACCAGATGCAGAGGACTCAAGAAGAGCCCAGAATTATTCCCACTGGGAACTGCCCAGATGGTGACGACAACACCAAGTACAACTGCAAACCTCGTGTTCTTCTGTTCTCCCAGCAGGCCGGTGGGAGGGAAGACCAGCTATTCAGAGCCCTCTTTTGTAGGCTTAGAAAGTCAAATGTCTCCCCAACCCCACATTCTTCATAGCTTGGTGGTTGTGGTGAGGGTGGGTGGGTGCCAGTTCTGAAGCCAAGGCCGTGTGACTTCACTATCCACTGAATATTCATACACCAGTGTGTTAAGATACAAACTCCAGGCCGGGTGTGGTGGCTCATGCCTGTAATCCCAGCACTTTGGGAGGCCGAGGTGGATGGATCACGAGGTCAGAAGTTCAAGACCAGCCTGGCCAAGATGGCGAAACCCTGTCTCTACTAAAAATAGAAAAATTAGCCGGGTGCAGTGGCGCCTGCCACTGTATTCTCAGCTACTCAGGAGGCTGAGGCAGGAGAATCGCTTGAACCTGGGTGGCAGAGGTTGTAGTGAGCCGAGATTGCACCACTGCACTCCAGCCTGGGCAACAGAGTGAGACTCCATCTCAAAAAAAAAAAAAAAAGGTACTAACTCCACCCATGTCATAATAATATTGACTATTCAGCTCTTGGAATATGTGTGCAAAAATATTATTTTTCTACTCTTATGTAAATTCAAATGTTGTCTGAACAAGTTTTGAGAGGTGACAGCGTGCTGGCAGTCCTCAGAGCCCTCGCTTGCTCTCAGCACCTCCCCTGCCTGGGCTCCCACTTTGTGGCATTTGAGGAGCCCTTCAGCCCCCCACTGCACTGTGGGAGCCCCTTTCTGGGCTGGCCAAGGCCGGAGCCCACTCCCTCAGCTTGCAGGGAGGTGTGGAGGGAGAGGCACGAGCGGGAACCGGGGCTGCGTGCGGCGCTTGCGGGCCAGGTGGAGTTCCGGGTGGGCGTGGGCTTGGCGGGCCCCGCACTCGGAGCAGCCAGCCAGCCCTGCTGGCCCCGGGCAGTGGGGGACTTAGCACCCGGGCCAGTGGCTGCGGAGGGTGTACTGAGTCCCCCAGCAGTGCTGGCCCACCGGCACTGCGCTTGATTTCTCGCTGGGCCTTGGCTGCCTTCCCGCGGGGCAGGGCTCGGGACCTGCAGCCCACCATGCCTGAGCCTCCCACCCACTCCATGGGCTCCTGTGCTGCCCGAGCCTCCCCGACGAGCACCACCCCCTACTCCACGGCGCCCAGTCCCATCGACCACCCAAGGGCTGAGGAATGCGAGCGCACGGTGCAGGACTGGCAGGCAGCTTCACTTGCAGCCCCAGTGCGGGATCCACTAGGTGAAGCCAGCTGGGCTCCTGAGTCTGGTGGGGACGTGGAGAGTCTTTATATCTAGCTCAGGGATTGTAAATACACCAATCAGCACCCTGTGTTTAGCTCAAGGTTTGTGAGTGCACCAATCGACACTCTGTATCTAGCTGCTCTGGTGAGGACGTGGAGAACCTTTATGTCTAGCTCAAGGATTGTAAATACACCAATCGGCACTCTGTATCTAGCTCAAGGTTTGTAAACACACCAATCAGCACCCTGTGTTTAGCTCAAGGTTTGTGAATGCACCAATTGGCACTTTGTATCTAGCTGCTCTGGTGGGGCCTTGGAGAACCTGTGTGTTGAAACTCTATCTAACTAATCTGATGGGGAGGTGGAGAACCTTTGTATCTTGCTCAGGGATTGTAAACGCACCAATCAGCGCCCGGACAAAACAGGCCACTGGGCTCTACCAATCAGCAGGATGTGGGTGGGGCCAGATAAGAGAATAAAAGCAGGCTTTCGGAGCCGGCATTGGCAACCCACTCGGGTCTCCTTCCCCACTGCGGAAGCTTTGTTCTTTCGCTCTTTGCAATATGTTTTGCTACTGCTCACTCTTTGAGTCCATGCTGCTTTTATGAGCTGTAACACTCACCGTGAAGATTTGCAGCTTCACTCCTGAGCCCAGCAAGACTACGAGCCCACCAGGAGGAACGAACAACTCCAGACGTCCCCCCCTAAGAGCTGTAACACTCACCGCGAGGGTCAGCAACTTCATTCTTGAAGTCAGTGAGACCAAGAACCCACCAATTCTGGACACAGTTTCCGTGGGAAACCTTGGGGAAAAAATCCACTGGGAAATGTCTTGTGGGCTGGGCGTGGTGGTTTATCCCTGTAATCCCAGCACTTTGAGAGGCCAAGGTGAGAGGATTGGTTGAGTCTCGCAGTTCAAAAGCAGCAGGGGCAACACAGTGATACCCTGTCTCTACAAAAAATTAAAAAATATTAGCTGGGTGTGGTGGTGCACACATGTAGTCTTCGCTACTGGGGAAGGTGAGATGAGAGGATGAGTTAAGTGCAGGAGTCGGAGGCTGCAGTGAGCTATGATGGCACCACTGCACTCCAGTCGAGTGACACAGCAAGACTCTCTTTTTTTTCTTTGAGACGAAGTCTCACTCTTGTCCCCCACGCTGGAGTTAAATGGCGCGATCTCGGCTCACTGCAACCTCCACCTCCTGGGTTCAAGCACTTCTCCTGCCTCAGCCTCCGGAGTAGCTGGGATTACAGGCGCCTGCCACCACACCTGGCTAATTTTTGTATTTTTAGCAGAGATGGGGTTTCACCATGTTGGCCAGGCTGGTCTCGAACTCCGGACGTCAGGTGATCTGCCCACCTTGGCCTCCCAAAGTGTGGGGATTACAGGCATGAGCAACCGTACCCAGCTGACTCTGTCTCTTAAAAAAAGTTTTTTAGTATAAATTTCACTGTGTATGAGTTAGTTTGATTTTAAGGAATCTTCCTATCACTTCACACGAAGTGCTAATGAGGAAGACAAAAGACTAGAATCATGCCCATGGTTTTTTAGCCTTTTATCGGCCAACGACATCTGCAAAGCCACTTGCTGTGCTAAGTAACTAGGATCAGAACCTGTATGGCCTGGAATGTCTGTCTAGTCAGTAGACCTTGGACACAGACATCACAAAACTATATAACCAGAAATGACAGGTTGAAAAACATGTTCGAGGTTGTTGCTTATCTTTAATTTTTCTCAAACATATCAGAAACTATATTCCTTAAGTCCTGGATGCAAACCACATCTTTTCCATTTAACGTGACAAACTTGGACTGATAGATGGTTTCTTGCTGACAGAAAATTCTGGGTGGGTTCGTAAGACCAAGTCAACTTAGCAGAAAATCCTGTGTTGACTTTTCGTGTGCAAGGCTCTAGTTTCTGATTTCTTGAGTGCCAAGGGGAATGTATTGCCAGAGGAAATGAAAGCTTGATTGATTAGAACAGAGTTCTGCCTTTTAAAAGATTCAATTGCTGGACTTAAAGGACTGCATTGAACTCTCAAGGGGGAGGCTGCCCTTCTAATTCTTTTCTCTCCCTAGGCAGTGGTGACTCTTTTTCCCATGCCTTGAAAGAGCATGTTGTGGACAGTCACACTGTGGGAATAGCCTCATGTAAAACATCCCTCGGGTCTTGGTCTAACCATAACCATCTATTAGTCATCTATTAGAAAAGGAAAGGCTTCAGAGATCCACAAACTACAGACAAAGCAAGAAATGTTTTCTCACTTCACATGACATTGGCAGGAGTGTACTCTCAGTGGGACAGCTCCCACTTCTGTTAGAAAAGTTAAAAATTAAAGTGCACTTAGTAACAGCCTTGCAGGCTGCACTGGCAGGCTCCTGGACACACCATACCTCTGTCTAACTACAACTGTGACTTTGGTGTTTCTCTGCCTGGTTGGCACATGGCACAACAGTGGGCAGTCTCTAGCCTTCTCTTGAGGCAGGCCCTGGGCTGCTGATCTAGACTGTTTCTAGTTCAGACGGTGATCCCCTTGTCCAAGTCCCCTCTAAGTCAAGCTCTAAGTGACTCCAAGCCAAACTGAAACCTTATCTCCCAATGGGACCCAAAAATAAATTGGATACTCAGAGATGTTCTAGGCAGGAAATTATTCTGGGTCAAACTTCTTCATTCCCAATTCATTATAAACTGCACTTGCATAACAGGGTTGTATTAGTCCGTTTTCCCACTGCTATAAAGAACTACCCAACATTGGGTAATTTATAAAGAAAAGAGGTTTAATTGACACAGTTTCTCATGGCTGGGGAGGCCTCGAGAAACTTACAGTCATGGCGGAAGGGGAAGCAAGACCTTCTTCACACGGCAACAGGAAAGAGAAAGTGAGCAAGAAAGGGAAAACTGCCTTATAAAACCATCAGATCTCGGGAGAACTCACTCACTATGGCGAGAACAGAATGGGGGAAACAGTCCCCGTGATCCAATCACCTCCTCTCAGTTTCCTCCCTCAACACGTGAGGATTATGGGGATTAAAATTCAAGATGAGATTTGGGTGGACAGAGTTAAGCCATATCAAGGATCAATCAATTGGTAAGGTTATTTTTGCCTTTTATAAGTTATAATATTTAATTTCTGTGATTTCGACTAGATAAAACCTGCACACATACAGAATCCATAAACCACAGAAGAGTACACAGTGAAGTGTTTCTTTCTTACCCGCATTTCCCAAGGATCCAGTTTCCCTCTTTGGGGACATCTGTTTTTACCCTTTCTTTAACCTTCCGGGGATGATAATATATGCCTACACCCACACTACACATACACAGATAAATACATATGATTTTTCATCAAATGATTGTATACTGTACAATGTTAGTTCTAAATATTATTTTTTAAACCTAGCAATATTACATTGAAGCCATTCTTTTTGACTGCTGTATAATATTCTGCTTCATGGATATGTCATAATTTATTCAATCAGTTTCCTGTTGACAGACTTTTAAATTGTTCCCAGTATTTTGATATTACAAACAATTCTGCGGTCCACATCTTTGTACCTACATAATTTCACATGTATATATTTGTAATATAAATTTCTAGAAGTCAATATAACATCTTATAATTAATGATATGCTACCTGTTTTTACTGATGCATTAATTTCTTTCACTGTGTAATCAGTGTTTTCTTTTTCTTTTTTGTGATAATGTGAAAAATTAAATTTTCTCTAGCGGTTTGTTTTTATAAGAATATAGTATGCCTTATATAATGACTCTATTTCTCTGATTATCATTTGTTTATTTATTACTATAATCAATGTTGAATTCAATGATTTCCACTTAACCCCAGCCTTCCCTCTACTACATGATTTTGTTTGATTTTTGCTATTTTTCTTAGTATTAATATTTATATAATTAAATAAACCTAAATTTGTTGGTTTATCAGCACTGGTGCTTGGCTATAGGATATAAGGAAATCTCTAAACCTACAGTATTTTCCTCTTTCTATCCCCTTTATCTCTGAAATTTTGTTATTTATATAGTATTTCTGTTGTCAAGAATTATTTCTTTATCTTTGGTATCCATTAGCTCTACTGGAATATGTCTCAGTGTTGATAATTTGATAAAATGCTTTTCCTAGAATAAGAGGTGCCATTTAAGATTTAGACCCAAGCCTTCTATTAATTCTGGATCTCATTAATCTATCATTTGTATTTGTTATTTTTCTCTAACCCTTTCCAGCTCTCATCTACTCCCATTTCACCTCCTCACTCTTCTGACTCTTGTCCTCCACGTCTCTTGCTATGTTTTCAGCAGTGTCTAGGCCCTTCGTGCTATTTCTGAAGTCACCTTCATAATTCTCTTATTATTCCATCTAATCTTCCCTTATCATTTGGCTTTAAACTCTTGTGAGTTTGTGATGAGATATTGATGCTAGTTTTTAACTGGTCTGTGGGATACTGTTTTCGTGATATTTGTTTTCCCTTCGCCTACCGCCATGATTGTAAGTTTCACTGCTTTTAAATTTGTCAATCTCCTCCACCTCCCCCAGCTTCCTCTCCTCCATTTCTTTCTGCCTTTCTTCTTGCAGTGTCTTTCTATAGATCCTGTGATACTTCCATAGCACTCGTCTTCATTAGTATGGGCTTCCTGAACCAGCAATTATCGGTGGTGAATGTGAGGCAGAGGACGGAGCCATCTAACTTCCTTGTGAAGTTCCTCTTTGCAGAGTGGTATGTGTGAGTGAGCTCTCTTTTTCTTCTCTCTGCCCAGCAGAGATTGGCAGCTGCATTGCCATTGGCCATGCACACCCCCTTGCCTTTACCCTGCCTTGTGGGCAGATGGGATAATGGTGATCCATTATTCAACTCTGCCTCTTGTGTTTCTGGAGGACAGAGGAAAGGAGGCATTGATAGCTTTATTCTGCCATTTAAATACTGGAAGTCTGCCAGGCACGGTAGCTCATGCCTGTAATTCCAGCACTTTGGCAGGCCAAGCTGGAGGATTGCTTAAGGCCATGAGTTTGAGACCAGCCTGGGGAACATAGCAAGACCCCATTTCTAAAAAATTATTTTTTAATTTAAATATTGGAAGTAAATTGATAAGTTTTTATTAAGGTTTGGTAATATGGAGAAAAGAGCAACGGTCTTGAAGCAAAATGAGCCATCCCGCCTCTTACTAGCTATGCAACTTTCAACCTCCCTGAGCTCATACTTTGCTGTCTGAGATGATAATGAAGCCTTTGTAGCCTGGCTCCTGGGGTTCCTGTGGGCAAGAACAGCAAAATGCATGTGAAAGTACTTTCCATGAAATTCGCTGTATAAATGTGAGAAAATCTTAAAATTAGTATTAATCATAACTTTTAAAAAAAGCAAAACCATCATCTCTTAAGGCCTATCTTAATGCTGGTTTCAAATTTACAGGCCTCGAAATGCAGGAGGTTCATAAAAGCATTTTGCTCACGCTGAGACTTCCATTGTTTGTCGAGGGAACATTTCAAATTTTAAAAGCACCCGCCCTTCTAAGGAGCCATCTTCATTTTTGAAGAGCCCCAAGTAAACCCTGCATGATTTTTATCATCCATGTTTATCACTGTTTCTGCCTCATAATTACAGCTTTAAAATAAGCTCTCCATTATTTGTAGAAACCTTTTAATGTCCAAAAATAGCTTATCTTAGAATTCACCAACAGCATCCCAGAGCCAGCCTGAGGGAAAGCTCTAAAAACCTAAGATAAACTGCTGTGTTCTTGCTCTGAGGTGGGGTTCTCAAAGTGTCTTTGATTAGAATCTAAATCTGATTCAATTTCACTGACTATCTACTACCAAAAAGAAACCCCACTGGTGAAGAGTTTCTTACAGTCCCAGCACTCTCTCATATGAGAAAACTTTTTGGAAGAGCGAGAAATTTTGTGCAAAAATATAAACTGGTTGTTTTTAAGCTATGCTTCACAATATGTTTCCTCAGTCCAGATAGTTCAGATATAGATCAAATATGTCACTGACAATTTACGACATGTCTCATAGGGTTTATAAGAATTAGAGAGATGATTTTCTTTTTATTTATTTATTATTATTTATTTTTGTTAGTGTTATTTTTTATTTTACTTTAAGTTCTGGAATACATGTGCAGAATGTGCAGGTTTGTTACATAGGTATACATGTGCCATGGTGGTTTGCTGCACCTGTCAATCCATCATCTAGGTTTTAAGCCCCGGATGCATGAGGTATTTGTTCTAATGCTCTCCCTCCCCTTGCCCCCCACCCCCGTGACAGGCCCTGGTGTGTGATGTTCCCCTCCCTGTGTCCATGTGTTCTTATTGTTCAACTCCCAATTATGAGTGAGAACATGAGTTGTTTGGTTTTCTGTTCCTGTGTTAGTTTGCTGAGAATGATGGTTTCCAGCTTCATCCATGTCCTTGTAAAGGACATGAACTCATTCTTTTTTATGGCTGCATAGTATTCCATGGTGTATATGTGCCACATTTTCTTTATCCAGTCTATGATTGATGGGCATTTGGGTTGGGTTCAAGTCTTTGCTATTGTAAATAGTGCTGCAATAAACATACATGTGCATATGTCTTTAGAGTAGAATGATTTATAATCCTTTAGGTATATATCCAGTAATGGATTGCTGGGTCAAATGGTATTTCTGCTTCTAGATCCTTGAGGACTTGCCACACTGTCTTCCACAGTGGTTGAACTAATTTACACTCCCACCAACAGTGTAAAAGCGTTCCTAAGATAAATAATTTTCTATTTTATTCATCTTATTGAACTTTATAAAACTTTATAAAAGGTATAAATTTCGATAATTCACCTTCAATAATTCAATAAATATTTAAGAATGCTAATTCTTCTAGAGCTGCGATGGGTAAATGATGCTATAGAGAGGACACCAATGACATGATTTAACATTAATTTTGAACATGGGATGTGCCAGGCATTGTACTAAGTATGTGTGATTGCAACAAATCCTCAAAATATTCTCAATTATTAACTTATGTTGTTGTAATAAACATCTTCAATATCTCTGTGGATTACAACGAATATTGATTTGACACTCATACTACATTAGGACTGAGGGTCAGCTGCAGCTCCCCTGAGCTGGGCTGGGCTTTTATGTTTTCATTCCAAAAACCAGGTTGAAGCCACTCCCTGAGACAGCAAAAGAGCTGGTTGCAATGCCTCTGAAACCTTCTGCTCAGACATGAAAAACATCCCATCCAATCTTGTACCATTGGCCAAATCGAGTCACAAAAGAACGAGAAGGAACAGTACATTCCATCTGTCGAGACGGTTGGCAATGGCAGAAAGAGTTCAAATAATTGTGAATAAAGAATGCAATCTGTGGTCAGGTGCGGTGGCTCATCCCATAATCCCAGTACTTTTCGAGGCTGAGGTGGGAGGATCACCCTAGGTCAGGAGTTCAAGACCAGCCTGCCCAATATGGTGAAACCCTGTCTCTACTAAAAATACAAAAATTAGTCAGGCATGGTGGCTAATTGGGTACAGTGTTCACCATTTGGATGATGGGTACACTAGAAGCCCAAACCTTGCCATTACACATATACTCAGGTAACAGACCTGCATAGGTACCCCCCGAATAATACTCTGGGAAAAAAAAGAATATGAGGATACTGGGAATGAATGGGCAACACCCCTAACAACCTCTGCTTAGACAAGGCAAATCATTTACCTGCTTGTGCCCCTTCTTGACAAGTGACATAGCCAAACCCAAATCAGTGAGATGAGGCTAATTACAGGGAAATCTCAAAAAGAGGAGAAGAAAATGAATACTTATGAACAAATGATATAATCTTCATGCCTCATGTAGCAGATACTGTTATGAGTCTTTTGATAAAGAAGGAAATGGAGGCTGGGTGTGGTGGCTCGTGCCTGTAATCCCAGCACTTTGGGAGGCCGAGGCGGGTGGATGACCTGAAGTCAGGAGTTTGAGACCAGCCTGGCCAACATGGCGAAACCTCGTTTCTACTACAAATACAAAAATTAGCTGGGCGTGATGGCACACTCCTGTAATCCCAGCTACTCGGGAGGCTGAGGCAGGAGAATAGCTTGAACCCGGGAAGTAGAGGTTGCAGTGAGTTGAGATCGAGCCACTGCACTCCAGCCTGGGTGACAGGGCGAGACTCCATCTCAAAAAAAAAAAAAAAAAAAAGGAAATTGAGGCACAGAGAGATTGTTTTGTCCAAGGTCCTACAGCTGCTTAGTGGTGGAGCCAGGATTTTACCTGAGGCAGTCTGTCTGACTCCAGGATGTTAAATTGCAGATTATTTCCCAGATTCCTCCTCCAGAGCACTCTCTCTCTCCTTCTCTCTTTTCGGAATTTCCCATACCATCTTGTCTAAGTCTTCAAGAGGCTATTAATGAAAAGAACTTTAGCAGAATTTTCAAAGATGGCAAATCATAAAGGCTGTGTGAAATGATGTTATGGGTTTCTTCAAGAAAGAACTCATTAAATTGATGCCAGTTGTAACTTGTGAGACCATAAAGCTTAACGTAAGAATATTGCAGACAGGAAGGTGATCCAATCACAGCGTGTTCAGTAATTACATTCCTTTAGAGGCACTCCCAGTTTGCTCTGAATTGCCGTGCTACGCTTTCACCCAGAACCTGGGAATATAAAAACCTGAAGTATCATATTGTGGAAGGGATTCAAATTTCTGAATTTACACCCAGATAAGGAAATCTTTTAGGACCAATCCTAAATGATTTGTCAGTATCAGCCTAAGTCTCTGGATTCAAAAGTAATCGTGCTCTCGTTAAATATCACATTCAGGAAAACAGCTATTAAAGCCACATGTTACAAACCCATCACGGGCAAGTGTTAAAATTCCAAATGAGGTTTCCTTCTCATCCTTGACTTTTCATTCTTTTACTACTCTCATTTCTTCACATCTATCTCAGATGTGCCTGGTAGAAGAATTTCCTGTAAATCGCATTCCGATTTGTTACCAGGAAGGCACTGAGCTTAGATCTGTTATATATCAAGTTTCCCAAACATTGCCTAAATAAATGTATTACTATATAGATTAAACCGAATTTAAATAAAGTCAAGAGTGGCCTTGGGGAGAGTCATATACAAACATAGCTGACGCCCTGAATGATGTGAATGGGAAGAGCAAGGGGAGGAGTAGCAAAGACTGAGCCTCAGAACCTTTCATATTCTTAGAGGCTCCTCCCAGCTAGGGGCTATTCAGGTCCCAGCATACCAGCTGCCATGATTGTTAGGGGGAGAAATCAGGTTGTCAATACTAAAAGGGGTGTTGATAATGAATCAGAAAAGTGATAAATGAGAAGTTTAGACTTTTCTCACTGTATTGGCTAAAGAGAAATAATCCAACCAGGCTAATTAGTAGACTGTGCACAGTTGTATGAACTCAGATTATGTAATTCTTGGAATATCACATCACTGGTAAAAGTATTATTGTTGGTTTGATAATTTTTAGCATTGAAGGAGATTTGCGTGCTGTACAGAGGTCTGTTGTGGTGGCTTACGTCTGTAATCCCAGCACTTTGGTAGGCCAAGACAGGAGGGTCACTTGAGGCCAGGTTTTGAGACTAGCCTGGACAACAGAGCAAGACCCCATCTTTACTAAAAAATAAAAATAAATAAATAAATAAATTCCATATCTAATCTAGACCATAAGTATTAGACACCATTACTAGTAGTGCTAGGCCTGCAGCAGCTTCACAGGCTGTGAAGACTGGAGGAATGATTATTATCTTGGTGGCTCGGGTGAAGTGTAAATTTAAGATGATGAGAGTCCCATGATAAACATTTATAATATTATGCCTTTTAGACGTAGTAGTGAAGATATTAGGTGGAATTGGTAAACTAGTATCTTTAATAAAGATATAATGAAAGCTAGAATAATATTATTATAAATAGAAGGCCTATTGGTAATTACGAGTAATTATAATTTGAGTCAACATAATTTAATTTAAATTAATTACCCTATTCAACTCACTCTAATCCTCTATGGAGCCATTTATAGGCAAGTCCCAAGGCTAGAATGGAGACTAAATAAGTGCTATAATGAGTATTAGTTTTAGGCTGCTGCTTTGGAAGTCTCAATCTAAAGTCAGCCATGATTAGGTTTTAAACATAGGCACATTTACATTCTAGACTTTCTTGCCCTAGGGTGCTGAAAATAGGAAGGAACTTCCTAAGGATGTTGACCTGCTTTTGATGGAAACAAGAACTGAGTATTCTGTGACCCTTAGGAACCCTGCCTGGAGACCTGGTTCTTTGGAGCTGGCTCTGTACTGCCTTATGGAAGTAGTCAATCAGGGCTGGGAGAATGAGAGGACCACGGTGCACCTATGGCCAATGAATTGGGGACAATCTGGTGCTATGGCTTGTGCAGGACTCCCACACCCTCCTGGAGAAAAGTGAGCAGGTGCCATTGGTTTTTATCCCATTGGGATACCATTGGCAAGCAGCTGTCTTTTCTCTGAGAACTTCCTCACCTATTGAATTAGTGGATAGGTTAACTACTATCATGAACAACCTCCAATTTTTAATAGCTTAATGGCATATAACTTTTCCTTTCTTTCTTTCTTTGTTTTCTTTCTTTCTTTTTCTTTCTTTCTTTCCTTCTCTCTCTGTCTTTCCTTCCTTCCTTCCTTCCTTCCTTCCTTCCTTTCTCTCTCTCTCTCTCTTCTTCCTTTCTTTTCTTTTCTTTTCTTTCTCCTTTCTTGCCTGGCTCTGTCACCCAGGCTGGAGAGCAGTGGTGCAATGTTGGCTCACTGCAACCTCTGTCTGCTGGGTTCCAGCGATTCTCCTACCTCAGCCTCTCGAGTAAGTGGGATTGCAGGCATGCACCACCACTTCCAGCTAATTTTTTGTATTTTTTAGTAGAGGCAGGGTTTTACCATGTTGGCCAGGCTGGTCTCAATCTCCTGACCTCAGGTGATCCATCCACCTTGGCCTCCCAAACTGTTGGGATTACAGGCGTGAGCCACCATGCCTGGCCAGAACATTTATTTCTGACTCAGGTCAGAGTTTGATTGGGTATTTGGTGGACAGCCTCCCATGCAGTGATCATAGGACCCCATGATTCTTCCACCTAGTGCCTCTGCCATTTTGTGAAGTCCTAGTGGTCTTCACTGGAAGATTCTGGAAGTGGTGCCCATTGCATTGCTCAGATTTCATTTGGCCAGATCTTAGTCACAGTGCGTCCATATAATTGTCTGGGAAGCTGTGCAATGTAGTCTTCCTGGGTGCCCAAGAGGAAAATGAATGGGTTTGAAGAACATGATAAGAAGGCCTATGGGGCCCAACAAGCCTATAGGTAAGAACCGAGTGATGCCCACCTGCTGTGAAGAATGCAACTGCTAAGCCAAGCAGTTTCTCTTCTCTTAGCAAAAGAAGTTCTGAGCCCTTGGCAATGTCTACGACACGCTACACAGTCCAGCCCTCACCTACCTTTCAGGTTTCATCTCTTGCTGCTCAGCACTCAGCCCTCTCGCCTTCCCTGCCCTGTGCACTTAACACTCTGACCACACCGGACTACTGGCTATTCTTTGAATATGTCTCACACGTTCACACCTTTGGGCCTTTGCAAATGTCATTTCCTTTCTGAGACTCTTTTCCTCCACCATAAGACCAGCTTTTCCTCCACCATAAGACCAGCTCAGACATCTCTTCTCTGTGAACACCTTCCTTGAACTTCCTCCCCCAAACAGAATGAGTTACTGCCTTCTTCATGCACCCACAACCTTCTTTATGGTATTTTATTATAATACGACATTGCATCTTTTTAATTTGCTTTCCTGTTTGCCTCTCCCCCTATACTGTAAAATGTTGGGAGAAATAATTAAGTGAGATAGATAGGTTAACTACTTGTACGGAGCAATCTGCAATTTTTAGTAGCTTAAAGGCACAGAAAGTTTATTTCTCATTCAGGTCATAGTCCGATGGGGTATTTGGCCATGCAGCAATTCTGGTTCCCCAGGTTCCTTTCATCTAAGGGCTCTCTCCCTTACTGTAAAGCATTGGGAGAAATAATTAAGTGATACTGATACCTAGGAGTCCTTAAAGATATCAGCATCTCAGTGAATAACCTCTTAGCAAGTATAAGTCAATAATCAGGCAGAAATTCTTGCCTACAATATAGTAAAAAACCTGAGTTTTATTTAAGAGAAGTTGTAAACTATTTGGGAATGTGTTCTAGATGCATCATTCATCCCTGGAGAAATATAAAAGCTAAAAGAAAGCATAGGTAATACATTTCTGAGGTCAAGACAATCATGATACTGCTCTCCACAGTGGTGGCTGACATACACAGAAACGAATAAAACAGATCGGTGAGGGTCTCTGATTAAATACAATTTCCACAGCATTTGTACTGAGGAACCCTCAAGTTTTGGAGAAATGCAGGACAGAAATCAGCTTTCATGAACATTTCATTGCCTGGTCTATGTGAAGGAGGTCCTGTCACAGGGGAATGCGGAAAGCTCTGGGCTGAGTTACTTTGAATCCTTCTTTCTCAATAAATGAGCCTGAATTTCCACCTTATCAAGGTCAACACGGACAGCTACAGTTCAAAAGAAGATTTTTCCATTACCATAATGGATTGCAATAAAAACCATTGGCCGAGCCTCTTCCTCCTCATCTTGGCATTTACAATCCAAGGCTTAGTAACTTTCAGAGTAAAATGAGTTCACCTTTTATTCAGACTTTTATTTCATGCAGTAATTTCATCTGCTTGTGCTTATACAAGCTCAACATCTCTCTGGTTCCCTCTCTCCTGGCTCTGATTTCCCTACTGCCTCAGGCCAGACCTTCTAAGACAATCTTTCCTAGCAGCCAATGCCATGGTTGTTGCTCCCAGGACTGTTAAAAATAGACCCTGGTCTGCTGCTTCGATCCTTAAAGAAAAAGAGATGAGATCATTTTCCGCTTGGAGAGTAGATCCAGACTGTGAGTGATTGGCATTAGGGCATTCAATTGCAGAAGAAACAGGTGTTAAAGAGACTTCTCCCATCTTATTAAGCATCCTTTTCATACGTTGATTCACAGACTTGTTTCAATTCTCATGACTGAATAGGCAACCCTGTAATTTGTCAGCTATATCCATTTTTCCACCCCCTGGCAACAGTTTCTCTTCAGTTTCTGCCAAGATTGTCTATTGTCTCCATAAGTTTCTGCCCAAGGTAAGTGACAGAAGGATGGCCATATGAAATTAAACAGCAAAAAGCAACAGGCATGTAATTTAACAGAACTACCAGGCAGGAACATCAATCTGTACTTTTATTTGCATTCTGGTAATGGGGTTCCTCCCATGCTTTTCAGGTGTTTTCTGACAATACCTTAAAGTTAATCAACTTTTAATCTTTGGAAATGACCCTTTGACAAAATAAGGAGCAAGATGGGGGTACGTATAAAAAGGAGAGAGAATCTTACAGTGAAAATACTGAATATCAGAAATCAGGAAGATATTGATTGCATTCCTTTCAAATCTTTCAGCCACAGTGTAAAACATTTTTAGCACAGGAGGGGTGAAAACCACAAAACATGTTTATACCTGAGTAAGCTAGAGGTTTGCAAACACCCTGTTACAGACATCAGGATCAGAAGGCAACTTCAGTTTTAAATACCCCAACTGAGGAAACGACAACGGCTGTTCATGGAAAGATAGGTATTTCGGAGAGATCCGAGTCCTAATTCTAGTTTTAACATTGACCATCTCTCTAACTTTGAATAAATTTTTTTATTTCTTGCGACCCCAGTTCCTTCATCAGCAAAGTGAGGAAATGGAATTAGATGATCACCAAGATGACTCCTAGCTCTAATGCTCTGTGAATGCCATCGTCTACTCTTGTGTCATGTCATCTGACAAATCAATTCTGTAGAGTTACAGTGCCCAGCTTATGCCACTGGAAAATGGCAACAACTGTGAAATGAATCCCTTGTTGATTTGCCTTAATATTTTCAATTTGGAAAGAGTCTGTGTGAATATGTGTGTATACCTTGGTATGGGCCACATACCTGTTGTAAGGTGTTATATTCAGATTTAAAAACCTTAAAGCAACCAAGTAAAGCCATTGCATTTAGGAGACCAAAACCTAGAGGATCCACCCTATACAGACATGATACCTTTCTTTCTCTCCTTTATCATTTTTTTCCTTTAAACTATCCTTCCCCTTTTCTCATTTCACTTTTAGAATCCAGGGAGGACTCCTTCAGACTGGTGCACTTCTGTGTAACAGATTTCTAGTGCCAAGGTTCTACTGAGGCCTGGAGGGACTGCCTTGGTCTTCTCAGGGAAGATTAGGGCCAAAGGAGAATGGGAGTGTGCCAGTCTGTGATAAGGCTTGCCTGAAGCAGGGGCAGTGGGTGATGACACCCAGGAGGTGAGTGAGCGGTTTTAAGTTCTTAGGCCAATAGACTTCTGGTAGCCTTCAGAAGTTACCCTGAGCAAGTTTCTTTCTCTCTCTCTTTCTTTTCTCTTTTACTTTCTTTCTTTCTTTCTTTCTTTCTTTCTTTCTTTCTTTCTTTCTTTCTTTCTTTCTTTCTTTCTTTGTTTCTTTCTTTCTTTCTTTCTTTCTCTCTCTCTCTCTCTCTCTCTCTCTTTCTTTCTTTCTTTCTTTCTTTCCTTTCTTTCTTTCTTTCATGGAGTTTCATTCTTGTCATCCAGGCTGGTGGAGTACAGTGGTGCCAATTTCGGCTCACTGCAACCTCCGCCTCCCGAGTTCAAGTGATTCTCCTGCCTCAGCCTCCCGAGTAGCTGGGATTACAGGCGCCCACGACCATGCCCAGCTAATTTTTGTATTTTTAGTAGAGACAAGGTTTCACCATGTTGGCCTGGCTGGTCTTGAACTCCTGACCTCAAGTGATCCACCTGCCTCAGCCTCCCAAAGTGCTGGGATTACATGCGTGAGTCACCACGCCCAGCCCTGAACAACTTTCTTTAATGTGGCCTCTACCTTAGATAGCGAAGACCAAAATGCTTCTAAACCCTAGAAGGTGGAGGCTGAGCAAGTTTCTTTAATGTGGCCTCCACCTTCCAGGGTTTGGAAACATTTTGGTCTTCGCTATCTAAAGTGCAATATGCAAAATCAGTTCTTTTCCAAACAGATGTTTTTGCAAAGCTTATTATTCTTCAACCTGGTTGTTTGAACTTAGATGTGCGATAAATTCCCCTATATGTATGTTTTAAGTAACAGACTTTATTTTCTTTTTAGTTTCACTTTTATAACAGAGACAGAGGAGAAAAACAATTTCAGAGAAGAAATTTTATTTATTTTCTATTTTTTATTTTTATTTTTGAAACAGAGCCTCATTCTGTCATCCAGGCTGCAGTGGCACAATCATAGCTCACTGCAGCCTCAAGTTCCTGGGCTCAAGTGATCCTTCCACCTCAGTCTCCTGAGTAGCTGGGATAACAGGTGTGCACTATCATGCCTGGCTAATTTTTTACCTTTTTTTTTTTTTTTTGTAGAGATGGCGTCTCACTGTGTTGCCAGGGCTTGTCTTGAACTCCTGACCATAAGGCATCCTCCCACCTCAGCCTTCCAAGGTGCTGAGATTACAGGTGTGAGCCACTGTACCCTGATAATTCCAGGACTTACTTTGATTGGAAGGTTTTTTTTAATTACTGCTTCAATTTTTCTTTTCTTTTTTTTTTTTGACACAGTGTCTCACTCTGTCAGCCAGGCTGGAGTACAGTGGCACAATCATGGTTCACTGCAGCCTCAACTTCTCAGCCTCCAGCAATCCTGCTGCTTCAGTCTCCTGAGTAGCTGGAACTACAGGCACACACCACTATGCCCAGCTAATTTTTGTATTTTTTTGTAGAGATTGGGTTTCATCATGTTGCCCTGGTTGATCTTGAACTCCTGAGCTCAAGCAATCTGCCCGCCTCAGTCTCCCAAAGTGCTGAGATTACAGGTGTGAGCTACTACTGTGCCTGGCCTAGAACAGGAATTTTAAAAATAAAACTCCGTGGCCCAAACTGAACCTAATGCCCAGAATTACCTTGATGTCTGCTATTGGATTAAGATTGTTGGTCTATTGGTCTTTGCCTAGTTTTTATGTGTGAGCCCAGCAGAGAGCCAGGCACCATGATGGGTTCAAGAATGTGAAGCCGGGATCCAACTTGCAGATAAGCGGATGCTGGCACTGGAAATGAGGTGTGGCTGCTGCACTGGTCTGAAGCTCATTAGATGTCTACTTGCTTGAGGCAGTGAGGTGCCTAGAAGCAAACCCAGTCAAAAAGAAAGAGGCAACCAGGTTTGCAGACTTAACCCAGCAATCAAACCTTGCCTACAGGTTGAATGAGGTGATTTGGAATCTGTCTCTCTGATTCTTTCTTTTGTAAATTTTTTAATATTTTATTTTATTTTATTTTTGTATCCCTCTGATTCTTTTCCTGGCTGTCTTCCAATGAAGTCCTATTTTAGGAACAATGTTTCCCTAAATAAGGACTGTTTTCCTAAAAGCTCTCATAAGACATCGGAGACACAAGAAACAGGACTTGAGGGCCCCATCCAATGAGATGACGAGCAGTGGTCATGACAGCCTTCAGGCAGAGCAGCAGGTGCGCTGAGCAGACTTGATGTGGGTGACAGTGCCAAGTGGAAATGCCTCAAGCAGTGTATGGGAACTGCAGGTGAGGCTGTTTTCAGCAGGCATAGCAGTGCTCAGCAGGGGCTGATACTGCAAAAGGGAAATATATATATTCTAGAGACAGGGTCTCACTCTGTGTGCCAGGCTGGAGAGCAGTGGCATGATCATAGCTCACTGCAGCCTGTAACTCCTGGGCTCAAGGGATTCTCCTGCCTCGGCCTCCCACATAGTTGGGACTACAGGCATGCACCACCACACCTGGCTAATTTTTGTATTTTTTGTAGAGATGGGAGTCTCACCATGTTGCCCAGGCTGGTCTCGAACTCTTGGCCTCAAGTGATCCTTCTGCCTCGGTCTCCCAAAGCACTGGAATTACAGGCAATGAGCTACCATTCCTGACCCAAAGGGGAAATATTAATGAACCCTGTAGACACATTCTGAAGCCCCCCAGAAATATTCAGGGCAAGGACTGAATGCAGGGAGCAGGTGAGGTCATGAAGGACCAAGATTTTCATGACAGAGGTTAAGGTTTTAGTTTGTCCTTCTGGAGTTTATAATCTGGTTGAGAAGGCAAGACCATCACCCCTGAAAAACTTGAAAATAATAAAATATAGGATGTGATCAAACACTAAATTGCTTTTTAGATTTTTTTCAGCCTAATCACAGCAGTCTTTGAGAAGGAGATGGAATCTCACAAGGACTTAAAGAGTGGGTGGGATTAGGAAAGGTAGAGGGTCTTCCAAAAGCATTAAAAACTGTGGGCCAGAAACGAAGACCTCTTACAAGCACATTGAGCCCTTGCCATGTGCCATAAACTGTCTTAGGACCTTTCCGCCACGTGCGTTTAATCCTCACAACAACTAATAAAGAAGGTTTTATTTCTACCATTGTACAGAGGTGAAGATCGGAGATTCATATGAAGTGATGGCCCATGCCCATGCCATTAGGATGGGAGAGCTGAGTGAAAGGCAGATGGCAGATCTGTCTGCTCCCGGGGAACAGAGGGGACAACGCAAGACAAGGAACAGGGATGCCACAGAACAGGCAGGAAACCTTGGGAGCCATGCCCAGAGGCTTGTGAGCAGTTCTGTAGATAAGGGAAAGTCACTGGGGATGTTTTTGGAGGAAGGCTAATATATTGATCGTTGTTGGGCTGATTAATTAGGAAATGGGAAGGAAGAGCCTGAAAATAAAGGCAATCTAGCGAGAGCATAAAATTAATAATCTAGATATCATGGACCATGAAGGAATGGTGAATTGAACGTTTGAAAGGAAGAAACGACAGGCCTTGGTGACTTGTTCTTTTTTCTCTCTTAGAGGCAGGGTCTTGCTCTGGCATCCAGGCTGGAGTGCAGTGGCCCAAACACAGTTCACTGCAGCCTCAACCTCCTGGGCTCAAGCAATCCTCCTGCCTCAGCCTCCTGAGTAGCTGGGACTACAGGCAAGCACCACCATGCCTGGCTAATTTTTTAAATTTTTTTTATAGACACAGGGTCTCACTCTGTTGCCCATGCTGGTCTCAAACTCTGGGCCTCAGGTGACTCTTCTGCCTCTGCCTCCCAAAGTGTTGGGATTGCAGCTGTGAGCCACCATGCCCTGCTGACTTGTCCTTAATAAGGACCACACATCTTATGACACCAGAAGACTCTCCAAGGAAATGCTGCCTTTTATCTGGTGGGCCAGGTTATGGCAATGCTGGACCAAACTGTAAGTCCAGGCCAGCACCAGAGGCCAGGGATTTCCCCAATCACTAAACTGAAATGGAAAGTCAAGCTCAGAAACTCATTGCAAAAATGAACCCGGACACAGCTGGTAGTAACGATCTTTCTGGGACGCTAGAGTCCTCCTCAAGTCCAACCAAGGGTGTGAGCAAAACAGAAGACCTCTGTAGACTGGAACCAGGGCTCCCCAAAGTCTACCAAGCACAGAACTCAGACAAGGTCTGAGATTTTATGTCTCTCTGTTTCAAGCAAGGAGATTAAAGGACGCAATTAGTAGCCAGGCTCTTAGAACTATAGTTTTAGCTTAGCTGTATTTTAGAGAAGTCTCAGTCTTTGAAAGAGGCTAGGCTCTATTTTACATATGTCATATTCCTGGCTAGAGTGATCAATAAGTGATAATGCCCTAATTCTCATCCTGGAGTATATGTGAGTGTGTGTATGTAAAATTGTCTGATGTTAAAATGTATCATTAATTTATTTTCCAGCATCTAGGTTAGACTATAACGATGTGATATATATCAAATGAATTTCATGGCTACAATCCAGATGTAACAAATGAATCATTTAAAATGATCTGATGCCAAATTTTTCATTTTCTTCCATTTTATAAATGCATCCTATCTCAGCTCAAAATCAATCTATTAACCTTGAAAACATTTTGAGCTGGAACAAAGGTTAGCAGTGAACTTTCCGACCTTCCACATGATATTAGTCATAGTTAGCAATTATTATTGGCTTTGAGCGTTGAGGAACCGGATGAGACAAGACTCATAACGTGGCAATGACCAATAAACTGAACTTCAGAGAACGCAGTGAAAATGAAGAGCATGCAAAATCTGGGTTTTAAACCCCGAGCCTGTCTGCTACAAAGCTCCTGTCTTTTTAAAACAAATTTGAATGTCTTGGCAGCTATTCTGATAAATTACACATAAAATACTCATGTAAAATCCTTGTGTTATGAGACAAGGAATTCTGTTTACTGGATTTGAAGGGCAACTGAAGTCTGAAAAAATGATGTGTCTGCTCTCAAAGCCTCCACTGGGATGAATCTGATGGATTTCCCAGGTGCTAGAACTATTTTCTCTGCCGTGAAACAGGAGAAACAAGGCGGATAGAAGCTTAGCATGATTTTTAAAATTAAAGTCCAAATGAATATCTCAACTAAAATTGCCTGAGGAATACATAAATATATTATCCTCTGGATGAATTTTGAATTACATTATATAGATTTTAACACATTATAAAACATAATATAGATACTTTTGGATTCATGACATGAAAGAACAGTAAATGTTTTGCTCATATGGGACATAGGAAAATACTTCTCTTAAATTCCTCAGCCGTGTTTTATAGATATTCTGCTTCTGTACCACTAAGAGTATGGAAACTTGTTACTGTAAATGGAATATTTTTCCTCAATTGTTAGTTAGACATGAAATAAAATAGTGCCATCTTTCCTGTAAAAGAGCCTCACTTCATGGAATTTCAAAGTATTTTCTGTTGTATTATTTTTCTTAATTTAAAAATATTTTCCCAAGGCAGGCAGATCACCTGAGGTCAGGAGTTTGAGACCAGCCTGGCCAACATGGTGAAACCTTGTCTGTAGTAAAAATACAAAAATTATCTGGGCATGGTGGCTGGCACCTGTAATCCCAGCTACTTGGGAGACTGAGGCAGGAGAGTCACTTGAACCCAGGAGGCAGAGGTTGCAGTGAGCAGAGATGGTGCCATTGCACTCCAGCCTGGGCAACAGAATGAGACTCTGTATCAAAAATAAATAAATAAATAGAAATATGTTCACATGTGCACCATCTCATTTTATTTGCTGTCCTTACATATGAAATATCTATTAAATATATAATTTTATAGTATTATCTACAGAAGAAAAAAAACACTAGATTGACTTCTCAGGCCAAATGATAAATATCTTCTACTTCCAGATTTAATTACATTTTTTTCTTTTCTTTTCTTTCTTTTATCTTTTTTTTTTTTTTTGGGACGGAGTCTTGCACGGTTGCCTAGGCTGGAGTGCAATGGCACGATCTTGGCTCACTGCAACCTCCGCCTCCCGGGTTTATGTGATTTTCCTGCCTCAGCCTCCCGAGTAGCTGGGATTACAGGCACACACCACCACACCCTGCTAATTTTTTGTACTTTTAGTGGAGACGGGGTTTCACTATGTTGACCAGACTGGTCTCGAACTCCTGACATCTGAGTAGTTATAACAGAAGAGGTGGGTGGACCTATCTGATATACTTTCCATGGGTCCTCTTAAATATTTAATACATCATGAGGTTCATTGTAGATTCTCAGTTCCTCTTGAAATGAAAATTCCAGTTCCAATGGAACTCCTCGGAAAATGGAAGGAGCCTCCACTTCCAGAAAAGATCCAAATAAAGATTACGAGAATGAGCAATGGACCTAAGCTATTGAGGGCACAGAAATACATTGGTCTCTGTCTAGGAAGAGGCTACAGGGGCCAAGTCAACTATAAGGATTTGCAAATACAGCCTGGGCAATGTGGTGAGACCCCATCTCTACAAAGCATTTTTTAAAAATTAGCTGGGTGTGGTGGTGCACACCTGTGGTCCCAGTTACTTGGGAAGATGAGGCAGGAGGATTGTTTGAGCCCAGGAAGTTGAGGCTGCAGTGAGCCTTCTGTTCATGCCACTGCACTCCAGCCTGGGCAACAGAGCAACACTCTGTCTCGATTTTCTTTTTTTTTTTTTGAGACGGAGTCTTGCTATTGTCGCCCAGGCTGGAGTGCAATGGCCTGATCTCGGCTCATGGCAACCTCCACCTCCCGGGTTCAAGCAATTCTCCTGCCTCAGCCTTCCGAGTAGCTGGGATTACAGACACACGCCACCATGCCCAGCTGATTTTTGTATTTTTAGCAGAGACAAGGTTTCACCATGTTGGCCAGGCTAGTTTCAAACTCCTGACCTCATGATCCACCCACCTTGGCCTCCCAAAGTGCTGGGATTAAAGCGTGAGCCACTGTGCCTGGCCTAAAAACTTTTTTTTTAATTAAAAAAAAATTTGCAAATAGCTTTGAGTCCTATTGTGAAAGAGGATTAATCCTGGGTACACTCATGAAAGACTTGGGCTAATCTATTAGTGTTTTACCCCCACAATTCTCAGAGAAAGCAATAGAGGATTAAATTCCAAACCTGTCTGAAGTTAGTGTTTTACTAGGAACATGTTTATAAAGAAATACTAGAATTTACTTTTAGTATCCCTTTGTGACAAGTAATAATGTATATGTTTTGCTTAAACTCTTTGGATGTTTTGAAATGTTTTGGTTTAACTAGCAAGTACTTTATTAATGGCAGCTTATCCCATAGATATTTTAATGATTTGGCCTAAGAACAAAATTAATCTTCCTGGATTTGATTTCTCTAAAACATATCCACCAAATGCAATTGCCCTTTCTGTCAAATAAGCCCTTCCTGGTATATAAGTCTGAAGTGATTTTTTTTTCTCTCTCATTACGGTTGTTCCAAGATTCTTGACATTCTCTAAATCATCTTTCGCTGAGTACAAGAGGTCCATGAGGAAGTCAAGATCGATGATAGACTTCATCTCTCTTGAATTTTAATGCAAATGTCTGTTCCCCTAATCAAACAAAGGTTAAAAAAGGAAATCAAATTAGCTTATTACAAAAGCCAGCATAACTGAGCTGACAAGAAAAATGCTTTCTGCATAAAAAGTCTTTAATCAATACCTTAAATAAGAATGTCACTGGAAAAGAAGAGTTCATATGTGGTCAGTTTTAATCTGCAAATCAATACGTCCTTTTTAATAAATATTTGACCACAGCTGCTCAATAAGGCATTGTCCATTAGAATTTCTTTCTTTAAACCAAAATGAAACAAAATTATAGCATAAATGTAATGTTCAGGGCATAACCTAAACTTGTGAGAGAATTCAAGGTTAGGGTTATTTCACCATTTAATTGTTGGGTATTAAATATTGGTGAGATTCTCTTTAGTACCTTGTCCCAGATATTAGCGGTCTACTTAATTTAGCTGTTCAAAAGTAAAATGATGTTGGAAAATACATTACTTATTAGAGTTAGGTCTAAGATGCAATTTTCCTAGTCTAGGTATAGTTTACCTACCTGAAACTGTTTAATCAAATAACATACAAGCAATATAGTCCAAATATCAGCAAGTTTGTAAACAAAGTCTACAAAAATACAGTCGTGGCAGATGACTTTTTATAAATAAGTATACTTTCATAGTATTCTATCAAAACTATAATTACTAATATCTGATAAGCTTTTTTTTTTTTTTTTTTTTTTTGAGACAGGGTCTCTCTCTCTCTGTTGCCCAGCCTGGAGTGCAGTGGCATGATCTTGGCTCACTGCAACCTCTGCCTCCTGGGCTCAAGCGATCCACCTACCTCAGCCTCCTGAGTAGCTGGGACTACAGGCGTGCAACCACCATGCCTGGCTAATTTTTGTATTTTTGGTAGAGACAGTGTTTTGCCATGCTGCCCAGGCTGGTCTTGAACTCCTGTACTCAAGTGATCTGCCTGCCTCAGTCTCCCAAAGTGCTGGAGTTACACGCATGAGCCACCGTGCCTGGCCAATGGCACTTTCTATAAGCATAGTAGCAGCCGTATATGTTGGTAGGTCGTTTGTATCGCTACCGATGGCAGTGGCGGCCCAACTGCAGCAGCAGCCGCAGGGATGCCAGTTGCAGTGAGGGAGGCGTGGCCAGGGCTGTGTGCTCAGTGGAGCCAGTGGGGGCTGGAAACAGGCAGAAGCCCTGACCCCTACCGAGTTGGTGGGGCGGGAACCCTGTGCTCCCGGGCGCAGCTGCCCAGCCATGGCTCCAGACCCAGGTATCCCTGCACTCTCGGGGGCCCAGGAAGCCTCCCTGCCCTGTCAGGCTCAGAAAGCCTGCTCCCTCTCTCTTGTCTCTCCCTGCTTCCGATGCCCACTCTGATCTTGAAGCAAAGTTGAAGCCGAGCCTGGGCGCTGTCGTGACCTAGCCAGGTGTGCACACACTCAGGGCCGCAGTGACACATCATCCCCCCCTGGCCTTCTCAGCCCCCTCTGAAACTTCAGGCACTGACGAACTCTGAGAGGGAGGCCCGGGGGCTAGGGGAAGCTCAGCATGAACAGCCTGGGTGTCGTGGATGGCATGTTTATGGTGGCAGGAGGCAGACAGTTTCCTAGGTGGGAAGGAGAGGGGGCTGGGATGCTGGTTCCAGATGGAGTCCAAGACCAGGAGTGAGAACTCAAGGTGCTTTTTCCAGGCCCAACCATGGCCACCCATGGACCAATCAGCATGCAGTTCCTCCCTTCTGAGCTCCTATAAACCTCAGACTGAGCCAGACTCATACAGTCGTTGGTGGGACCTGCTTGTGGAAAGGGGCTACCCACTGTAGGTCTCCTGAGAGCTGTTCTGTTGCCAGTAAAGCTCCTCTTCACCTTGCTCACCCTCCAGTTGTCTGCCAACCTCATTCTTCCTGGACCTGAGACAAGAGCTTGGGACCCCCCGAATGGCAGACTGAAAGAGCTGTACCACAAGCAGGGCTGAAACATGCCTCCCTGCTCATCGTGTTGTGGACGATGAGGAGAGAAGAGTTGTGGCCCTTCTGGGAGCCCAGACCTCCTTGAGCCAGGGATGTTACCTGCTGAAACACCCTCTTTGGGGCTCTGTGGTTCCTGGTGTCTCTGAGCTTTTGGGCACCATCATGTTAGCCTTGTCCAGACACTGGTGCCTGCAGCAGAAGCTGCTTGTTGTCTGGTCCAGCCGCAGCCTCGCACAGAGCTGGCACCTTGAGCTGCCCAGCCTGCCTCAGCCAGCACACCTGGTTGTATGCAGTGGCTAGATCCCCAGCTCACTCGCTCTCACACCCCTTGCTGCTCTGCACCTGACCCGCCCTTGGCAGGCGTGGGATCTGGGCCGGGAGCATCAGCCAAGCAGAGCCTGCTGGACCGAGTAGGCAGAAGGAGTCCAGGGGGCATGAACAAAACCCAAGCAGAGGCGCTGCCTGCCACAGAAGTTTCAGGGTGGCAAAGCAACACCCAAAGGATCCTGTGACACTGCCAATGTGGTATGGAATCTTCTACCTATTGGATGTGTAACCTTGTGCAAATCAGCTAGTTTTCCATACTAGAAAGTACGAATGCAGATGGTGTCTACTTCAATGGTTGTTTCAGGGATTTAAGGACATAATGTATGTAAAGATGTTAACATAGTGCCTGATCTATTGTAAATGATGGCTGGTAACTCTTATTAGTGACTATTACTTGAATTGTAATAGTAAACATATAAAGAAATGAAATTTAATACACAGTGCTGACTTCAACAGCCCAGTAATAGCAGACAATATAAATAAAATATGCATTGGAACAACCCATCATACCATTAGAGATACTTAACCTTAATCCGTAATTTACTATCTGTCTTTGCTTTGCTTTCTTTCTCTTTTGCCAGCAAATGAGATAGTAGAACATATGCTTTAAAAAATTCTCCATATCAAATAGTAATTTTAGAAAGACATCATAATAGCTTATTAGAGAAGTCAAAATAACCAAAATACACAAAGGTAATAAAATTGTTCCTAGATTTCTGCATTTAAAGTTGTTTAAAGATGTTTAAAGTTATTCTAGGCCAGGCACGGTGGCTCATGCCTATAATCTCAGCACTTTGGGAGGCTGGAGGCTGGAGGATCAGTTGAGGCCAGGAGTTCGAGACCAGCTTGGGCAACGTAGCAACACTTCATCTCCACAAAAAAATTAAAAAAATTAGCTGGGTGTGGTGGCATGTGCGTGTAATCTCAGCTACTCAGCAGGCTGAGGTGGGAGGATCACTTGAGCCCAGGAGGTTGAGATGAAGTGAGCTGTGATTGCGCTGCTGCATTCCAACCTGGGTGATAGAGCGAGATCCTGCCTCAAACAAAGAAATAAATAAAATAAATTTGGTCGAAACATTGAATACATAGCTTTTCTCCCTTTAATCTCCTTCTTTGAGATATAATTTCTTTTTATTCTGTTATGGGAATTTCTTTCTTAAAGAAGTTTTACAAAGCAGATTCTTTAAAAGTTTACAAAGCAGATTCTTGGGTTGCTTAGTCCTGATATACACAATCAAGGAAGATGCAAAATTTATTTCCTTGAAAAAATATATACCCTTCTTGTTTGGAGATAATTTTGAAGTGGTTTCTGCATAGAGTAGGAGGTCTTTCTGTAAGTATCAATGAAACAAACAAGGAAAGCCCAAGGTAAATTTGCACAACAAATGCCTGCCTCTTGGCAACATGAGAAAGCCTCTTGCCACTGCTGCTACAGCTCTTTCATTTAATTATTCTTAGGTGACCATGTCAGGATTTCTAGACAGTATCCTTGGAAGCTAAGTGCTTTGAATGTTTGAACTGTATTAGTCAATGTAAAACTCATGCTCCTGAGTATTAGAGATGGTGCTCCAGTGAATCATAAAATATGCTAATTAAACAACAATGTTTTTAAATGGGACCCTTTTCTGATCTATTAGGGTACCTAATTTAGGGCCGTGAATACATTGGCATTATGACTTTTTAAATGAAGAAAGCAATGATCATGGCCAACATAAGTGCAATAATTTCTAGTTGACAATGTGCTCTATTTAATCATCTCCACATGTATTAACTGATTTAACTCTCACAGGTATCCTGTGAGATAGGTTTTATTATTCGCATTTTACAGATGAGAAAAATGAGTCTTTGAGAGTTTGTGTCCCCGGTTACACAGCTAGAAAATTGTCAGAACAAGATTTTAACCTGGGCTCTTTAGCTTTAAGTTTCTTTCTTTTCCATTACATTCATTGATGAAAATTTCCCAACTTTTCCTCTTTTGTATTTGAGAAAGCTGAATATAACAGAGGTCAAAGATAGAAATGGCTCATTCAAGACCAGGTGCTGTGGCTCACACCTGTAATCTCAGCATGTTGGGAGGCCAAGGCAGTTGGATGGATTAAGCCCAGTAGTTTGAGACCAGCCTGGGCAATATGGCAAAATTCCATCTCTACAAAAAATACAAAAATTAGCTGGGCGTGGTGGCGTGCGCCTGTGGTCCCAGCTACTTGGGAGGCCTAGGCGGGAGGATGGCTTGAGCCCAGGAGGTTGAGGCTGCAGTAAGCCAATATCGCACCACTGCGCTCCAGCCTGGGTGACAGAGTGAGACCCTGTCTCAAAAAACAAAAAACAAAAAACAAAAACATAAAACAAGAAAGAAAGAATGAAAGGAAGGAAGGAAGGAGGGAAGGAAGGGCTAATGTAACTGTCTTTATGGTTTTTCAAGTAACAATATTTTTAACTTTCATGTGTATGATTTTGAGGTACTGGCATTGGAGGCCTCTGTAGTTACAAACGTTCTATTTCTGCTTTGAAATGGCAAAATTCAGAGCTGAAAAATAGACAAGTTCAAGTTGCTCAGGAGTAAACTTTCTGTAATAAAGTATTTTGTGAATGATCATGATGTTCAGGACTTCAGCATTTCCAATTGTCTTGTAAATGTAAGATGCTCCCAAGTAATGAAGGGTGACCTATTGAGGCTGGCAGATTAGATATCAGGTAATTAGATTTGTTCATGAGCTTATCTAGTACTGAGCAACAATTGCAAGCTTAATCCCATCTGGGATGAATCCCATTTGCTTTCTGGCCGCTAACTTGGATAAGTCAAGGTCACTACATTCAGCCTACTTTCTTTAAACACATACACTTCCTAGAAGGGCATTGCTTTCTTTCACATGGGAGCACAACAAATAAGTTATTATTAGTTAAGGTTTTCATTATAAGATGCCAGAGATGCTACCTATTCATAGATTTTGTGTAGAAATGAAGCTGTTTTGATGCCAAGGATAGAATCATGTAGTGTTTCAAATATTTCCATGCTGGGCATAGTTCTGAGAGCAGAAAGAAAACGAGAGAGCTGACCTCTGTCTGGCCTAGGCTCTTTCAAACAATGTAACTCTTGGAATTAGTTGCAGGCTTCAATCAATCAATAAACAACAAGTAACTATTGATTCCTTTGTAAATCATGTTCAAGGCTATCATATATATGATAAGAAAAAACTCCTACTCTCAAAGAATCTATAAGCTAATAGAGGATATTTGAAAATATTTGAGAGCAGTCAGTGAGCTGACCCAAATCAATGGTGTTTGAATCTTTGCTTTAGGAACTCAAGTGAAGGAAACAGGGATTTCAACTGAGGAGACTAGCGTGACCATTTATGGACAGCATTGAACTAGGTTGGGTGGCATGCGGCTAAGAGGCAGAAATAAAGGATAGTCGTGAGAAGGAAATCCACAATAGAAGGGAAATTATGTGAGTTTGTTTTGAGGGACTGGAGAGAAGGTTCCTACCTAAAATAAAAATCTGGAAATATTAGGGTGAACCCATTTGTGGAGGGACTGAAATGACAGGCTGAAAAACCTGGGGTTCATGACAAAATGCCGCCAGCAATTTTTTTTTTCACCAGCAATTTTTGAGGGAGCAGATGCCCAGCTGAAGGTGACATGTCAGAATGACTGAGCTGGTGGCAATCTGACATGAAAAGGGAGGTGATTGGAGCTTGCCACTGGAGGCAAGGAAGCCCACCAGGAGGTGTGGCAAAAATTCAGGACTGTTTTTTTTTTTTCCTGTATGGTTCTAGTTAATGAAGCTAGAGACTTAATTGTATCCAAGGTCTCTCAGCACAAATTTTGCTTTGGACTAGTAAGCTCTCTGCACTCTCTACTTCAAGGGTAAGATGGAGAATTGCCACAGATTGCTGACTCCTTCCTCAAATCCCGGAGATACCATGTCAAAGAAAGAAAACTAAGTGAATTAAACAGCTGTGATTATCAGACAGTGGCAGTCAGAAAGTGACCAAACCTGCCTGAAACGTGGAGAGTCAATGGTGGGGTGTGGGGGAGGGCTAGTTTGGGAAGAGCAGCAGTTGTGTGAAGGTTGCCTGGAGTGGGAAAGGGCCAGGTGGTATAAGAGGGAGAGGGGCTGAGAATAGTGGCAGAATTATATTCTCTTCCCTTCTCTGAAGGGGCCATTGTTAATCTGATTGCTGCCAGGTGGCAAGAAAGCCAGCCTGAAGCTGCAAGGTTAGGCTGCCCCAGGGCAGCTCAGGAGCCCAGCCGGTATGGGAAGTCAATAGATGAGAGAGGGAATTAGCAGGCCTGGAAACTTCACACTTCCCCCAAGGGCAAAGCCATTATCACAGGGACAGAATATGGCACACTACAAATCAGTGCAGCTCACAGCAGTCCCTGGTTAATTCTGAGGTTCCCTGGGGAGAGGGATAGCTGGAAGAACAGGGAATGTTTGAGCCCAGATTGCAATTCTAAGGCCTCTCTAGCCTAGGCTTATTAATACCTATGGGACAGAAACTAGATCCTAGGTTTTCATCCACCTCTTCAGATAGACATTACTAGCAAAAGCAACTGTTGTCCTACAAGAATAAAAAGCAAAGATGGCTGGGTGCGATGGCTCATGCCTATCATCCTAGCACTTTCGTAGGCCAAGGGAGACCAGCCTGGAAAAGAAAAAAATTAGAAAATTATCCGGCTATGATGTTGTGCGTCTGTAGTCCCAGCTAGTCAGGAGGCTGAGGCAGGAGTATCACCTGAGCCCAGGAGATTGAGGCTGCATTGAGTGTGATTGTGCCACTGCACTCCAGCCCAGGCAACAGAGCAAGATCCTGCCTCAAAACAAACAAACAAACAAACAAAGCCCAGCAAACACATAAGGGAAATTCCCAGGCATCTGAGGAGTGTAAATATAATGAAAGGCAGCAAACTGGCAGAACTCTCCTGGAGGAAGTAAAATCAAAAGTAAAACAGATTGAGAAGGCAAAATAAATACAATTAATATCACCAGAGAAATAAAAGAGACTATTTTTTAAAATGCCACAGAAACAAACAGGTATAAAGAAGCATTTTGAAATATCAACTTTAAAAATATAATTATTGAAATGAAAGTTTTATTATTTAATGGATGATTGCATAATGAAATTGATAAAGCTGAAGAATACATAAGATGAAAGACTGGGTCAGGAAATTACAAAAGTGGCTGGGCATAGTGGTGCATTTCTGTAATACCAGCATTTTGGGAAGACGAGGTGGGTGGATCGCTTGGTCCCAGGAATTCGAGACCAGCCTGGGCATAGTGAGATCCCTTCTCTCTCTCTCTCTCTCTCTCTCTCTCTCTCTCTCTATATATATATATATATATATATATAATTTTTTTTTTTTAAGATGGAGTCTTGTTCTGTCGCCCAGGCTGGAGTGCAGTGGCACAATCTCGGCTCACTGCAAGCTCTGCCTCCCGGGTTCACGCCATTCTCCTGCCTCAGCCTCCTGAGTAGCTGGGACTACAGGCGCCCGCCACCACACCCGGCTAATTTTTTGTGTTTTTAGTAGAGACAGGGTTTCACCGTGTTAGCCAGGATGGTCTCGATCTCCTGACCTCGTGATCCACCCTCATCGGCTTCCCAAAGTGCTAGGATTACAGGCGTGAGCCACCGCACCTGGCCTATTTTTTTTTTTTTTAAAGAAAACATTAGGAAGGCATGCAAAGAAAGATTGAGAGACTAAACTACAGGGAGGCAGAAACAAAAGCATCAACACACATATAAAAAGAGACCCCAAAATAGTGAAAAAACAAATGGAGGGTTTGAAATATTTGAAGGCGTATCGACAAATATTTTCCAAAACTAAAATGTTGGAACTGGGATTAGAACCCAGGAAGTCTAGCTCAACTATTTGAGCTCTTAGCTATTCACTTTCTACTCAATTAATCAATGAGTAAACTTTAACTAGAAGAGAATTCAGCCAGGTTCTGAATAGAAGCTGTGTGTGTAGTATTGTACTATTCCAGCAATAACCAACAAGCTTGTAGTAGGAAATAAGATACTATTTGTAATAGCAACACTAATCATATCTCAGAATTAGACATTAGGGAAAAAAAGTCAACTGTTCGAGGACTACTTAAAAGGCTTGGCCTGGAAATGGTGCATACTGTCTCTGTGGGGCTTAGTCTGAAAGAGGTTGGTAGACATTTGCAAAAGCACTGTGAAAAATTCAGCTAACAATGATTGTCTACATAAAGTTAAACATCCAGCTATTTCTAAATATCTTTATGAATTATGTCATAATTCAGATAAAGAAAGATGAAAAATGGGCATACATGTAGACCTGTTTGTGCAGTGTTTGTTAAGGCTTGGAAGTCAGAACACATTGGAGCCCTTTCAGTTTAGCCACTGAAACCTCCAAAGGTAGACTCATCTTCAAGGCAGTTATAGAGGACGACCTGGAGAATTAATTTATGGCATAAAAGAGTATTTGGAGGAAAATCCTGCCAAGTACCTAATGCAAAGTTCCTAACTGTGTGTGTCTATGAAAATTATAATATATGCAGACATACCTGGACCTTAAGAAATATGCGATTGAACTCAAATAAAATTGACTAGAGGTTCTTAAGTGTAGAACACCCGGCAGAATACTCAAAGGAGAACTGATCACCCTTCCTATCCTTTCTGTTAGGTTGTGGACTACGCATCCATAGCACTTGGATAATGATTAATAAGGCATATGTGTATTCATTGCTTTTTAAAAATCTTCTTAGCAGTCCTGGAAATGATTATTTTTTACATTGAAACTTAGAAGCGTAGAGTTTCAAAGTTGGAAGAAACTCAGAGATCCTAGAACAGTCCCCTTGTTTTGCTGATGAGAAAAGATAAATTGCCTGTCTGAGTTCACAAGGCAAGGTAGTGGTTGAGATAGAATTTAAACCTAGATAATCTAAACCCACATTCCAGTAATATTAATACCTTCTGCAAAACAGACCTTTTGTATTGTTAGGGGCATTGCTGGAAGACAGGGTATGGAGGGGAGATGGGTAGTGCTGGCAAAAAGGAGGTATTCATTGGGCAGAGGGAAGATTCCCAGTCAGTTTAGTGCATATTCAGTGCAGTTTGGTGCAAACAGTAGGTGCCTATTCTTTTTTATTTTTTCTTTTGAGACAGAGTCTCGCTCTGTCACCCAGGCTGGAGTGCAGTGGCCCTGTCTTGGCTCACTGCAACCTCCACCTCCCGGGTTCAAGCGATTCTCCTGCCTCAGCCTCCCGAGTAGTTGGGATTACAGGTGTGAGCCCCCACGCCCAGCCTCGTAGGTTCCTATTCTATGCAGGGCACTGTGATAGGCATTCGAGTACTACCCTTGTCCTTGAGAAGTCCTGACTTGCTACGCCCTCTTCCTGGTTTGGGATTCTTCCTTTATTAGACACTGATAATTTCCCATATTATCAGTTTTTCCCCATATTAGCCACTGATAATACTGGCATTATGCTGTCAACCTTAAATAATAAGATTTTAAAATATGATTAAATATGGAATTTATTTGAGCATAAAGCTTAAGGATAGCCACCTGGAAAACACAGATTCTAAATGAATGGGGCCCATATTCCAAAGTGAAGCAGTTCAAGTTTCACTTATACAGGCAGACACAGGGAAGTATTAGCAGGATTACAGCATTTTCTACCCAAGACTAGTGCATGGGTTACAGCGATTTGATTGGTTACAGATTGCTACATTCCAAGGAAAATTATTTTATTACTACCTGACTAGAGGTAAAGATCTGAGTGGGTCTTATCTCTGGAGCCACTTGTTATTCTTACCAATAAGTCTTAATTATTTACAGAAAGAAAAAAAAAAGGCAGAAGTTCACTATGTGCTGTGTGGCTCAGGGTGAATAGCAACATTTCATTCAAGGCTCAGAATACTCTAACGTACCAACAGCTTGGCCAGGCATGGTGGCTCATGCCTGTAATCCCAGCACTTTGAGAGGCTGAGGCAGGTGGATCACTTGAGGCCAGAAGTTCGAGACCAACATAGCGAAATGACCAACATGGCAAAACTACGTCTCTACTAAAAATACAAAAAATTGGCCAGGCGTGATGATGCATGCCTGTAATCCCAGCTACTCAGGGAGCTGAGGTGGGAGAATCGCTTGAACCCAGGAGGCAGATGTTGCAGTGAGCTGAGATGGCGCCACTGCACTCCAGTCGGGGTGATAGAGCGAGACCCTGTCTCAAAAAAAAAAAAAAAAAAAGAAAAAAAAAATCCTAACATCCAACAGCTTTAAATTCAGATTACTTAATTTCACAATGCTTTCCACTTATTTTGCAATCTGTGAGCTCCTGGGCCAGGCACAGTGGTTTACGCCTGTAATCCCAACACTTTGAGAGGCCAAGGTGGGTGGATCACTTGAGGTCAGGAGTTTGAGACCAGCTGGGCAAAATGGCAAAACCCGGCCAGGCGCAGTGGCTCAGGCCTGTAATCCCAGCACTTTGGGAGGCTGAGGCGGACAAATCACGAGGTCAGGAGATCAAGATCAGCTTGGCCAACATGGTGAAACCCCGTCTCTACTAAAAATATTTAAAAAAAAAATAGCTGGGTGTGGTGGCGTGCGTCTGTAGTCCCAGCTACTCGGGAGGCTGAGGCAGGAGAATTGCTTGAACCTGGGAAGCAGTGGCTACAGTGAGCCGAGATCGTGCCACTGCACTCCAGCCTGGGCAACAGAGCAGGACTCCGTCTCAAAAAAAAAAAAAAGGAAAGGAAAAGAAAAAGGCAAAACCCTGTCTCCACTAAAATACAAAATTTAGCCAGGCATGGTGGTGCACACCTTGTAGTCCTAGCTACTTGGGAGGCTGAGGAAGGAGAATAGCTTGAACCCGGGAGGCAGAGGTGCAGTGACCCAAGATTGTGCCACTGCACTGCAGCCTGGGTGACCACAAGACTCCGTCTCAAAATAAATAAATAAATTAAAATAAATTAAAAAAATAATAAAGATCTGTGTGCTCCTGGAGGGCAGAGGTTAAGTCTTCCTCCCTTAGGTTCACCCAGCACTGAGGAAATCGCATGGCTGTGGTAGGTACCCAGTGTCACATGCTGCAGAGGCCTGGGTAAGGGTAATGAAAGTGTCACTGATGGTTCTGGGTGACTCAAAGCACACGCTTTCCCCAAAGCCTACTTCTGGTTAGCTGGTGTTATAGAGGCCAAGGGAAAATTTTCTCTTTGCCTTCTGGAAGTTTTACTGAAAAACCAACTGACAAAAGGCAGGTTAATAAGAAAGAAGGCGTGCAAATTTATTATTAATAATATGCATGGGGGACAACACAGATGACCCCATCCCCTCAGTGAGGCTCAGAAGCTTTTCTCCCTCTTTTTTTAAATTTAATTTAATTTTAAGTTCTGGGATACATGTGCAGGAATGCAGGTTTGTTCCATATGTAAACGTGTGCCATGGTGGTTTGTGGCACCTATCAACCCATCACCTGGGTACTAAGCCCCGCATGCATTAGCTATGAGGTTACGCAAAGAATGTGGGCTCAGAGCATGGCCACAAACAGGTTATGGTCGTAAATCATGTGACGGTGGCAAGACAAGTTATGGAAGGGAGAGAAGAGGGTGGATGGCTAGCAAAGGTGGCCTTGTTATGTAGATGAAACCTCAAGGGGTAGCAGCCCTCAGAGAGAAGAAATGGTATATGTTTCTTTTAGATCTTTAGAGATGTCAGACTCTCAGTTCATCTTTCCTAGATCCGGACAAGGGTGGGCCTCAGAGAATGCATGGCTGCATGAATCAGATTTTCTCTATAGAGGCAAAGCTCCCCGCAAAAGACAGCTTCTTAGCTACTCTTCTATTTCCAGCCCTTCTGAATTGCCATCTTGAAATATGTCAAAGAAGTAGGCTTTGGAGTGAAGTATTTTGGTTTCCTTCAGTATCCATGCCTTTCCTCAAGGTGGGGATGACTTACCACTGCAGAGATTCTTTCACTCTCTCCATAAGTGGTGAGAAAACTTAGCTCTAGCCTCATGGTATATAGAGCTCTAACAAGTCTCCCAAAGCTGTGGGAAGAAAATGAAGATGTTTTGTCTGTGACATTATAGAGACATCTGTCTCAGGTGAACCCTTTGCTAAAGAACAGGAATTTCTGTGGGGTCCTCCAAAGGTGATGAGAGCCAGAGCCAGTAGTTCAGCTTCCAGTTTTCTGAGTGGTGGGGAGGGGTTTGCAGACACACAGGAATGGCACCTCCATCCTTTTGTGAGCCATTCCTGTGTGTCGTTCTGCCAGTCCATGGCCTGCTGGAGTCTGCTGGTACCTGTCGGTGTGCTGTTCTGCCACTGTGTTCCTCTCGATGTCCGGCTGCTTGTGTATTCTTCCCAACAGGGACTTGGGGTTTTTATAGGCACAGGATGGAGGTGTGGCGGGCCAGGGTGGTCTTGGGAAATGCAACATTTTGGCATGAAAACAGAAATGCCTGTCCTCACCTAGGTGTGTGCGCACAGGCCTAGGGGTGGAGCCCTCATCAGGGACCCCACCCTTCTTCTCCCAGCACTTCTCTGCCCCGCCTCCTGTGTCATTTGTGTACCCATAGTTTAGCTCCCTCTTAAAGTGAGAATATGCAGTATTTGGTTTTCCATTCCTGAGTTACTTCACTTAGGATAGTGGCCTCTGGTTCCATTTAAGTTGCTGCAAAAAGCATTATTTATTTTTTTTATGGCTGAGTACTGTTCCATGGTGTGTGTCTGTGTGTGTGTGTGTGTGTGTGTGTGTGTGTATATGGAGAGATTGTGATATATGTATATCACAATCTGTGTATGTGATATATGTGTGTGTATATATATATATGGAGAGATTGTGATATATGTATATCACAATCTGTGTATGTGATATATGTGTGTGTGTGTATATATATATATAAATCTCTCTCTCTCTCTCTGTCTCTCACACATACTCTTTATCCACTTATCAGTTGACGGGCACTTAGGTTGACTCCATATCTTTGCAATTGTGAATTGTGCTGTGATGAACATGCATTCAGGTGTCTTTCTTGTATCATGACTAATTTTCTTTTGGGTAGATACCCAGTAGTGGATTGCTGGATCGAATGGTAGATCTATTTTGAGTTCTTTGAGAAATTTCCAAACTGTTTTCCATAAAGGTTGTGAGAGGTGACAGCGTGCTGGCAGTCCTCAGAGCCCTCGCTTGCTCTCAGCACCTCCCCTGCCTGGGCTCCCATTTTGGTGGCATTTGAGGAGCCCTTCAGTCCCCCACTGCACTGTGGGAGCCCCTTTCTGGGCTGGCCAAGGCCGGAGCCCACTCCCTCAGCTTGCAGGGAGGTGTGGCGGGAGAGACAAGAGCGGGAACCGGAGCTGTGTGCGGCACTTGCGGGCCAGCTGGAGTTCCGGGTGGGCGTGGGCTTGGTGGGCCCCGCACTCGGAGCAGCCAGCCAGCCCTGCTGGCCCCGGGCAATGGGGGACTTAGCACCCGGGCCAGTGGCTGCGGAGGGTGTACTGGGTCCCCCAGCAGTGCCGGCCCACCGGCGCTGCGCTCGATTTCTCGCCGGGCCTTGGCTGCCTTCCCGCGGGGCAGGGCTCGGGACCTGCAGCCCACCATGCCTGAGCCTCCCACCCCCTCCGTGGGCTCCTGTGCGGCCCGAGCCTCCCCGACGAGCGCCACCACCTGCTCCAGGGCGCCCAGTCCCATCGACCACCCAAGGGCTGAGGAATGCGAGCACAGGGCGCAGGACTGGCAGGCAGCTCCACCTGCAGCCCCGGTGCGGGATCCGCTAGGTGAAGCCAGCTGGGCTCCTGAGTCTGGTGGGGACGTGGAGAGTCGTTATATCTAGCTCAGGGATTGTAAATACACCAATCAGCACCCTGTGTTTAGCTCAAGGTTTGTGAGTGCACCAATTGACACTCTGTATCTAGCTGCTCTGGTGAGGACGTGGAGAACCTTTATGTCTAGCTCAAGGATTGTAAATACACCAGTCGGCACTCTGTATGTAGCTCAAGGTTTGTAAACACACCAATCAGCACCCTGTGTTTAGCTCAAGGTTTGTTAGTGCACCAATCAACACTCTGTATCTAGCTGCTCTGGTGGGGCCTTGGAAAACCTGTGTGTGGAAACTCTGTATCTAACTAATCCGATAGGGACGTGGAGAACCTTTGTATCTAGCTCAGGGATTGTAAACGCACCAATCAGCGCCCGGACAAAACAGGCCACTGGGCTCTACCAATCAGCAGGATGTGGGTGGGGCCAGATAAAATAAAAGCAGGCTGCGGGAGCCAGCATTGGCAACTCGCTCGGGTCCCCTTCCACACTGTGGGAGCTTTGTTGTTTCGCTTTTTGCAATAAATCTTGCTACTACTCAATCTTTGGGTCCACGCTGCTTTTATGAGCTGTAACACTCACCACGAAAGTCTGCAGCTTCACTCCTGAAGCCAGCGAGACCACGAGCCCACCAGGAGAAACGAGCAACTCCAGACGCACCACCTTAAGAGCTGTAACACTCACCGCGAAGATCTGCAGCTTCACTCCTGAGCTCAGCGAGACCACGAGCCCACAGGGAGGAAAGAACAACTCCAGACGCGCTACCTTAAGAGCTGTAACGCTCACTGCGAAGGTCCGCGGCTTCACTCCTGAGCCAGCGAGACCACGAACCCACCAGAAGAAAAACTCCAAACACATCTGAACATCAGAAGAGACAGACTCCAGGCGCGCCACCTTAAGAACTGTAACACTCACCGCGAGAGTCCGCAGCTTCATTCTTGAAGTCAGTGAGACCAAGAACCCACCAATTCCGGACACAGTTGTAGCAACCCCAACAGTGTCTAAGTGTTTCCTTTTCCCTGCATCTGCACCAACATCTATTGTTTTTTGACTTTTTGATAATGGCCATTCTGGCTGGGTTAAGGTGGTATCTCATTGTGGCTTTAATTTGCATTTCCCTGATGATTAGTGATGTTGAACACCTTTTCATGTTTTTTGGCCATTTGTGTGTCTTTTGGGAAATGTCTGTTCATGTCATTTGACAACTTTTTAATAGGATTTTTTTTATCTTGCTGATTTGTTTGAGTTGCTTGTAGATTCTGAATATTAGTCCTTTGTTGCGTGTATAGTTTGTAAATATTTTCTCCCATTCTGTGGGATGTCTATTTACTCTGCTGATTATTTCTTTTGCTGTGCAGAAGCTTAATTTAATTAGGTCCCACTAATTTTCTTTTTGTTGCATTTGCTTTCGGGATCTTGGTCATACATTTTTAGCTTAGGACGATGTCCAGAAGAGTTTTCCCTACTTTATCTTCTAGGATTTTT
The DNA here is from genome assembly GCF_000001405.40 of Homo sapiens. Lineage (NCBI taxonomy): Eukaryota > Metazoa > Chordata > Mammalia > Primates > Hominidae > Homo > Homo sapiens. The sequence continues at coordinate 33,051,195 of NC_000010.11, forward strand.
GTGGTTTCAGGTCTTAAAGTCTTTAATTCATCTCAAGTTAATTTTTATATATGGTGAGCGATAGAGATCCAGTTTCATTGTTCTACCTGTGGTTATCCAATTTTCCCAGCACCATTTATTGTATAGGGTGTCCTTTCCCCAGTGTATGTTTTCATCTGCTTTGTTGAAGATTGGTGGCTTCCAGGTATTTGGCTCTAATTCTGGGTTCTTTATTGTGTTTCATTGGTCTAGGTGTCTTACTTTCATATCAGTACCATGCTGTTTTGGTTACTATATCCTTATTCCTCTGGCTTTGTTCTTTTTGCCTAAGATTGCTTTGGCTATTGGAAGTGGGGAGAAACAGATATTAACTTGCAAATGTTCTTTTTGGAATTTAAATGATCATTTGAGACAGTCATTGTCTTGAAAAATGGTCTTCTTTCCTGTAATGGATAATGCATTAACAAGAAGGAGAACAAGAACAATTGTTCTCGTTGGTGGGTCAGTCCTATCTCTCTCTTTCTTTTCCCTGTCATGTTGCCCAGGCTGGTCTTGAACCTCTGGGTTCAAGTGATCTTCTTGCCTTGTCTTCCCAAAGTGTGTAATTACAGGCATGAGCTAGCGCACCCAGCCAATCCCATCTTTATGTAGATAAGGCAAAAGTCTCTTCCAGCACTTGACGGTCTCTATGGATTTTTAGTATAAAATACTCATGATGCCAGGGAACCGATTTTGTGGTGAGATATTTTGATTTCTGTCACTTTCCTTCTCACTTCCATTTGCAAGACTCAGGCCTGGCTCTCCGGAAACGAACTCTAAGGACAACTGAAACATTTCTCTCTTTCCCAGTTTCAAGGGAAACTGCTCCCAGTTTCAGGGTGAGGTTGAAGGCTGTTAGGCTGACTACCTTGGTCTTCCCTCTCAGACTCTTGGATGGGGCCTGAGAATGTGGTTTCTAGGAGCCCTGATTTCCATTCCTTTGGCTGTTTCCTCTACTCTCAAGCCTGAGTAAGCAAGAATCCTCTTTGCACCATGTTTTATATAGTGTTGTGCATAACAATAAAGACATTTTTATGGCATTGGAAAAAATATAAATGGTGGTTACAGCACTTCATTCAGCAGAGAGAAATAAATACTGTGTGTTTAATTTTTTTCAGCAAACCATTCCCATGATCTATTTTTCTGACTGCAGAACTCAAACATTGTTAAAGAATTATAAATAGAGTGTGAATCGATTTGTAACATTGCCTTCTTACATGGGCTCTTTAATTCCTGGTAATGATTTAATATACAAACATGCCTGGTGCACCTGCCTTGGTGAAATGCAGCAATTTTCCTTGTCAAGTGGTATGTGATTTCTTCCCTCTGTTCCAAATGGGCTATGCTTTCTTTCCTTTTTTCTTTTGTGTTACTGATCCTATACCTCTTTCCAGTAGCTCATGTTTATCCTGTGCATTAGACACGCTTCTAAGTGATTTTAGCATCCGCTTAATTTGCTGGGGTGGCGTCTGGAAATGTGATCAGGTTAGGGTGAGCAGCCGCACAGAAGTGTTCTTTCCATCTGAGCTGAGGTTGGGAGATCACACAGTCTTCTTCTATGAATATAATACAGAGCGTTTTGCTAGTGAAGCATAATTCAGAACTGAATTT